>NC_000012.12:130413619-130715243 GCF_000001405.40 Homo sapiens
AAGACTCTGTCTCAAAAAAAAAAAAAAAAAAAAAAAAGGAACTGGGTACCAAAGGGATAGGAAACAACCTCCATCAGGTGTATTAAAGAACTAAGGCATGGAACTCCAGCCTCTAGCTGCTGATGCTCCCTTCTTCCCTTTTTCCCTCCCTTTCCCTCTCCCTCCTTCCTCTCTTCCCTGCCTGTCTGCTGACTGACAAGTGTTGTTTTAAAATTTGGAGCCTGTGTTATTTTTCTCAACAACGTAGGCCCTAATAGAATCCAGAGTTCACAGGACATATTTGGGTGTGTTTGTGTGCACACAAACCGGGCAGATGCTGGAGAAGGCACTTTGCAGAGGGCAGGGCCCTTGCCGTCACAGCACCATGCCACCTCCTCCCGTGCCTCGCCCATGGCCTGCAGGAGAAGGCCATCTCTAAGTCGATACCCTGTTGCCAGTCTCTGCCCCCATGACCCAGACCCGCCTCAGGGGCTGATGAAGCCGCCCGCAGGCAGCCATCCCGCACCTTGATGATCTGGCCTTCTTTAAAGGGAAGCTCCTCCTCTGCAGCATCTGGGTTTGGGGACATGGTGAGCGGGTCGTAGTCAAAGAGAGCCACAAAGATCCGGGCCGGGAGCTCTTCGGCACCAGGGTCAGTTTCTGACTCTTCATAGAAGTCTGGAGAAAGGCGGTCTCGCCCGTAATCGTCTGCGAGCAAGTGGGGGTGAAGAACAGAGCGGCAGTGAGCCTAACTGAGGAGCGTGCACGGGAAATGCAGCTTTGGAAAGCAGTGAGGATGGCAGCGGTTCCTTGACTTTTGTCTTTTTTGTGTCTTAACATGTAGGTGGAAATAGATCGGGAGGTCTAGGTCAGATGAATTGGAGAAGCACATAACCACAGCCACACTCTGTACCTGGCCACACTGCATGTGAAAGCATTGAGACAGGGCTGGGCCTCGGGGGCCTCCTCAGAGAGCACAGGCTGGGGCAGGGGCTGCGGCCGTGCCAGGGGCAGGATGGCCCATGCTGGGGAGCCTTCCCAGGACCCACACACTCTGCAAAATGGAAAGCTAAGCACAGCCCACGTTTAAAATGTTTGTATGTTAGTCAAAGTCCATAGAGGTGACCAACTGTTCACTTACGTAAATATGTAACTGGCAACAAATGCATCCTTATTACAGTGAATTAATAATTTCCTGGTGAATTGGGTTTCAACTCCATATACCACCCAGCTTCCAAAAGTGGTTCTTTTGGACTAGAGGAAATGGATACATTCCTAGACACACACAACCTCCCAGGATTGAATCAGGAAGAAATCGAAACCCTGAATAGACCAATATTGATGAAATGAATTCACTGCTGAATTCTACCAACATACAAAGAAGAGCTGGTACCAATTCTACTGAAACTATTCCAAAAAATTGAGGAGAAAGGACTCCACCCTAACTCATTCTATGAAGCCAACATCACCCTGATACCCAAATCTGACAGACACAACAAAAAGAGAAAACTACAGGCTAATATCCCTGATGAACACAGATGCAAAAATCCTCAATAAAATACTAGCAAACTGAATCCAGCAGCACATCAAAAAGACAATTCACCATGATCAAGTAGGCTTTATCCCTCAGATGCAAGATTGGTTCAACATATGCAAATCAATAAATATGATTCACCACAGAAACAGAACTAAAACAAAAACCATATGATTATCTCAATAGTGCAGAAAAAGCTTGCAATAAAATCCAACATCCCTTCATGATTAAAAAAACCCTCAACAATCTAGGCATTGAAAGATGTACCTCAAAAATAGTAAGAGGCATCTGTGACAAACCCACAGCCAATATCATATTGAACAGGCAAAGGCTGGAAGCCTTCACCTTAAGAACTGGAGCAAGGCAAGGATGCCTGCTCTCACCATTCCTGTTCAACACTGGAGTGCTATAGCCAGAGCAGTCAGGCAAGAGAAAGAAATAAAAGGCATCCATATAGGAAATAAGAAGTCAAATTATCTCTCTTCACTGATGATACGGCATCCATATAGGAAACAAGAAGTCAAATTCTCTCTCTTCACTGATGACAAGGCATCCATATAGGAAATAAGAAGTCAAATTATCTCTCTTCACTGATGATAAGGCATCCATATAGGAAATAAGAAGTCAAATTATCTCTCTTCACTGATGATATGATTCTAAACCTAGAAAACCCTGAAGACTCTGCTAAAAGGCTCCTAAACCAATAGACAATTTCAATAAAATTTCAGGATACAAAATCAATGTATAAAAATCAGTAGCATTTCTATACACCAATAAATTGTTCAAGCTGAGAGCCAAATCATGAATGCAATCCCATTGACAATAGCCACACACACACACACACACAAAATATACAGAATACATCTAACCAAGACACACAGAATGTACCTAACCAAGGAGGTGAAAGATCTCTACAAGGAGAACGACAGAACACTGCTGAGAGAAGTCATAGATCACATGAATGCTAAAATATTCCATGCTCATGGGTTAGAATATCATTAAAGTAGCCATATTGCCCAATGCAACCTACAGATTCAATGCTATTTCTATCAAACTTCCATTGTCATTTTATATAGAATTAGGAAAAACTACTCTAAAATTCATATGGAACCAAAAAAGAGCCCAAATAGCCGAAGTGGTCTTAAGCAAAAGGAACAAATCCGGAGGCATCACATTACCTGACTTCAAACTATACTATAAGGCTACAGTCACTATAATAGCATGGCACTGGTACAAAAACAGACACACAGACTAATGGAACAGAATAGAGAACCAGAAATAAAACCACATGCCTACAACCCTCTGATATTTGACAAAGCTGAGAAAAATAAGCAGTGGGGAAAGGACTCCCCATTCAATAAATGCTGCTGGGATAACTGGCTAGTCACATGCAGAAGATTGAAACTGGACTCCTACCTTTTACCATATACAAACATTAACTCAAGGTGGATCAAAGATTTGAACGTAAGACCTCAAATTACACAAATACTGCAAGAAAACCTAGGAAATACCATTCTGGACATCAGCCTTGGCAAAGAATTATGACTAAGACCACAAAAACAATTGCCACACAAACAAAAATTAACATGCATGACCTAATTAAAGAACTTCTGCACAGCAAAAGAAACTATCAACAGAGTGAACAACACCCTACAGAATGGGAGAAAATATTTGCAAATTGTGCATCTGACAAAGGTCTAGTGTCCGGAATCTGCAAGGAACTTAAATCAACAAGCAAAAAATGACTCCATTAAAAAGAGCAAAGGACATGAATAGACTTCTCAAAAGATCACATACAAGCAGATAATAAAATATAAATAAAAAATATATTTAAAAAATGTATAAAAATAAATAAAAATGCTCCACATCACTAATCATTAGAGAAATCCAAGACAAAATCACAATGAGATACCATCTCACACCAGTCAGAATGACGATTAAAAAGTCAAAAAATAGACGTTGGGGTGACTGCAAAGAAAAGAAACACTTAAAAATGTATATACCATTGGAGGGAACGGAAATTAGTTCAGCCACTGTGGAAAGCAGTTTGGAGATTTCTTGGAGAACTTAGAACTACCATTTGACACACCAGTGCCATTACTGGGTATATACCCAAAGGAAAAGAAGTCGTTTCACCAAAAAGACACAGGCACTCAATATGGTGATCGCAGCACTGTTCACAATAGCAGGGACATGGAATCAACCTAGATGCTCATCAACAGTGGATTGAATAAAGATGTGGTGCGTATACCACATGGAATGCTATGCAGCCAGAGAAATGAACAAAATCACGTCCTCTGCAGCCACTGGAGGCCATCATCCCAAGAAAATTAACACAAGAACAGAACACCAGATACCTCATACTCTCACTTATAAGTGGGAGCTAAACATTGGGTCCACATAGACACGAAGATGGGAACAACAGAAACTGGGGAACACTAGATGGTGAAGGAGGGAGGGGGCAAGGGCCGAGAAACTCCTGACGGGGCGCTATGCTCACTACCTGGATGATGGCATCATTTGTAACCCAAACATCAGCATTCTGCACTATACCCATGTAACAGACCTGCACATGTACCCCAGTGAATCCAAAATAAAAGTTGAAAGTTTATTTTAAGAAATCAAAACAATTATTTTGGAAATCCTAATACATATGCATATATATACATGTGGATCACTAAACATCATTAGATAGATGTGTACATATGTGTATATATGTATGGAGAGAGAATGGGAGGGGAGAGGGAACTGACAGATAATATTGGTCTGATCATGGGAGGTGGTCTCACAACACCATCAGGGAAGCAAGTGAGAAACACGCCAGCTGGCAGCAGAGAGAGCAGCATTGGGAGAAGCAGCCCAGTGTGAGCTTCTGTCCCAGCACGAGGAACACAGGTGGTGGGACGAGATGACACAGGTATGCAGAAGAGACAGGACAGGTGGTGGAGAAAGAACCAAACCGTTTGGCCTCTTTCACCAGAAAAAATAAAACACGCAGTCTAACAAAAGCACTTTGGCTGCAGGAAAGGTTGAATTTTAAAATGCAATGAATTGTTTACATTATTGAGATTCAGAGTCTTTTTTGAATGCCTAATCTAAAATGTCAGTAATTTCTGCCAGGGAACAAACCTTTTCCACAGCAGCCTTCATTAATTTCTCCAGGCTGTTATGATTTTGTTGATAGTCCATGAAAAAACCTGACTTTTTTCTAGTTTCAAGTGGTATCTGAGTTCAATAGAATGTGAAGCGCTCCATGGCCTCTACAACAGGCACAGCTGTGCAGCCCCTGCTCACACCCAGGGATGATGGTGGAGAACAGCTGTGGCTGCATGAGAAGGACGCCTGCTTTCCATTCTGCTGGAGATCTGCTGGAGGAACTTAATGACCATGTCAGTGTGATCTAGTGAATGCAGTTCCAGGTACGGAAAAATGCCAGTGGAGGAGAACCTCTGGCTACACCATTTTCCAAGCAAGTTCTCAGCACTTCCCAGCTGAGTTTATGTGGCAAGTTTGTGGCATCAAAACGTGCAGAGGGGTCAGGGGCTAAGGTCAGATTCTAGAGAGAGTTGGGTGTGGTCAACATACCCCTTGAAAATCTTTCAGGTCCCTCCTATAGCCTACGTAAGAGTGCATTTTCTCAGTAGGTGGCTTATACTCAAGGACCATGATCTGTGAAAACATCTTTGTGTCTTCAAGTCCAAACTCACATGGACCATGCAACTGGCCACACCACGGGAGGCATTTAGGCAGACACCCCAACACAGAGCTGCCTGAGGCCAGTCCCCCAACGAAGGCTCCTTCCAGAGAACTGCCCACAATGTCACGTTGTTTTGGGGGGAAGACAGGTGTGGGGTAGAGGTGGGTGGAGCACTTGGAGTTGAACGTATGTGAATAAAATCAGCGTATGCGGTGACTCCACCGTATGTTCTTCCAGAGAGGATGCACTGGATGTGTTATGAGCACCAAACCTCGACAGGGAAAGAGTAGCAGCCTCCCTGGAATGTGTCCATGGAAACTTGGCTTCACTGCAGACTGGACTGGGCAGTTGGGGGTCCCTTGTCCTTGGTGATGGCAGGCGAGACTGAAAGAAGCACTTACCTACAGCTGTCTGTCTGACCCTGGGGGGAGTGGGCACTGCCTCCCATCCTGCTGAGGAAGTGTGCTGGCCCAAGGGGTCTTTGTTAGGAGGAAGGGTGTGCATATCGTGTGGGAGATCAGGGCTCATGCCTGGACGCCTGGGTGGGCTCCCAAATCCACTGGTGCCATAAGAATAAGCACCGTCTTCTACAGGAGAGAGGTTTCCCTCACTACCTGGCCCAGACCGACTGCCCTCACTGCTACTGTCCGTTGTAATTTCTATGGAGATAAAGGGAATCATCTATTAAACAGAGTTGACAGCTTTTGATTTTTTTTATTGCAGGGAAACCTGAAGAAAAGAGCTCCCCTTTTTAAGGGGCAAAGCTTTGTCAATAGAGTTACTAATGTTTTTATTTTTCCTCCCTGGACACAAAGAAAACACGCTGGACTTTCCTCACTTTGTAGGCTCAGTAGCCAAAATAACAAAAAATGGGAGAATACAGAGGAGATATTCAGAGTTGATTCCTAAGAACAGAATCCTCTTGAACGTGGTGCTTCGGTTTTAGAAGAGTGAAGCTACAGGCCTTCTGTCTGACAGGTCAACAACTAGATAAATGCAAAGACCAAAAGTTATAAAGGATAAAAATCAAACCTAATTAAGTATATATTTGAAGCCACATAATTTTGTTTTTTAATCATGAAGGACATTTTTTAAATTTTGGAAATCCAGAAAATATTAAAATTTATATTATTTTTCATTGTAGGTCCACTGCTTATTAAAAATAGGAAGTGTATGGTTTACAGACTTAATTTCCTCTGAAAAAGATAAGTAATCCTTTGAAATATAGATTTCTAAAATATTGTTTTCTAGTATTTTCACAAGAAAAATAGAAGTAAATGACAACTAGAGGAATATCCTGTCTGTTCAGCTGTCACTGATGTTCATTTCCCAAAGCTCTTTGCCGAGTCCTCCTCCTCCTCAGGTGGGTGATAAGCACCCTCCGCTTCTGTTTCCTTTTGAAACCATAATAGGTGCTGAGATGTGTATTTGTGTGTAAAGTATCTGGTTAGAGTTATTTTATGTGGTGTCCCGGCTTGCTACATGATAAGAAGTCAGCACAATTAAAGCAAACCTATCATAGGTTTGTCAGTTAACTCTTTTCTGAGTTATGTTCAGAGGCTTTTTCCTTGTTAAGGTGTTGACATAGATTTGCTCTTTCACCCAATTTAACAAGTGTGCTACTGAAATTAAGACACGCATGCAGCCTTTGGAATTCTACGGCTTCAGAAAAATCCAACCACATTCATCAAAAGTAGTTTCATTTGGGAAGGGTTTTTATGATACTAATAAAACTTTAAAGCTTCTCACTGCTGATGAATGCAGTTTTAAAAAAAAAGTCTCAACAATATACAGCCATTTGAAAAGCAATACTGATCTAGGAAAATAGCAAACCAAAGCGGAGACAAAAAATAATTATTTAAGCCAATATTGAGTCTAAGTCCAAGCAACAAGACAACCCAGGACAGTAGATTTAAACCAGACTCTGACAGCGAGGGTCACCCTGGCAAGACTGCAGGCCCAGGGTTGGTTTTCTTGGACTTCCTGGCTCAAGTGCTGATTTGTCACAGCACAATTTTCAGTTCTCAGTCCTAGGAGACTGGAGTAGAAGACCTACCATGCCTCTTCCAAAGGACGTCCTTTCTGAGCGCCTACAGCATTAACTTCTCAGCGGCTACACCATCCCCAGGTCACTTCCTGAGCCATGCTTGCAGTCTTCACTCATTAAAGTTACAGTCAAATGAAGACTCGAAATCTCACCCTAACCACAGAGAGAGAATGAGAGCCTTGAACAGGGGGATTGGCCTTTTCCCCACATCGTTTCTCAAGGCAGGACATCTCGGACAGGTCATTTAACATGAAAGCCAGGAGAACCGATTTATTAAGCTCCATAGTCCCTCCAGAGGGAACGACACACGAATTGAATGAAGATTTGAGAGACACACACTAGGTTTAGAATACCCGAAAGGAATCTGGGCTCCACTAACCCTGCTAGCTGATCTGTAATAAGTGCCATCAATGTTCTGTGAGCCTGACTGCATCTTTTATTACTCAGTTAACTGAAAATACGGTTTCCTAAGGATCTTTAACATTGCATGAAATTTTTACCAGAGAAACATAAACACAATCTAAAAGCTGTGAAGATGGAATTTTTTTCTTATTGTTTGAATTGTACAAGGAAGAAAAAGTCTGGCAGGACACAATTTCAAAGAATCTGTTTTGCTTTATGAAGCCTTTCTTCATTTTGAATTGATGGAAAAGACCAATGGCCTTTTAAACTTCAGCTATTTCAACGAGATTCCAGGTGGCTTTTCAGTGGCCTAGACTATCCAGAAGTTATCCTCCTTGAGCCCTGTCATGCCAAACCAAGACGGTTTCTCCTCATCTATTTCTGCTGTATCAAGAGTTCTCCCTGCATTTATATGTGTGTGTGTGTGTGTGTGTGTGTGTGTGTGTTTTCATAGAAGCCTGGTTCCTCTGTGCTGATGACCAGCTTCCATTATCTTGTGCATAATACTTTTTGGAATTCTCCTTGCCATGATTGATTCCAATAATAGAAGTATCCCCCTCCATGGATTGATTAGGATGACTAAAACGATAGCTTTCAGCATGGCTGGCTGAATTCCAAAAAGTCAGGAAGAGAATGGAAACGGAATGCCAGATGACGACTCATGAGCAAGGGAGGTGCCCAGATGGATGTGGGGAGCACACATTTCAGGGGCACACTCAGCTGCACGGTGTCCCCCAGGATTTAGCTCTGCTGCCAGCGTGTCTTCTGCAGACAGGCAGCATT
Organism: Homo sapiens; assembly: GCF_000001405.40. Taxonomy (NCBI): domain Eukaryota; kingdom Metazoa; phylum Chordata; class Mammalia; order Primates; family Hominidae; genus Homo; species Homo sapiens. The sequence goes on from NC_000012.12 coordinate 130,422,062, forward strand.
CCCTCGGGTGGGGCTCACAGACCCCTGAGGCACGCTGACATCCAGCTTCTGCACCTGCCATGGACTGTGACCCTGAGTGTCCCAGGGAGCCCATGCCAGGATGAGGGAGGTGACACAAAGTGGTCCCCCCTTCAGTGCTTACCCTGTGAAGCTCTCCAGGAAAAAATCAGCTGGGAGAACATGGATGTAGAAGGCCAATTTGATATTTCAAGAATACTTACAAATAGCTTTCATTTATCTTGTGCTGTTCCTGCCTTCTTTTTGCCATGAATAACAGTGTTCTTTGCTTAGCGGAAAATGCTACTCCTAAAGTTTTGTTCATGCTTAGATGGAGTAAGCAGCCACATGCTCCGCGGCTGAAAGACACAACAGCGATGATGGGGCCACTAACCGATGGATGGGACTGTCACGGGCCGGGACCTCTGAGGACCAGCGCTGCCACGGGGAAACCTCCGGCCCATGTGATCCACCCGTCCTGCAGAGGCTGGGTTCCCTAAAATCTAAAGACAAAACAACAACAAAGTCGTAAGTCTCGCCAGCATTGGGAACTGAAGAATTCAGTTAGCCAAATCAAGCGGGTTGAAAAGCAGAATCTGTAAAGGCAACTAAACTTAGCTTTTAACTGAAAGGTTAGCTGAATGGCCTGGGAGAGAACAAAGCCGGGCACCAGCACCCCACTGTCTACTCGGAGCCGCTGCTGGGCGCATGGTGGGGTGAGGGCAAAAATAATTCCTTGTGGGGGGGTCTCTTTTGGTTGCTGCTGCTGGTGCTGAAGACAAATGTTTTGGGACCAAAGAGACAATGGCTTGAATACATCCCACCCCGCCTTGGCTCCTTGGAGCACCTGAGTCCCTCTTAGTCTCCACATGCCCCCCTCCCAGCTGTCACGAAAGTGGGGAAGATGTTGCAGTTCCTCCTGTCCTGCTTGGATAAAAGTCGTATGTGAGGTTTCAAAAAACTGAAAGACGGAAGTTTCTACATTTTATCAGCTTCAAAACTCAACATTCTACTCCTAATCTGAAAATGCTGGTAACATTCTAGGACTCAGACGGGTCTCCTTTCTGGCTAAGTTCACCTCTAAATTCACCTTTAGATCAGGGTTAGGATTGACTAAAGACAATCACAGCAAAACCTTCTTCTTGCTAGTAAGTAAATGGAGTGAGGAAGTTCTCAGGAACACAGGCATGAATGGTGGGAAGGGAGTCCGGGGATGAGGCGTGTCTGCTGCAGAACCTGTGGCAGGGCAGGGGAGGCTGCGGGCTGCCGTGGGCGGCTGAGTCACTGAGGCACGGATCTCGCACCTCTCCTGGGTGGGCCCATCGCAAGCACACGGCCTCAGACCCAAGGCCTGGCGCCATGTGGATGGCTCACCTGTGTTTTCAATGAAAAGGTCAGCATGACAGGAGCAAATGTTCCGAAAAGAGGACACAATATAGAGATGAATGAAGCCTTCAATGAATCCCTATGCTCAAAACCAACAACAAGCCCAGACGGCAGGGCCGGCGGGGAGAAGGCTGATCATGGAAAATTTGTTCTGGAAACTGTGGGCACAGAAAAGAAATGGGAAAAAAACAAGAACTTTGGAAACAATATGCAAAAAAAAAAAAAAAAAAAATAGATTTCTTCAATCTTTTTTTTTTTTTTTGGTTATAAATGTCAGAAAGCAATGAAAAAAACTCCAAAATAACAAGGAAAAAAAACCCTCGACAATACTAGTAGTCATAAATAAATCCCTAAGGATCCCTGTGAACACAAACATGTTGCCAAACTTTCAGATAATCACACTTCAGCTAACCCTTAATTAAAATTTAGATTCAGTTGTCCTTTAATTCAAGCAGCCATACTCATTACTGATTCTGGGGGGTGGAAATCATTACTCTAAGCACAGTAAAGAAATCTTCAGCATGGTCAAAAGGTTGGGAAGCAAATCGGACTTGAGAAATCAAAAATGCAGGGAAAACGAAAGACAGCCAGCAAGAGAGTCCCCAGGGATGGACACCAGAACAAACAGAAAACCAGTGAAAGGATGGGACAGATTGGTTTGGCAAGCGGCTGTGAAAAGGAAGTTTAGGTCACACACCAGGGGGCCTTGTGCGACTCTGGGAGGTGGCTTTGCGTGGGGGGCAGCTGCCCTACTGTCGGGCATGGTTATGCTTTTCTTCCAGACACCCCGAAAATCTTGGTGCTCGGTGGGCTCGCCCCAGCCGTGCTTCCTGGGGGGCGGCCTCTCCGGGCCGGGCTGGGGGTCGTCGTTCCTGAGGAGGCCACCAGGGCCCACCTGCTCCCCAAAGTCCTCCTCCACGCTGCTCTGCCGGGTCAGCGTCCGCCGCCGGGCCAGCAGCGGCCTCGGGCCCCTCCTGCAGGGACAGTGACCAGGGCCTGGGCTGCACGCGGCCACGGTGTTTCCGAAGCCAAACCGCGACTCGTCCTCTTCACTCCCACAGTCCAGGCCGCTGTCCGGGCTCCGGGTGGCCGAGCGGCTGAACCGACAGCCCCTGTCTTCCAGAAGGAAGTCCTCCACGTGGGGGACGGCCCCCGAGCCCCTGTGCTTCACCGGGAACCAGGAGCCCCGAGGGGCCTCGTCGCCCCTGTAGGGCCTGCCGGGCCTGGGCTCTCTGGCCAGCCCCGTCCTGGCCCTGGGGGACGGCCCTGCACCCTGCTTGTGTAGCAGCCCACAGCACTCTCCGTCCTCTTCCGCTACTTCGGGGATACTGAAAAGTCTCTTCCTGTGGGGCTGGTGGGGAAACTCGGGCTGCTCCCAGAAAGTGCCTTCCGAGGTCCTATGGTCAGTGCAGTCCTTACGGGGTGGTGTGTCAAGAACAGGCGCGGGAAAGAGTGTGTGGTCAGCATGAAGTGGGGGCCAGGGGAGGAAAGAAAATACAGACAGAATTAGTCCTGGAGGCACCGAGGGGGGGGAAGCATGCGTCTACTCAGGCCGGGGGCATGCCGTGGAGGGCTCTGCAATGAAAACAGAATGGGTTACGGGGCTGGGGCGGGGTGGAGGCTGAGGCAGAGCACACGCAGAGCCAGCGGGCCGGGCAGGAGCCAGCGCCATGCATCCAGCCAAGGAGAGGGCAGGTGAGATCCCGGCGGCACATCAGGCCCCACAGTGCCCACGGTACCGCTGCTGTAGATGGTGGGTGTGGCCACGGTGCCAGGGGAGACTGCCCGGGGGCTACATCCTCAGAAACCCTGAGGGCAGCTGCCACTGGAGGCCGTGTGTGACTGGAGACAGTTCACCAGACACGGAGCCTGACCCGTCCCTGTCCATCCACTGGGCCAACTTCCCTTCCAGCGCTCGGCACCCTCTGCAGGACTTTCTAGTTAGGCTGACGTGTCACCCTTCTCCCTAAGATACAAGCTGCGTGAAACCACGCCATCCCCGGCCCCACCAACAGCGCCCGCACACCATCGTGCAGAGTCTGTGTCAGCAAAGGACTGGGGTCCGCCTGTCTCCTCTGCATCCTGCATCAAGTCCCTGAGAGCCACACTTGAGCCATCACAGTCTCCAGTGGGTGGCACAGAGCTGGCCACACCGGGAGCTGCTTAACCAGACCAGTGTCCATGACTTTTATACTGCCCGTCTGCACGCCATCACTCTCTGCCGGGGACAGCCCTCAACTCACCCTCTACCCAAAGAGCATGAAGGACTCCTGACTGGTCTCTCCTTCAAGGGGGCTTGGCTGACCGCCCAGGCAAAGCGTGCCCCTGGGTCCTGGCCGTCGGCCCTCGGGATGCTCAGTAGAGATGAGCCACATGGGCACGGAACAGGGCCACTTGTCTGTCCCCCCTCTTGCTGTGGGCCCCTTGATCTTGGGGACCATGTGGGATTTGCCTAACACAGGGTCTGCCATGGGCCTGGGACTTGCCACAAGCCAGGTGAGGAGGCATCGGGGCACACACTGTGCAGCTGATAGCTCTCTCCCTTCACTTTGCAGATTCGGGAGCACATCAGCTAATATTGGAGCGAATAAGGACATCGAAAACAAACCATCCTTAGAGGACAGGGATGGCAACCCCAGGCACTTTCCAAGGCAGGCGGGAATGAGTGAACCGGGCCAGCGGGGGCCGAACATCTGCCGTGCCCATCAGGGATCCGGCTCCGCTACAGCTCCTCACTGCCACGTGAGAACGTGTGCGCTGAGTGGCCAGATCTCTGTACCACATCTTGTAATTTCTAAAGAGAACCCAGAAATCCAGACCTGCCTACATGATTTCTATTTTTTTTTTTTTTTTGAGACAGTGTCTCACTCTATTGCCCAGTCTGGAGTGCAATGGCGCAATCTCAGCTCACTGCAACTTCTGCCTCCCAGGTTCAAGTGATTCTCCTGCCTCAGCCTCCCGAATAGCTGGGATTACAGGCGCGTGCCACCACGCCCAGCTAATTTTTGTATTTTTAGTAGAGACGGGGTTTCAATATGTTGGTAAGGATGTTCTCGATCTCTTGACCTCATGATCTGCCCGCCTCGGCTTCCCAAAGTGCTGGGATTACAGGCATGAGCCACCGAGCCCAGCCTCCTACATGATTTCTAAAACCAGACAACACCTTGTGGATGGGAGAGGGAGGCTGCTGCCATCCTGGCCAAGCTCCAGCCCCGGCGATCCCCCTGTTGCTAAGAGGTGGAGGGAGTGGGGCTGTGCCTGTGGGGGTGGGGCTCAGCCCAGGAACTTTATGATGAACTCGCTTGACCCTGGGCCACCTTCTGAGGAGAGAAGGTGACATTATTTCTCTACTGAGCAATTCCCGGGCTCTTCCTCCATCAAAAGGAAAGGCATCAGGGGGCGGGGGAAGACCAGCTGCCCGCCTCACCGGGCCTGACTCATGGGCACTTTTTCGGAGCTCCTGGCTCTGGGGCACACAGAGGGGTCGTGGGGTCAGACTGGACCACTCCGCAAAGGCCAGTGTGAATCTGCTCCGTGGTGTCACCTGGGAGCGGGGACGGAGGAGCTGCCGGGGATAGCACGTGCTGCACCATGCAGGGTTTGCATAGGGATCTGGCATGTTCTTTGGTGACAGGACATCCCCCAAGGCCCTGCCAGGGGCCTTTGCCAGGAGAACATAAGTCAGTCTTGTCTATGCAAGTAGGCACCGAGTTGGCAGGCCAGATTTGGATGAGTCTTCTGTCCACCATTCAAAATGCACGCCCTCTGTTCCTGGAGAAAGCAGTGCTGGGAAGCTTCGTCCCGGGGGATTTCCTCTCCAAGGCCTTTTTCATTTGGAAAACCCACAAAGCTCCTACCAATGGCTTGCCTTTGTCTGTCTCCCCATTAGGTTGGGACCTGAAGAGGGCACCCCTTAGCCTAGCACAGGGCCTGGTGCATAGAGCTGGTCATCCCGCACTGCCCTGCAGAGCACATGAATGCGGGAGTCGGACGCACTGGCCAGCAACCGCAGCAGCAATGACAAACATCTCCCCAAGGCCAGGACCAAGGGAAAGCCACGTGGATGGGAAACCCACCCTCCTTGGCTCTAGGGTGCCTCGAGCTCAATATTCCTGCAGGTAACTGCCCGTCGACCCCTTGCTGATGGCCTCTGCCAGAGCAGAAGGGAGAGGGTCTAGCGGGAGGTGGTCTGAGCAGGTGCATGGAGCCTCCAGCCTGTCTTTGAGGCCGGTGTGATCAGATGTGGGACACCCATCTCTTCCGACCTCACTGTGCTTGACCCCTGCCCACCACCAGGCAGGGCCACCATAGTGCCCTCCTTTAAGGAGCTCCCTGCTGACCACACCGTCCTGGCCTCCGCTTTACATTTAGAGGTTGATGCACGCTCTCTCGGCTGCCGATTCTCTCGAGATGAGACTTAAGGCTGTGGAGGGGGTTCTTCTTTGTTCTATTCCCCCCACTTCAGTTCCTGGCACAGAGCTGGGTGCCCCCTGGAGGGTGCCAAATAGATTCCTCTAAACTCCTTTACCCAGACCTTTTGGCCAAGAGCAAGACAGGAGTGTAGGTAATTCCCAAATGCAGATTCAATAGTGAGAAAGAAGCGAATCCAAATCCGAGGGCTACTGGTTGTAGGGCAAGGCCCCTCTGGAGCCTGCCTCACCAGCCCCAGCAAAGGGACGTGGATGGAGCTACTCTGGGGACGGAGTGCAGGGTCCCCCTTCCCCAGCCACTCACCTTGAGGGCATTGTGGGACGTGCCGCTGGGCCGCCTCCTTCCCCCATCTTCCAGCTGCATTTCAGAATACAGCTCCTCCTCGTCCTCCTCCATGATGTCTGAGAGGTCAGACCCCCGGCTGCTCTCTGTGTGGTACTCGTCTCCATGGCAACAGTGCGGCTGGGGGCCAAGAAAAGGGGCTACTGAGCGGGTGGCTCCTCCCGCATCCTACAAGAGGCCAGATTGAGCTTGCCAACCCTTTCCCTGCTTCGCTGACTCACGGGGCTCACAGGCCTAGAGACGGGCACAGGGTGTGTGTTACTCGTTCTGGAAAGTGAGGCTGGAGAGAGGACACACCCACTCTCTCTGTTGAAGTGGCACAGATGGGATCAGCGCAGGTCTCTCAGCTCCAACAGGTACAGAAACACCTGAGCTCTGGACAAGATAGAAAACCCACTGGGGCTTACAAGACACGCGGGCAGAATGTCCATTTCTGGGCACCCTCAGCTTCTCCAACTTATTGGCTGGACAAAGGCTCCAAACTCTGGTGACGGTGGGGATCAGTGCACACCAGGTGTACCCTGGATCCAGCATTGTGTCAGAGAGGCAGGGGGATAGTGGTAAGGTGAGGTGTATATGTACCATAAAAAGACACTTAGGCGGGGCGCAGTGGCTCACGCCTGTAATCCCAGCACTTTGGGAGGCCGAGGTGGGCAGATCACAAGGTCAGGAGATCGAGACCATCCTGGCTAACACGGTGAAAACCCATCTCTACTAAAAATGCAAAAAATTAGCCGGGTGTGGTGGCGGGCGCCTGTAGTCTCAGCTACTCGGGAGGCTGAGGCAGGAGAATGGCGTGAGCCCGGGAGGCGGAGCTCGCAGTGAGCCGAGATTGCCCCACTGCACTCCAGCCTGGGCCACAGAGCGAGACTCCATCTCAAAAAACAAACAAAACAAAAGACACTTAGGTTTTTAAAACATGCCACGTTGTCTAACACACACGCGCAGACACTGGCAGACAGCCTGGCCTGGCAGGAGGTGGAGCCACCGCACAGACTGTGTGCTTACTCCGGGCCCAGCTCAGCCTCAGCATGAGACGAAGATTGTGCAGATAGTAGGGGCACTGGGCGGAGGCTGCGGACAGCAGAAAGGCTTCAACAAAAAAAGTGTGTTTAAATGAAGAGGCTACCTGGTAACATGCCAGCTTGGAGACAGCGACAGCCCTGGTGGTCTCTCCCAGTGATGGTGCCAGCAGCAGCCGCTGGGTTTCCACTCACAGAGAAAGCACCTAGTCACGTGGTAACGGTATTCAAAGCAAAGTAAACCTTCGACAACTCGAACTACACGTTCTGATGCACTCAGATTGATGAATGTAATACATCCATAAAGATATTCTGTTTTTGCTACATGGTATCGATTAAGAACAGTTTATTTTGCGGAGGTGTGGCAAGACAAAGGTATTCAATAGCATTCTGTGACGTATTTATCTAAAAAAAAATCTGGTTTCAATTCCTAACCCAGATGAAGATGTGTATGCATTGGCGTCACGGTCAGTTCCTGGCCTGCTGAGGGAAGCTGCGTGGGGCTGCGGGCGGAAGGTTCCCTGCCCCAAGCCCGTGAGAGGGAGGACGGGAAGGGCCTCGGCCGGGCAGTCTGCAACACCAGCCTCTCAGCTGCGCCAGCCCTAATGCTTCCAACCAGGCTCCAAGCGGAAGGCACGAAAGCGAACTGGGTTTAAATGGATTTAAAAGGTGAGACTGGGTCTAACGAGGCCCTCCCAAGGCCTCTGGGGAGGGACTGCCTGCACCACCGCACAGTCTCACTTTATTCAACCCCAGCAGTGAGCTAGGGGTCAACTCCTGGGACGGAAGGAGGTGTCTGGCATTCGCCAGATGCTTGAGGTCAGCCCTCTCTCCATTCTTGGAATAGTGTTCTAAGCAAAGGTCACCAGCATTTCAGTGAGATGTCTAGTGACTGGCTGAAGGCGCTCAGCAAGTAAACGACAGGGCTGGGACCAGGGTCCAGGTCTGCCCTTGCCTCTGCTGACAGAGAACATAACCTTAGACACTCTACTTGGTGGGTGCCTTCTCCTAGGGGGACACGCAGCTTTACCCTCCAGTCCTCAGTGGAGAATGCCAGCAGGCAGATGGCCCTCCCTGGGGATAGGGGAGGTGCTGAGCCCCGCATCCAGCAGGAGGCCTGTGGCTATAAATTTCACTTATAAAGAGGCTGAGGTAAAGCCTCCACGAGACAGGATTTGGATCATCACTATAGCAAACTTCAGTCTTATCACTCGGCAAACCACCTTTTCTCTCGCCAAACTAAAAATCACAAATTCCTCTTAAAAGCCTCTTTCCTTAGATTTAATAAGGGTACAGACTTTCGGTTACATGTGGAGCAGGTTCTGGGGGCCTAGTATTCAGCATGGGCAATGACGGATGTACTAATTAACTTGACTGGGACAGTCATTTTTTTTTTTTTTTTTTTTTTTGAGATGGAGTCTCACCCTGTTGCCCAGACTGGAGTGTGGTATCACCATCTCGGTTCACTGCAACCTCCACCTCCCAGGTTCAAGCAATTCTCGTGCCTCAGCCTCCTGAGTAGCTGGGATTACAGGCACCTGCCACCACGCCCAGCTAATTTTTATATTTTTAGTGGAGACGGAGTTTCACCATGTTGGCCTGGCTGGTCTCAAACTCCTGACCTCAAGTGATCCACCCGCCTTGGCCTCCCAAAGTGCTGGGAATACAGGCTTGAGCCACCACACTCAGCCATGCTGACAGTCTTTACGTAATGTGTACCCACATCCGGTCATCAAGACGTACACCCGGAACATAGACAATCTTTGTCAATGAAATACTTTTAAAAATAGATAACTAAAGATATTATTTATTGGTACAGTGAGCATTTCTCATTGTGGACTTAATGAAAATGCTTTTGTAATATTGGGAGAATGGAGGTGATTTTTTCAGAGCAAATGTCCCAGCTACTCTCAGCCTCCCTTCTTTCATTCATTCATTCGACAAACATTCATTGAGCACCTACTATGTGTGAAATGCTAGAGATACCGTAGTCAACTAAAAGTGGAGGCTTCCACCCACTAGAACATCGGTGTCTTGGAGCAGATGGGATAGCGCCAGGGGGTAAGGGCTCATGTGACGGGGCGGGCAGCATGGGGAAGCGGATGGTCAGGGAACACTTCCCGGGTTGTAAAACTGGCAGTCTGTGCACCAGCTCAACTTCAGTCACTCCCTACCACTGTCATGATGCGTCACCTAGCCAGACGCCATCTGTATGATTAATGAATGTATTCTTTGAATTGAATCAATATTTAACGTTACTTTTAAAGAAAATATCTCAACTGTAAATGGAAAATAAGTATCACTTATTTTATGTTATATTATTATATTATTAACAATATATATTAACAATTAATATATTGTTATATTATTATGTTATGAATACAACATAAAACAATGCTGCTAAATATTAACGCTTTTTAAATTTTAATAGAAACAGACCTGTTTGCTCTGTTAAAAAACAAAACAAGCAGGAAAACGTGTTAATAGCATGCTTGGCCAAACAGACTTCCTCTGCAGTCTCATCAGAAGGAGTGGGAGGCCCTCGGAAGTGCAGAGCTGTGTTTCTGCCGCTGTGTTTCTACTCTTCTCTAGAAAAGTCATCTCTTGTAGCAGGTGTGGTCATCCAGAGCTGGGCGTCAGCACTGGTGGCCACCAGCCACGTGTGGCTGTTTACATGTAAACTAATTAGAATGTAAACTAATCTGGAACTAATTTTATAGAAGTAAAAATTCAGGGCCTCAGTCACACTCAGCCCCAGGTGGCCACATGTCAAGGGCTCTGGGGCCACCTGGGGCTGTGGCTGCCATAAGACAGCGCTGAATGCCGATCTCAAAAACCAGTGGGGGTATGGGTCCTTCACCCAGAGAACAAGTGCTCCAGCCTTTCCTCCGGGTTTGTAATCTGAGCAGATTGCAGGGAAGGTGATGATTCACTCCTGGATAGGTGAGGAGAACGTGGCACATGGGGAAAGGCGTGGAAACAGGTCTTCTTCAGGCCTCGGTTCAATCTAATTCCAGCTCTGTTAGGAGACCATCTGCGTAATCATGGACAAAAATTCTCAATTCTGTGGGCCTCAGTTTCCCTGTATACATAAAATAAGAGCTTACGTTTACTGAGCACTTACTACTTGCCAGTTGTGTTTTGCGTGTCATGTAATACACAGAAAGCCTCATAAAACCTGTGCTATCGTGGCAGGTGTTGCTGGCTCGACATTTGCTATGGACTAAGTTGTATTTCCCCACCCCACCCTATTCAGAAGTTGAAACCTTAACCCCCAGTGTGACTTTATTTGGAGATGAGCTATTTAAAGAAGTGATTAAGATTAAATGACATCATGATGGTAGGGTCCTAATCCAATAGGACTATTTTCCTTATAAAAAGAGGACAAGATACTAGGGATGTACAGAGAAAAGGCCACGTGAGGACTCAGGGAGAAGGCACCATCTGCAGGCCTCGGGGAGGCCTCAGGGGAAAGAAACCAGCCCTGCTGGTGCCTCGGCCCTGGACTTCCAGCCCCCAGCACTGTGAGAAACAGACTTCTGTTGTTTGAGCCACCTGATCTATGGTATTCTGTGACGGCAGCCCCAGCAGACGAGTACAACAGTCAACAGAAATCCTATCTCCAGAACTCACCCAGGGCCCAGCACCAAGAAAAGGAATCATCTGTGACCCAAGAGACCAAAACAGATACCTCTTTCTCAACTGAGATGGCCCCTAAGGTTAGGGAAATAAAAGGTACCTGGGGCCGAGGGGTCAAGGCCTGGCTGGCATGGCTGCTCTGTAAATTCCTACGCTGCAAGAAAACCCACACTCTTGCTAAACTCCAGAACAACAGGCGCTATGGGACTCCTCCTAACTCTCATTTACAACCCAGACCACGCAACTCCAACTGGGCAGAGGACCGGCCTTACACACACTCTTTTCTGATAAGCGACTGTAGACATTAAGCCGGTTTCAGCTTAAAGAGGCTTAAGCCCATTTTAGCTTAGGCTTTGAGTCGTGGGGTTTACCTTTTGGTGGAAAGAGCCAATTCCACCTCATTCTAACACTAAAACCCGCCCCATGTGCGGTGCACACAGAGGATGCTACAGATATGTCTACTCACTGCATGTGCGTGTGACTCCTCTCGGATGGATGCACAGCCTTTCCCCAACCTGAATGCATATGGTTCTGTGTAATGTGGACCCTGTGAGGCATAAAAATCACCCTGCCCTTCCCTCTTCAGAGAGAGCACCCTCAGCACATGCCAGAGCCTCTCTCTTCCTGGTCTGCAAACTGATGTCACCAATAAAGCTCTCCTTTCTACCTCTGAGCCTTCCTGGTGGGCTTTCGGATGACACATCACTGATAAGCCATTCATTGGAAGCCAGTTCCTGCCTGGGTGGTGGCCATGTGACCTCAGTCTGCTCAGCGAGATGTCATAGAAAGTCTGACTGGAAGGAAGTCTGGCTTCCGTCCATCCCTTTTTTCCTTCTTGGGGTGTTCTCATAGGACGGTGTGATTATTGGAGCTATGGCAGCCACTTTGTAACCACGAGAGAAAGGCCAAGAGAATGGACGAGACAGAACTCAGACCCCTGACACACTGAGAGCCAAAAATCCACCTCGCAGCCTCTACTGCAGACTCCCTGTGATGTGGGGTAATTAAACGACTTTGTTGTCTTAGCCGTGATTAGTTGGGCATTCCGTTTCTGAACGATTTGGATCTTCCAGATGAAGAACGTCATGGCCGGAGGAGTCGGGGGACTTGTTCACCTGTGGTCTGTAACCAGCCGGGACATAAACCCAGGCCTGAGAGATGCCAGTCCCCCTCTCCGGGTATGGGGCTGTTTTGCTGTGGGAGTGGGTTCAGAGGATACTGTGTGATCTGATAACTGCAGCGTCTTCGAGCTCCCACTATTTAGCATTCCCCAGGCCCTCGGTTATTTCCAGTCCCTCCTGTTGTCCAAGTTTTGTTCTTTACAGCATCTGAGGGCATTTCCATTAGAATATGCACGATCGGAAATTAGACAGAAACCCCAAACTGGCTGAATGTCTTCCTCATGAGCCCAGCTCTGCCGTTTTGCTGTTCTGAAGGACGAACACTGACTGTGTTATTTTTGGCTCCCATGATGCCTCCCTAGCACACAGATGGCCAACAAACATCTGCCCAGTTAACGGAGGTGAATGAGCGAATGGCAGGTTCTGCCTGAACTGAGCCTAACCCTACCCGGACCTGCAAAACCACCCCTATGACCGAATACCAGGATGGTGCAGCGGGGGAGGGTGGAAGCCCTGCACTTCGACTTTTTCAATTATCCCCAATGAGGGTATGTGACAGGCATTAAATATAAACTTCAGAAACCTAGCACGACTTAGGACCCCAGCTGGGCGTCTCCATCTCTCTCAGGGACCCAAGGGTAGCGGGGAAAGTGCCCATGTCTCTTGATCTCCACGGGGCCCGCTCCGAGCCCGCGCCCACCAGGAGGATGGTGTGGGGCCCGGCCCGCTCTCACCTGCTTGCCAAGTTCAGAGCCTTTCAGGAAGTCGTCCACCGAGGCGCCCCTCCTCTTGAAGTCTGGAGAGTCATAGGCGTCCTCCTCGTCTGAGGCGGCGTACTGCCCCGCGCTGCTTCTCTCTAGGAAGACGCTCCTTTTCTCTAACTTGGAAAGAAAAAGGAGGCACACGGGTGAGGCAGGGCCACCTTCAGCTACGCTCAGCCCCACCTGCATTCACCAAACCTTCAGCCCCTCAGAGCCTGGCCAGGCACCCCCCACACAGTGCTTTGGGCCCAGCTCTGCCGCCCTCTCGCTGCCCCAGACCCACCAGAATCTTTTTTTTTTTTTGAGACAGAGTCTCACTCTGTCGCCCAGGCTGGAGTGCAGTGGCATGATCATAGCTCACTGAAACCTCTGTCTCCCAGGTTCAAGCAATTCTCCTGCCACAGCCTCCCGAGTAGCTGAGACTACAAGCATGCACCACCATGCCTGGCTAAGTTTTGTATTTTTAGTAGAGACAGAGTTTCACTGTTGGTCAGGCTGGTCTCAAACTCCTGAGCTCAGGTGATCTGCCCACCTCGGCCTCCCAAACTACTGGGATTACAGGCATGAGCCACCGCGTCCAGCCTCTTTTTAACCTTTGAGGTAACATTTGGATACACAGATGACTCCTCATTCCCTCCATTGGTCTCCTCTGCCCAGCTTTTATTAATAATTTGATCAATTCACATTTGTCTGAAACATAGGACTTGGAAGTATTTGCTTTCTCTCCCGCCCCAGGCTTCCCTGCCTTCACAGCCTTCTTGGGGACCTGGAGCAGAAGTGGAGCCGCATCCCACAGGGCAGCTGCTACCCCGTCCTGCCCACGGCCTCCCCAGAAGCACCACCTCCCAAGCTCAGGGCTTGGGCTCCTGCCTGTGAACCAATCAGAGCCATGGTGAATTCACATATTCTGAAGGGCTTCCTTTATAGAAAGGCCACAAATTCATGTTTAGTATTTTTATTAGTGGCCAATGTCGAACGAATTAGCAAATTTCACAGAAAATTTCCAGTTTTTCAGGAGGTGCTGAGGTGCTGCCGGGGCAGCCCCACTCAGGAGGACGGGGTGGGGGCGGAAGGTAGCTCCCTGCCCAGTGTCACCATCGTCCTTTCTGTCCTCCTAGACACACCTGAGCTGCTCAGCATTGACCTCTCACAGTGCGTGCCCCGCCTCGGTTTCCCTGGCCCGGCCCCCAGCCCAGAGGAACACTCACAGGAGGACAGTGTAGGGTCCCGGTGAGACCCCACAGGCTGACCCAGCAGGGCCGAGGGTCCTGACCAGGGCTGTGCTGCCACCTCAGGTGGAAACGGGCTCAACACAACAGGAGAGATGAGAGCGGGTTCTGGGTGGGGATGCGGGCACACGTTCTGGCTCCCAGCCCCACATCTCTTCCCCTAGCCCTGCACGGGGGGCATTGCTCTGCAGGTGATTTCTCAAAAACGCACGTCCCGTTGTGTGTATCATCCGGAACATGCCCTACCACAATCCACATGCTCTCTCCTGGACCCAGAAAAGTTCAGTTAGCAGGCATGCAAATATGTATGCAGGGGTCTATATGTCCGTATGCGTTTCTACACATAGGTACAGATGTATGTATATACATGAGGGTGCATACAGATACGTGTATCTATGGGTGCATGTCCATATATGTATAGACACATATGTGCATGTGTGTGTATATATTTACATGCACACACACACAGAACCTAGGACTCTGCAGCCAGCAAAACCAGGAAGAGCCTGGTTCAGGAAAGTGGGTCCTGGCCAACTTCCACCGGGCAACTCTCAGACCCCTTGTCGCACACCAAGGCCATGTCTGGATTCTTCTGAGCCTGCTTTCTAAGCCAGGCAAGTGCCTGGCATTTCCTTAGTTATGTGGCTACATATTAGCAAATAAAAAACACCATTTAACTCAGTCAGGATCAGGCACATGACAGAGTCCACCAGCAAAGCGGTGGGCTGAGCGCGGCCCCCCTCCCTGCAAGCTGGGATGCGGGTCCCCCTCCATGGGCTGGGGAGATTACAGGGCCCCGTCCCGTGGGGTTTGGGGACTGAGGAGCCACCGAGGCGGGAGCCCCAGCCTTACCCTGCTGCTCTCGGCCACCCTCTGCGCGGCCTCCCGGGCCATGGCCTTGGCGACGGTGGTGGACACCGGGGTGCCCTGTGGCTGTGGCAGGATGCGGCTGGGTGAGGGCGACCGCCTTCCGGGGCCCACGGGCGGCTCCAGCATGTGCCCATGCACAGGGCCAGGTGCACGGCTCTGCTCCCAGGCCTCATCCATCCTGGCGTGGGGACCCAGGTGCTCGTCTTTGGTTTCGGGGACTCCAGAACTTGCTAATGGCTTTGATTGGGGTGCAGGTCTCGGGTGGGGGGTAGGAGGCACCAGGAGCTCGGGGGGAACGGCAGCAACTGCAGAGTCCACGGACTCGCCCTGGGCGGAGAGGGTCCGCACGGTCACGCCCTTGGCCTCCAGGCTCCGCAGCCGCACAAGCTCCACGGCCGTGCTGTCTGCCGTGGGGAAGATGACTTCAGCCACCTGTGGACAAGCAGAGCTGGCTCGCGGGCTGCCCGAGGTGAGCCCCGCGGTCCTGCAATGGGGAGCCGACCAGTCCTCTGCCCAGAGGCCAGGTGCAAAGGATCATGCCCAGCGACCTCCGACTCCAACCACCCGCCAGGTATGGAAGCTCCAGGAAGTCTTGCGGGGAGGGGGCGGGGCAGGTTCACAGACCTCAGGCCCCAGGACCCAATCAGTGGTAGAGGGTTCCGTCAGGCCAGTGACGTCAACCATTTATCTCCCATCCTCTGGACCCATTCTGAGTAGATGCAGGGGCCAGAGAGGGGAGTGAGTGTCAGGTTTATTACCACCACAGCTGGAGGGAAGAGAGGGGCTCAGGCAGAGGCCAACGTGGGCTTCCGACTGCTGGGAGAGAACAGGGCTGAGGGCCTCCTCTGCAGGGGCCAGGGCCCATGCTGGGGACTTCCCGCCTCAGAGCACAGGAGTCTGCAGGAAGCGGCTCAGGCAGACGCACTGCCTCTGTTCCCAAGTCACCCCTGCTCCTGCAGGGCGGAGCTGGGGACGGTGAGGAGCAGCTGCTTTCCCAAGCCCTCCCTGAGGGCAGATGCTTCTACTTCACCCCAGGCAGGGATAGGGGGCTGGTGTCCTTGGTTCCCCACACCAGGCACCAGGGATATACCCATTTCTTGGAGTCAAGGCCTGGTCACCTGTTCACGTGCAGACCCAGCAGTATCTTAAGGCGGGACGCGCCTTCGGCCATGGGTATCATCGTGCTAAGACTCAGTTTGTTGAAATTAATAAGGCAGTCATCAATCAAGAATGTTCTGACACTAGGGGTCCCCTCTCTGGCCCCTGCATTTTTAATCCAGAGCAGAGCAGGGCAGGGGATGAGTGAGGGGAGCGAGATGGGGGGAGTGCTGGAAGTGAGGAAGGGGTCCTGGGGTTCACGCTGATGGAGTCTTCGGGGTTGAGGGTGCCTCCAGTGATCAGGGCTGGAAGAGCAGACCCTGCCTCCTCCACTGAGCAAATACCGGGCCGGTCCCTGCTGCGTTAGGGCCTAACAAACCCTCCCCACCCACCCAACGAAAACTCACCCTCTGCCCTTTGGCATACACGCCGTAGCCGGTAACGTTTGCGCCATTGGACAGCCCGGTGGGCGTCAGCACAGGTGGTCTCCAGGAGACCCGGATGGTGGCGGGGGTCACCCCAGCCTGGACGGTAACATCTTGTGGGGGTGCTGGGGGTCCTGGGAGGGGACAGAAGGGAACGGAGGCGTTCAGGGACCAGCCCTGGCAGGTGAGCCGTGACTGGGCTCTGCCCATCTCACCTGGAAACGAGATCATTCGGTAAAGTCGCCAGGGAAAAAGAGAAGACAGTGTTGAAAGCACATCAGAAACTGTGGTGAGGTGGGAGGGTGGGGCCGGGGTACAGTCAGGTACCAGGATGCACAGCTGCCCTTTTCCTTTAAATTCGGCATTTAGTCACCATCTTCTGGGAAATGCAAACCTAAACTGTCTGTGGAACCACCTCCTTACCTGTCCTCAGTCTCTGTGACCCGGCAGAGCTACCTCTGTCCAGGGGTCTCAGGCCTGGCCAGGCAGCCACACGATTAGCTCAGAGAGGGGCCAACGAGACGCCGGCGTTTGGCAGATCGAATGGAAGAGAGATCTTGGCAGAAGGCAATCCCCTCATCCCCCCGCCCGCCCCTCATCCTCTCACCTTTTCTTCTCTCTTTTCTCTCCCTCTACCCTCTGCCCGGACCGCATATTCCCCATCTTACCACCCCATGAAACTGAGCAAAACTGAAAGATGAAGAGACCAGGTCTGATGACATCGTTGAACCTGAGAATCCATTTCTGCGTGTGTGTGTATATGTGTGTATGTGTGTGTAAATGTGTATGTATGGGTGTATGTGTGTAATGTGTGCATATATGTGTATATGTGGATGTGTTTGTGTGTAGATGTATATGTATGTATGTATATGTACATGTGTATGTGTGTATGTACATTGTGTGTGTATATGTGGGTGTGTGTGTGGGTGTGTATAGATGTGTGTAAGTGTATGTATGTGTGTAGATGTGTGGGCATGCGTATGTGTGTATGTGGGTGTGTGTATGTGGATGCATGTGTATGTATATATGTGTATATGGGTATATGTGTATGTGGGTGTGTGGGTGTGGGTGTGTGGGTGTGTATGTATTTGTGTATGTGTGTGTATGTGTGTGTGCGTGTCTGTGGGTGGGTATGTGTGGGTGTGTGTGGGTCTGTAGGGGTGTCGGTGGGGGTGTCCATGGGTGTATGTGGGTCTGTGGGGGTATGTGTGTGGGGGTGTGTTTTTGTGTATGTGGGTGTGTGGGGGTGTCTGTGGGTGTGTGTGGGGGGGATGTGTTTTTTTGTGTGGGGGGTGTATGTGTTTTTGTGTACGTGGGTCTGTGGGGGTGTCGGTGGGGGTGTTTGTGGGTGTGTGTATGTGGGTCTGTGGGGGTGTCTGTGTGTGTGTGTATGTGGGTATGTGTATGTGTATCTGTCTATGTGAGTCTGTGGGGGTGTCTGTGTGTGTGTGTATGTGTATCTGTGAGTCTGTGGGGGTGTCTGTGGGTGTGTGTATGTGGGTATGTGTATGTGTATCTGTCTATGTGAGTCTGTGGGGGTGTCTGTGGGTGTGTGTACATGTATTCATGTATGTGGGTCTGTAGGGATGTGTGTGTGTGGGGTGTGTGTGAGTATAAGCACATCCGTATCTCCCACCAGCTGTGTTACTCTGAAGAACACCAACCTTGCACCACCATCCCCGGGCATGGCTAACCCTGGCCGTACCTGCACCACCGTCCCCGGGCATGGCTAACCCTGGCCGTACCTGCACCACCGTCCCCGGGCATGGCTAACCCTGGCCGTACCTGCACCACCGTCCCCGGGCATGGCTAACCCTGGCCGTACCTGCACCACCGTCCCCGGGCATGGCTAACCCTGGCCGTACCTGCACCACCATCCCCGGGCATGGCTAACCCTGGCCATACCCAAGACCATGGGGGGATGATACATGGGGTGTGGTTGAAGCATGAATTCTGAGAAATGCTGACCTACATGTGATTGTCCCAACTACACCTTCTTCCTCCAACACAGACACGTCCCTCCAGTTTACTTCCCACTCTGAGACCTCATTCCCAGTCACTGGGGTGAGCCTGGGGACCCACCTCTGTGCTAAGGGCCCCTCCTCTACCTGAATCTCTCCATCTCAAAGTTAGTGTCCAGGGGAGCCTCTCCTGAAGGCCCCGAGAGAGGTGCCCTTCACCTCCTGACTCCCCACGGAGTGCCCGTGTCTGGTGTTTCTCGTTCTTCACCCCCGCACTCATCAGAAGGCATCGCGGGAGGCGTCAGTGAAAAGTGGGTGGCCTCATTATCCCAGCATTCTTGATCAACTCCGGGCAGTTGGGGAGGAAATAAAATGTCGTCGTGTAACAGATGAACTGACCCTGCCTACGTTAGCTGCTACCTGGACGTGCTGTCCCCCTCAGGCAGCGTCTGTCCCACCTACCCCTGACACCACTGCTCTGTCAGGCTCTAGCTGACCAAAGGTTTCATGAATATCAGAGCGGGCAGTGGAGGCTTCCGGAGGTGGGGGTGCTGGCTGCCCAGTAACTCAGCAGCACTGGGACCCTGGCGAGTCGGAGAGCAAGAAGACGAAGAAAGTGTCCACACTCACCCCACCTCCCTACCATCTCCCCAGGAAAGGAAGGGGGCACATCACACTCCCTGTTTGAGCGGAGATAGCAGAAAAGAACACTGGAGTTCACATCGCGGCGAAAATAGCTTCTGTGATGAAACTGCATCTCTTTTATACAAGCCACGTATGCATGCTTAGAGGCTTGTGCCTGTAATTCCGACACTTTGAGAGGCTGAGGCAGGCAGATCACGAGGTCAAGAGTTTGAGACGAGCCTGACCAACATGGTGAAACCCTGTCTCTACTAAAAATACAAAAATTAGCCGAGCGTGGCGGCAGGTGCCTATAATCCCAGCTACTCAGGAGGCTGAGGCAGGAGAATCGCTTGAAATTGGGAGGCAGAGGTTGCAGTGAGCTGAGATTGCACCACTGCACTCCAAACTGGGTGACAGAGCGAGACTCCATCTCAAATAATAATAATAATAATAATAATAATAATAATAATAATAATAATAATTTACAAGGACGAGAAAGAAGGAATGATTCTGAAAGGCACGTAAGCACTTCCAGGCAGTATCCAACTCAGTGAGTATGTGTCCAGGGGTGCATGTGACACGGAAGATGTAACCGTGTCCCCTGGGGGGACTCACTTCCCTCCTGTCTTTTGTAGGATGAGCCTCTTGTTGATATAAATGCTCAAAGAAAAATTGCCAACATGGTCCCTAACATGTTCCAAGGACTCTTGTGCACACGCACACACGTTCTGTGCTTCGCCGGTGACCTAAGGGATTTTCCAGGGTCATGTTGTCAGGATGGGGATTCCTGCTTCTGCCTGCCCCACCTTCCCTCCCCACTAGCAGGGTGACATCCTGGCGTTCTCTCCCTGGGGGACCCACGGAAGGACACAGGGCTCACCTGCAGGCAACGTGGAGAACTCCACAAAGGCCTCCTTCTTCTCCCTTTGCTCCAGCGGGAGCTGCCACGGCATCTGGTGGGGTTTGGCCAGAACCTTCACCTTATAGGCCATGTTGGGCCTGAGATTGAAGAACTGGTACTTGTACCTGGCGGCCTTGACGATGTCGAACTCCTCCTCGTTGAGGAAGATGACGTGGCTGTAGTTGCTGTTGGTGGGTAGCCAGGAGAGCTGGGCGGAGATCTGCGTGATGTTGTCCACCCGCAGGTGGGAGGGGGCCACCACCACGTCCTTGCCCACCAGCAGCGTGCACTGCAGCTCATCCGAGCTGCCCCTGCTGGTGACGCACTGCACGGAGATGCGGTAGGTGCAGGCTGCCATGTTGAGCTTCTCGATGAGGGCTTTAGTTCTGCTCCCCAGCGTGAGGTTCATGCGTGTCTCCTTGTCCACCAGGACGTTGTAGCTGCTCACCGTTCCCCATCCTGGTGGCACCGCCGGGGGCTCCCAGCCCACAATAACACTTTTGGCGAGTTGTTTGATGAGGGTGATTTTTCTAGGGTAAGGCACGATGTCTTCTCCGATGTCGTCGATGTTCACGTCCAGGGTCCCGGCACTGTTGTCGGTGATGCCCGCATCTATGTGGGTTGGGGAGTGGAGGTCCAGGATGTGCTCTCCCTCCAGGCCGATGCCGGAATGGTTGATGAAGTTCTGATCCTGCTCGTTCCCCAGCGTGCTTGCCAACCGCGACTCGTTGTCCTGCACAAAGTCCACGAAGTTGGAGGGCACCAGACCCCTCTGGCCATCGAGGAGCTCTCCTGTTGGGTACAAGGACAGAGTTATCACCCAGCCAACACAGCAGGGGCCTCGAGGCCCCCAGTGTACTCCCACCTCCCCCACCAGGACCATAAGGCAGAGCAACAGGGTTGCCCTGGGGCTCCTCCGCTGTTCCCAGGAGTCCATGCTGGGGCCAGCTCCACACCCACCATCTAAAGAGCCAGCTCCTCCATCCCCGTGGCCCAGTCTTCTTTTCTCCATGATACTTATCGCAACCTGAAACCATCATGTTTGTGTATCCGTGTACGTACACTGACTACCCCCTCCCAACACGAACAACACTCAGGGACAGCAGGGACCACACGACTATTGAATGCCCAGCCCTAGAGTGACAGCTGGCCCACAACAGTGCACAGGAAAGATTTGTTAGAAGGACGAGTCAGTCAAATCAGTGGCTTTTGGAGATTAAGAAAATAAACATCTTACTATGATTTTTGATTAAGAATTAAAAGGTGATTTCCTGGCCCCCTTGAAAAGCACTGGGCACATCTTAATGAATGCACAATGTGTCCAATTTGATGTGAAACAAAACTATCAATTTGGTGTCAGAACCACAAGTTGTGTGGCAAAAAAAAAAAAAAAAGTCAAAGTAGCTCTTGTGGTTAAGAGTGGACATAGTGGGGACCGCTGTATTTTGTGAAAGTCTAACTTCTACGTGCTTTCTTCATTAGTAGGGCTCACAAGGCTGCTAACAGCAGACGGCCAGAAAACGGAGAAGTGTTCAGAGCTTCAAAGATGAGGCAGTTTGGGTAATCTTCCAGCACAGACCCAGAATGGACCGTTTCCACCAATTCATCACAAGGTACCCACAGACCCACAGAGAGGGGCTGGGAAATGCTGAGCATTGGATTCTGCGCCCAGAAGACCCCCTGCCTCAGGGGAGCATGTGATGTGTTGTGGCCCAGGGGAAGACATGTCAACCATTTAGTTAGTCCTGGATGCTAATAAAATAAATAAGAAGGACTTGGATTCCGTTCCAAACCTCCACCTAGGGTGTGGGTCTGCAGGAGCCAATCCTTTGCACTGAGGATATGCTATTTAAAAATCCTTAGTTTGGCATAGGAGGAGATGGAGGTGATGGTGATGATGGTGACGGTGATGATGATGATGGTGGTGATGGTTATGAAGATGATTATAATGCTGGTGGTGATGGTGATAGCTACTATTTATTGAACAATTACTATGTGCTAAGCTCTATCCGAAGACCGTCGTATCTATTATCTCATTTCTCCTCAGACCCTCTATGAGGTGGGTACTATTACTATCTCCATTCTATAGCAGAGGAAGCTGAGGCACAGCGAGGTGAAGGAAGTTTCCTGCTGTCACACAGACAATGGAGCCCTGAGTTTTGATCCCTGCCTGCAAAGAGGCTCCTGGAATGCTTCTGTGGGCTCCATGTGTGGTGAGAAAGTTCCAGAGATTTCAACACAGGTTTTCTGGCAGCTGCCTTGGGCACATATTTCTGTGCTTATGTGAAAATCAGTGGTGATAATGTGGACTTATGGGAAGAATTCAAACTGCTTTGCTACCAACTGTGGTGAGAGTTCTTGGCTGGACCATCCAGAGCCAAGAACAGCTGGTGAGAGAGTGGTGAGCGAGTGGTGAGTGAGGCAGCTCGACTGCTGGGCTCCTGCTCATGGACACCTCTAGAAGTGACCCGACCTCACCCCAAGTAAACACCCAGGAAAAGCACCTGGGGCTTCCATCAGCTCCGAGAAAACAGCATGAGGTCACGAAAGAGAAACCTGCTAGCTTAGCAAGCAAGATTCCTTCTGCTCAGGGGGAAGAGGAAGAAACCAAGACCACGCTATTTGTCCAGGGCAGTTGAAACATGTAGGGAATTAGGGAATCAAATCCTTTAGAACGTTGATTTATGGGCTGCTGGTGCTGTTACATGTTTATTCTCAAGCTAAAAAGGCAACAAAAGGTGGGGCCTTTCAGATGATTTCAAATTTGGAGAGGAGACCTCGAGGGAATGAGCAGGGGCAACCTGGGGCCACCCCCTAAGTTGACAACAGTGCCTTGAAGTCAAGGAGATGGATGGCCTTCCACAGGTGCCAAGAGCCACCTTCCCGTGAGGTCACCTGGAGCAGAACAAGGCTCTGCCAGAGAGGGTGCCTCTGGGAGACCCTGAGGGTGCTGAAAGACAAGAGCAGGAGAGACACTTTTGGAAGCAGAGGGTCTGTCAGTCCCATGTGTCTGCAAATAGCTGCCAAAAGCTCTGCAGAGGTTAGCGGAAAACATCTACCATGTGTCAGAGGTCAGCTTAGAGCTGAATACTGGAAACCCCACTCAGGTTTCTTTCCAGTCGTCAAAGAGGGCAAACCTGGTAACTACGGAGTGGGGAAGGGTCAGAGAGGAGGGCTGGGTGGCCAGGAGTATGTTGGGAGCCCTGCCTATCTATCAGGCCCCTGGAAGAGGTGGTCTGCGGGGTGGACTGGCCCAGCCTACGTCCGCCACAGCCATGTTCCAACAGAGACCTTCATAGAACCCATCCTCATCCATGTCTCCATAGACGTAGAGGTATTTTCCCGCCGTGAGGGGCAGCTCAGCTTCGGGGTTCTCGTTCGGTCCATCGAAGGGGTTGTAACTGCAGAGAAAACACAGTTCCTTCATTAGAGGCTCTGGAGGACACAGCCCGCACCCCTGTCCGTGCAGAACGCCAGACGGGCACATGGCTTCTCTCCCACTCCTAGGGAATTACAAACCCACATAATCGTTCGGGGCTGATGAGTTCTCTGTACACTGGAAATTCAAGCCACTGCCAGCTCACACACACAGATTTAAAGTAAAAATGCAATTCGGAAATGAAGTTATATGCTCAGAACTATTTGCATCAGATAACAGGTTTATGATTCTGACATTCTATTCACACTTATCTCTTCTGCTGTAACTATACATCTCCAAATTAGCAAGCAGATGTGAAGAAAATTAACCCTATAATCTTTCAATAATACAATTTAGTGAAAACAGAATCATATATACTATTTAGCAACCTGCTTATTCTTCCACCTTGCAAGATAGCATCCTATACTTCTACCTCTTGAAATATTATCATCATAGTCTTTTTAATGGGTGTAGAGTATTCCACTGAACATATTAACATACTTTATTTAACCAGTTTCCTAATGTTGGGCAGTGAGGTTTCTTCTAACTTTTGGCTAATATAATTAGTATTGCATTATATATTCTTATAAACATATTTTTGCACACTTCCACAATTTCTTCCTAATGATAAATCCTAGGAAATATACTTATTTGGTCAAAGGCACCTACATTTTTAAGGTCTTGGGTGTGGACAGTCAAAATGCTCAGAAAAACAGACGCATGATTTTATGCTCCCCCCCCCCACACCCCCAGGAATATAAGAGTATCCATATTCTCCAGTCCTCAACATATTGGGATTAATAATTTTCAAAGCCGTGTCCAACTTGGAAAATCAAACACATGAAACAAACCCAGATGAATTGGGGATTCTCTAAATAAAAGGCAAATTAACTTAAAATAACAGCGAAGAACTCATTAAAAAATGAAAATAACATTAGAGTTGGAGAAGATAGCCAGACACTGTAATATTATAATTATGATATGAAAATGATTCATGCATCAGTGGCACTGTGCAGTTTACCAACACTTTCATACACGTTTTATTCGATGGCCATTAAATGTTAGGAAAACAGAGAAGATAAGGTCCCCAGTCTCAATGGCTGAGTGAGGTCAGGCAACATGCCCAAAGTCACAAGCTTATGAATCGGTGGAAGGGGAACCAGAGCTGAGACCTCCTGACCCGTCCTGCGCAGTTTTAACCACACCAGGTCACGTGGCCCCTCATGGTCAGGGTGCAGAGGTCCAGGAACCCAATCCAAGACCCTGACAGCACCCAGCAGGTCAGCCTAGAGGGCTGTGCACCAGGAACTGACATGGGCCACCCTCTAACACAAAGCTCGGCAGTGGAACGGGACAAGAGCTCTGGAAGAAGGAATAGCATGCGCCAAGGCCCAGAGGCAGGGAGGAGAGAGATGAGGTTGGCAGGGACCAGACTGGTTTTAACCTGATCTCACAAGCTGTGGGATGTCATGAAAGAGTTTTAAGCCAGGGAGCGACAGGATCATGTTTGCGTTTTACAAAGAGACCTCGTGGGTGCTGTGTGGATGGAGCTTGGTGGAGGAGTTCCAGCAAAGGAGTTTGGTCGGGGAGTGACTTAGGAGGCTGTGGAAATGCGGGTTGCCTGGCTGCAGGGATGAGGGACTGAGGTGCAGGAGGACCCTCGGCTTTCTGGCCTCAGGGTGAGCAGGCGGGGACACAAGTCACTGAGTGGGGGTTTTCAGGGGGATCTGCAGGGGGGTCTGGATGGGTAGATGGCCGAGACACAGAAGCTGGCAGAGTGTTCTCGGAGGAGGAGGAGGAGGAGGAGGGAGCGAGAGGAACAGGAGCCCCCAGGCCACGCCTTCAGGAGTGCCCACACCTGACGCTCAGGAAGAGAAGCTTCCCCAGGGAGCAGGTAGGGAAGACACACCCTGAGAGCTTGAGAGGGAAGCCGCGGAGGCCAAGAGGGAAGGTGAACACCGAGAAGGGTGGAAGAAGGTCCCTGGCTGGTAAGGGCACGGAGAAGAAGTGGGAGATCCTACGGCTGTCGTGACAACCTCGTCGGTGCTCCTGCGTGTGGGCCCTGGAGGCCACCCGACCTCGTGGGTGTTCAGGGCAGACGCTGCCACGTACTGTGTGGATGAGACCAGGGGACACGTCGGGAATGGGGACTCAACAGAGACAGAAGTAGGTCAGGGGTCACGCAGCGCTGGAGGCGGGGGAGGAGGGACAGGTGATCACTGATGGGAATGGGTTCTTGAGGGGCGATGGGAGACGAGGGACAGGTGATCACTGATGGGAATGGGTTCTTGAGGGGCGATGGGAGACCCCCACATGTGGCCGTGGCATCTGTGAGCACAGCAGTGGCCCTGGGCGGCACACTGCAAGTGGGTGAACTGTGCAGTGAGGACCATCTCTCCGTACAGCTGGCGAAAGGAAGGATGGTGATGAATGTGTCAGCCTCACCCTGGACCTCGGGTGGGAAGGACCCAGGAGCCCTCAGCAAGGCGTTCCCCACGGCGGAGGCTGCACCAGATGGAAGGGAGGAGACATGGACACAGAGGCAGCCCCTGCATGGAGGGCGGGGAGAGGCCGCTCGGCACCCAGAGTGAGCGCCCAGGTGAGCAAGAGGCTTTCGGTTTGCAGAAATGTCTAAGCAGGTTGCTGAATAATGACAGCAAGAGGAGACACTGATTAGACCCGGGGCAGAAAACATAACCCCCTCCCTACATCTACCTGCAAAGCCACCTCTTAGGGGCTCTGAGGGCTTTCAGAAAACTCAGAAACAGCTCTCTCGGGGACCAGCACTATATGCCCCTCACAATTTGACTTGGTTTGAGAGAGGGTGGGTGGTTAAAAAAAAAAAAAAGGCATAAATCCATCACCAGTAAAATAGGAATACCACTGAAAGAGTGAGATAAGGAGAATGTGCGTGGGCTGTGACTGGTGATGGCCACGGGAGAGGCAGATGTGCTGGCTCGTCACGCCCCCGCTTCTGGAGCCACACCAGCCGTGGGTCAGTCCTCGGGGGACATTAGCTCTAGGGCAGCTCCCCCCAGAAAAGCCATGCCCTCTCCATAGAAGTGGCAGGAACGCAAACCCAGTGGCCCTCTGAGGTTGGCCATCGTAGGTCGCATGTGGCAGCCTCGCTGGACCAGGCTCATGATTGGGAAGGAAGGCGTCTGTGGCACACCAGGCCCCTGCTTGGCTGGGAAGCCACCTCAGCATGTGCCAGGCTCAGAGGACACCAGCCCAGCGCTGCCCCTGTGCTGGCATTGAGGGTTCTGTGAATGGCTGCGCCTGGGCCTGCTCCACACACAGCAAGAACCGGACTGAAGGAGCCAGGGGTAGGACTGGGTCTTCATCCTGGCCCCGCCAACTGTGGCCCTGTGCGTCTGCATGCAATAGCCTCTCAGCGCTGTGATGCTGTCCTCCAGCATGGTGACAGATGAGCGGATGGTGGGCCTGCCCCCACCTGGGTGCAGCCAGCATTCACATCTGCCTGGGCTGGATTCTAATGGGAGCCCACAGCCCAGGGGCATCTACCCCAGTGCTTCTGCTACCTGAACCTCAGAAATGGGTTTGCTTTGGTGGAACTGGTGTATTACCAACGAGCGGAATGTGATCCGCTGATCCTCTTAATGGTGTTAGAAACAGCTCTTGCTGGAGAAAGCAAAAGGTATTCAAGGTGTATGGACTGGCTTAAATCAAGAGTCACCTCCTTTGCATGAACAGAGTTTAAGGATCTAGTGAGGGTGGCAACTGCACTGAAGCTTGGTCCCTAAACAGATCACGGGACTCTGGCTGCCCGATGCCAGCTGAAGGGCAGGGATATCTGCCTTTGAAATACTGTCAGGTCAGCCTCAGGCCAAGCCCACGCTCAGAGCTGTTGGAGCATCTGTGAGACAAAAGGCTGGGTCTTCACGAGTGCTAAGAAATGGGGGTGAACTGCTCTGTCTTGGGCCTGCTGCCCCTGGCTGATGAATTCCCAAGTGTCCGCCCATGGGCAGAGTTGGCTGCAGCTTGCTTTCCTTACGATCAGGTAGTGCAGTCCTGGGGGACCTCTCATCCTTGCCCACGTCCGCCTCTGCGGAAGCTCCCGTGGAGGACCTGAGAGGTGTGCGGGACAAAACTGGCTCATTACCTCTCAGCGAGCACAAACACTGAAGGCCCCTGCACGGGAAGCCCACTCAGCGGCTGTCATCGCAGCGAGATGCAGCCTGCAGCGCCCAGCAGAGGGTGAGGATGCGGGAGATCAGGGTGCTGGACACACCCCCTTTCACTCTCGGTGGTGGGGATCGGGGCTCTGGACATGTCCCCTTTCACTCTCGGTGGCGGGATGTCCCCTGGAAAGACGCACTCATGGACCAACCCCTGCACCTGTGAATGGGACCTTATTTGGAAACAGTCTTTGCAAATGTGATGGAGTTAGTCATACTGCAGCGGGGCAGATTCCAATCCAGGGAAGGGTATCCTTAAAGGAAGAGGGGAGAACGCACAAAGACAGGGAGGGCGAGGCGGCCAGGCAGGATGGAGGATGGAGGCAGAGACTGGAGCCACGCAGCTACAAGCCAGGGCCGCCTGGTCTCCCGGCAGCCAGAAGAGGAAAGAAGGACCCCTCCTTGGAGCCCTCGGAGGGCGAGACCCTGCCGATACCCCCATCTCAAACTTCTGCCTCCAGGGTTGGGAGAGGAGAAACCTGTAGTTTCAGGCCACCAGGTTTGTGACCTCCTGTCATGGCAGCCCTGGGAGACTTGCGTGCCACCCAAACTCTCTCCACCGAACCCTGCTCAGCCTCCAGGCCAGGCTGAAATCCCACCTTCTCCTCGTGCCCTGGGAGAAGGGAACTTCTCAGACCCCAGAGTGTTCCCAGACCCAACATCTCATCTGCCCCACTCACAGGGGCTCGGTGGACGCCGAGGGGCCGCACTTACCTATAGCGGGCAACACAGAGGTGGACCTTCCCCGAGTATCTCTGCTTGGAGGTATTGGAATTCCGTTCATTCTCCATCTGTGAAAAAGGCAATGGGTGTGTGGGTTATTGAAGCTGGAGGTGTCCCACCCCATTCCCGCGGCACACGGGAAAGCCCCTCGCAGCTTCCTGGGCCCCAGGAGGGACGGCCTGAGACTGTGGCACTCCCAGGAGGCACTGCCACCCGCACACCCACATGCGAGCTTGGAAAGGAGGGTGGTCCCTCGGTGTGGACCCCTTATTACATAGGCCCCCTCTGTGTTTGTAGAGAACCCAGTCCCCAAACAGGAAGGTAAGGCTCAAAGACTCCGCCCAGTGTCTCCTACAGCAATCCCGGGAGTCAGCGGCGTGGCCTTTTCTCATAGGGGTGGGGGTAAAATTAAGCAGTATGTGCACGACCCCCCAGTGATCCCACTCTCACTCCCCCTAGTGCATTCCCCACACAAGCTGGAACAGTCTTTAAGCAGGAATTAGACCACATCACCCCCTGCCTTAACAGCTTTCAGTGGCTTCACCTCGGACTCAGACAAAAAGCCAAACGCTGTCCTCTGCCCCCGCCCCCTCTCCAGCCACACCAGCCCCTTCCCATCAATGCCACAGGACAGGACGCGCAGGGCCCTCCCCAACCTCCACAGGCCCCTCCCGGCCAGCTCTGCGTCAACAGCCTTGCTGCGTCATCCTTGCACCCCTCGATGGGATTTGCTTTTCTAAACGCTGCCTCGCCAGTGTTCTCTCTGCTCCCCCTTAGAACAGGGACCTCACCTGTGTTCACAGAGGGGCCCCCCCACATTCCAGCACATAGTAGGGCAAGGGAATTAACAGGGGCAAAGGGAAGAACCAACCAGAAGGAAGACAGGGAGGAAGATGGGGAAGAAAAAACAGGACAAACTGGCCAACGTCCACACCAGACACACACAGCACAGGCAGCCCCGGCAGCCCCTGCGGGACGGGACTCACGTCTGACTCAGATCTGCATCTTGCGCTACCGGATCTCGACAGGAAG
Organism: Homo sapiens; assembly: GCF_000001405.40. Taxonomy (NCBI): domain Eukaryota; kingdom Metazoa; phylum Chordata; class Mammalia; order Primates; family Hominidae; genus Homo; species Homo sapiens. The sequence goes on from NC_000012.12 coordinate 130,451,241, forward strand.
GTGGGCTTGGCGGACAGAGGCTCCGGCCTGTCACCAGGCTGCGGAAGGGGCCGGATATATTCACCGATCGCAGAGCTGCCTCCAATAGCGCTCTCCTGACCTGGCCACGAACATTAAAACAAGTTGAAACAAATATGCGAATAACATCGTCAAAGCACGTTGGTCATGCGCCTACCCGGGGTGCCTTTCCCCTCTTTGACAACAGCCACTGATTTTCATTTTGGGGTCCACCCGTCTCCTGCTCGCCATCTATGTAGGCTGGCGGCGCGACCCCACCCTCAGCTCTGGGCCCGTCCAGCTGGCAGAGCCACCCTGGCGGTAACGCTGTTTGGGGGCTCAGGACGAGGATGGTCCCAGGCAGAGGGAACTAAAGGAGAGTTGATGGCAAACAGGCTGCTCCTTTCCTTGGCTTAAAATTGAGCAGCTGTGAAGCTCAGGGAGGCCGCAAACCTCCTGCACCTGCGAGAGGAACGCTCACGTGAGGACGGCGCCTGCTCACAGCGAGACCGAGAGAAAGTGGATCCCGGCGATGGGCTTGGAGCCCCTGGTTCAAGATGTCCCTGAAGCCACGTCCTGGCTCTTCATCTACTCAGGTGACAGACAGACTCCTTTTTGCTCACACCAGTTTAGGTTGGCTTTGCTGTCACTTATGACCCTGAGTCCTAACTGGCCAAAGGGGTGGGTTTGTGGCTAAAAAAATACTCTTGACGAGAGATTTGCAAGGGCTGAAATAGTTCTTATCCCGTCCTATCCTCCTGGGGTCTCAGGGGCTGCTGAGCCCTGTCCTGGTTGCCTGGAAGGGAGCATTGAGCAACGTGACTAACGCTGGCCTGGGTGTCAGACGACAGCGCAGCACTTTAACCAGGATCCGGGTGTGAAACATGACGCGGCTGCTTCCTTCCCAAGCTCTCCGCTGCTGGGAATGATGACACCCCCTCCCTGGGGTCCTCGGTCCCTCTGTAGCTGTCACATCATGACAGTCACCTCACTGATGAATATGAATTGCTGAGTCCAAATCAGTAAGTATAAAATGATTTAAAAAACCATGAGGAATGTTCCACAACGGCTGCCCTAGGAGCCGCCCCTAGCAGGCCCCACAACTCCAGGCTGGAGTGAACAGCAGGACAGCGCCACCATGGCAGGGAATTGGAGCTGGGGCAGCCCTGCCCTGGGGTCCCCTGTGAGAACATCTGATCCTGGAGGGCAGGACCTTGTTGTATTCACTATAACATGGCTCGGCGTGTAGCAGGTGCAAAGTGAATATCGAACGATTCAGCTTCCAGAAGCCTCGGAAACCCAGCCGACAGCAGAGCCTGCTGCAGGCTACTCCCCTTCCAACTGGCATTGCTGCCTCTTCTCTGCTCCCAGCCACGAGAGTCACCTGGGCCAGTGAACCTTGAGGGGAGTGGCAGGCTCCACTTGTGGGCAAAAGCCACTTTTCCTCCCCACACAGTGGCCAGGGAACTTTCCAGAGAGGAAACACTGTCCTCCAGCGTTCCGAGACCTGGGGGGCCGCGTGTGACTGCAGCAGAACTTGGCCCTTCCTGCCTGACACCGCGCCACAGTGAACAGCAGGGGACGGCACAGCTGATGAAGGTGATATGAATACAGTAGTCACCTTGTATTCACAATTTATCCAAACCCAACTCTCTAGGGAAAAATAACGTAATCCCCGTGGCAGCTTTTACCTGCCATTGTGCCTGAGAAGACAAGGTGAGATTAGAAACAAAACGTGCAGTGCCTTCAAATGGGGCTGGTTCCCACGGGCCCCTCGAGATGCAAACACCGCGCTCTCTCATGATGGTAATGCTTCAAAATACGTATGTTCTAGAAAAATATAGGTCAAAAAAATGTTGACTCAAAAAACCCAGCTCCCATACTGGAAGGAAAACTGGCTGCGCCAGGGATAGGAGAGGCCACGCCTCTCCCCAACACACTCCTTCCTAGGAGGTTGCCGGGGACAGTGTGGCCCATGAGCAACGCCTGCCCTCACATACTGACTGCAGCGCCTCACTCTGTGTCAGAGGTGCCTCCCCATACAGGGCGCGAGTCCCTTTGTGGCCTGCCCCAGCCACAGGCTGGAGGAGCCCTGGGTGAAAGTGCAGGTGAGTGACAGCACATCCACCCGGGACCCCTTCTCTGTCTTGCGGCCAGCCCTGCACCTTCCACCATCCTCTCTCTCAGGTCAGTGTGGGAAGATCTGCGGCAGATGAACAGGTAAAAAATACAGATTTGAACACAATGGGATGTTATCCGGCCTCAGGAAAGGAGGACACCTGGCCCTTTGTGACAACACGATGCACCTGGAGGACTCTCTGCTACGTGGAGTAACCCAGGCACAGAGATACAAACATGGCACGGACGGCCCCCACTCACGTGGGAAACCTCAACAAGGCCAACTCGCAGAAGCAGAGAACAGAACAGTGGTTTCCAGGGGCCGGGCCGGGGGCTGTTGATCGAAGGGCACAAGATGAATACTCTTTGGGGATCTCCTACACATAAACGTGAATGCAGCTGAAATGCTGGGTTGTAGGCCAAGGCGGTGGCTCACACCTGTAATCCCAGCACTTTGGGAGACCGAGGCAGGTAGATCACCTGAGTTCAGGAGTTTAAGACCAGCCTGAACAACATGGTGAAACCCCATCTCTACTAAAAATACAAAAATTAGCCAGGCGCGGCGGTGCACACCTGTAATCCCAGCTACCTGGGAGGCTGAGGCAGGAGAATCGCTTGAACCTGGGAGGCGGGGCTTGTACTGAGCCGAGATCACACCATTGCACTCCAGCCTGGGCGACAGAGCGAGACTCCAATGCAAAAAACAAAACACAAAAAACAAAATGCTGGATTATAGACTTGAAGTTTACAAAGGAGGCAGATCTTAAGGGTTTTCACCATGAAAAGAAAAGGTAACCACGTGAGGATGTGGATAGGAGGTGGTATGTTAATTAGCTTGGCTGTGGTGATTATTTCACAATTGATTTATGTTACATCGGATCAAGTTGTATACCTTAAATATGTATGATTTCTAATTATCCACTATACCTCAAAGTTGGAAAAAATGTACAAAAATAAGTAAACACATTCAGAGAGTGGGGGAAGAAAGAATAAAACAAGAGGAGACCCTAAGCAGAGGCCTGGAAGAGGGGCCTGCGCTGTCTGCAGGGAGGAGTGTCCTGGTGGGATCGGGGTGCTGTGGGGCAGCTCTCTGGAGGCACTGGTGTCCACCGCCGTCATAAGCGACATGCACTGTGAGGGGAGTGCCAGGGCAATGCCAGGGGATATGGGCATGGGCCATGCCAGGCGACCCCTGGTGGGTGAGGAAACTGTGATTAAATGAACTGGATTCATTAGGAGGGTGCGTCTTCCAGACAGTTGTTAAACAGAAGCCGTGGTGCAAACCTTCTTCTCTGCCAGGCGGCCCTGGCTTAGTAAAGGCATGGTACCACTTTGTTTTTTTGGTTTTATGCAGTGTGCATTTTCCACAGTGGTTAATCAGATTCCTTTTTCCATGCTGGCCAATCCCTGTTCCCGCCTCCCTGTCCCGGGAGCTTTGCAGCGGGTTCCACATTCACATGCTGTGGGCCTCGGACTCACCGGGCAGGCCTGGGACTGCTGTTTACAGAAGGGCCAGCTTGCAAGGTGGGTCACTGGCTAGTGTCTGGAACTCAGCTTCTGAAATGTCCCCTACACTGGATGGAAACATCCCCTGACTGATAAAGGCAGGCCTAGCTTGTGCACACCACACAGCTCACACTGAACACCTGCTTTCCTTCCAGGAGTCTGGAGCTTCGGTGGGCACGGTGCCCGCGCAAGCAGCCCCCAGGAAAAGCTCTGGACCCAAGTCTCAGTGGGTTTCCCAGAGCAGAAGCCGTGCGTTTCTTGTCGCACGGAGTGGGGCTCTGTGTGGCCCTTCACGGGAGGGAGAGAGACAGCATGGAGACACGTGCATTCTGTTTTCCCCTGGGAAGAACGGAAACCGTCTTGTTTTCCTCCACTCTTCAGGTGTCACAGCTCAAATGTGGTTTCTTGGCAGCCGCCTTCCAGGACCATCTAGAAGAGCCCAAGTCACTGTCCACCTCATCACCTGGTCTTCATGCAGCGTCTGGATCAGAGGCTCCCCACGTATCGTCTGCCCGCCAGCGGGAGCTCCGCACGGTGCCCTGTCTGTCTCTCAGCGTTGCAACCTAGGCAGGGCATGCAGCCTGGGTGTCGTGAGTGCCTGGAGATGAGCGGCAGAGCGCTCGGACCCTGGTCCCTGCCTGCTGGCCTCCCACAGCCACGACCACTTACCCCACCCGGCATTCTCTCTGATGCGTGGACCAAAAGGGAAGGGCATGGGAAGGCGTGGGACGAGCGGAGAGGCAGGAGAATGTTTTTTAGCAAGACACAAGTGGCATCTCCTTATTTTAATGATAAAAAGCACCCAAGGTACTTATATATTCTGATAAGAACTAGGGGAAATTTGCAAATTATCTTTTTTACAGAATTCCAAAGTGAGGTTCAGACGCTCATCTCCCCTAATTTTTTTTTAAACCAACTTCTTAAACAGGTGGGCAGACCTGGCCATGAAACCTGTCTAACCTCTGCATCCCACTTAACCTTCAGCCAGGACGTAGCACCTCCACCGAGGTCTGATTAAAGGACATCTGTGATCGCTCTGCCTGCGACCAAGACTAAATCCCCCAGCACACACACAGGGGGCTTCTCCCCACCCGGCCTCTAAGCAGGACTGTGATGGGCGAGGGCTCATGTTCACCACTGCCTTTGCTAGAACAGAGGTTCCAAGCACGTCCCAACATCACCAACAAGTTACTGAGATGAGAAGGAAGGAAAAACAACGAACACAGAGAAATGAGCTTCACAGAGCTTTGGAGTACCCAGCCAAGAAATCCTTGTGGAGTCGTTGCCAGTGCAGACTCTGCAGCCAGACTCCTGGGTTCAAATCCCAGACTGAGCCTCCATCAGCATCTGTGTGACCCACACTAGTGCTTTGGTTTTTCTCGCCTGTAAAATGGGCCCATTTTACAGGTGAGAAAATGTGTGGGTCCCACATTTGTGGATGCCCGTGAGGTGCTGAGTGTACCGTGTGCCCCACGGCTGTGAGCAGCCCTGTTCTCATCCTTCCCATTGCAGTGGCGGGTCCCTGTACCCTCTGCCAGGTGTCACCAAACCGATTTCACCTGTGCACACCCTCGCAGGCAGCCAACGGCCATTCTCTCCCCACCACAGCCAAGGCGGAAGGTCCAGGCGCTTACCTTTGCCGAGGGAGGTGGCTAGGCCATTCATGAACTGTGGGAAAGGCTTGCTGGGGGCCGTGGAGATGTCCAGGGGGGCCACCGCGCTGCCACCCAGCAGGTCAATCTTGCCAGCGTGCTGCCGGAACTTCTCCAGGTCCCGGGACAGCAGGTTGAACTGCTCACTTTGAGTCCGGCATTTCTCTTCCAGCTCTCGAACCTTGGACTGCACGGCAGAAGCAGGACAGGGGGTCAGCGGTGGCATTTGGTGGTGGAAATGTGTGTGCGCCTGTTCACATGTGTTGTACGTGTGCACATGTGCACTGTGTGCACGTGTGTACACACGTGTTGTGTCTGTGAAAATGCATGTGTGGTTGAGTGTGTGCATATGAGCATGTATCCTGTGTGCACGTGTCTGTGTGTGACATGTGCAGCAGGGGCCGCCTCCCACTTTCACGGGAGAGCAGTGCCTGATAAACCCAGCTTCTCCTGCCACCTGGCTACTGGCCAATGTGAGAAACCACAGGTGCCAAGAAATCCTGCAAACACTCAGCTCCCAGCCAACCGTAGATTGTTCTGGGCTGTGCGTGCAGCCCGGGCACTTTGCAGTTGGCAGGCTTTGCTAGAGCTGTTTGGAACTTGGAGTATGAGGCTGTGATGCGGCCCAGACTCAGGGGAGCAGCTCAGGTGCTGTCCCATGGATGCAAGGATGCAATTCTTCTCATCCAGGGCGCCCGCCCCCTCGGACTGTAGAACCCTTAAGAGCACCACTTGGAGCAATAAGGACTCTCTATCTGCTATGTTCAGTTAGCAACACTGCTGCATTTGCAGACAACACGAAGCCACGTCGGGAGCCCTGGGGAAGGCAAGCGTCTCCCCCAGGGACACGCACAGGAAAGGGGTAGCCCAGCAAACTCCTTCCTCGGGTCAGGACAGGCCTGGGCTGTGTCCAGTCTCGGGACATCTCTGACCCTTGTGGGCTTCCTCCCAGGTCAGAGGTGCATGGGCAAAGCCCCGCTCCCTGCTCCCCTGGGACTTGAGCTCTACATAAGACATGGCCTCCTGACATAGGTTTCTGGCACCCATCACAGAAGGTGCAGGACAGAGGGGTCTACAGAGGACCCACTCTACCTTCTCACCCCGCGTTCCTTTCTCCACTGTGCTGACCGCCCCCCGGCACTGCAGTAGCTCCTGGGCTATTCGTTTCTTGTCGGTGTCCACGGCTACACTCTCGGCCCCAAGCCTCTGCTTTCTGGCTCAAGGACACACCTTCGATACTCTGCATGGACTCAGCACCCAGCAGGTGCTCAAAGAGCGTTTGCTGAATCAGTGAAAAAGGCGAGCCCTGAGCTGTGGGCACCGTGCTCCTCGTGGGGATGGCTTGTCAGGTCTGCATGCAAAGCCGCTTTCTTGCCACTCCTTACTTTAGGATGGCCGGGAACATCCCATTTATGGGGTTATTCATGTCATCTGTGGGGCTGACGACACTGACGTTTCCCCCAGTGAAATGTCAGCCCCATGAGGGCAGGGCTTTGTCTGCCTGTTTCCTGCTGCGTCCCGGACCTGAGCAAAGGGCTCAGCAACAGCCCCCCACCTCCCCCTCCCCTCCTCCGCCCCTCCTCTTCATCCATCCTCTCCCCCACTATCCCTCCACAGGCAGCAGGCTTCTCAGCTCCTTAGTCCAGAATGAAGCACTATTTATGGCTGAGATCATGGATTTCTAAAATAAACCTAACAAATCCAAAGCCTATAATTAATTTCTTTGATTCATTAAAAGAAATCAGCAGTATTCTTCTTTAAAAAGCTGAATGGGCTTGGCCAAGCCGGCTGTGTCTACCAAGATAGGCATAGAGCTAAAAACCCAGGGGCTCTGGGGCCTGACATGGAAAGCATCGGAGGGAACCCAAGCCCAGGGACAGCTCCGACCCCAAATGTGGGGTCTGCAGGTGGGATGACGACTTGGCTTCGCAGGGCTTGCAGGGGCTCTGACTCTGCTGGTTCAGCCCTTAAGACAGAGTGACGGGCCCTGCAGGGCAGCCAGGGTCCTGGCCAGGGAACAGCTGCCACTGCCCGCTGCAGGCAAGGCCGGACCCCGGAAGGCCCTGAGCTCAACTGTGTGAGCCAACGAACCCCCAGGCACCCATGGGGCACTCGCGGAGCCTTCCCAGGGTGTGGAGAAACAGGAGACATTTAATAGTCATGCATTCATTCTAACATGTGACAGGGAACATGTAACTGGCACACCCATTCCCTAATGTCGTGTCTATGAAAATGACCTAACTAAAATAGGCCAGGCACGGTGGCTCACGCCTGCAATCCCAGCACTTTGAGAGGCCGAGGTGGGCGGATCACCTGAGCTCAGGAGTTCGAGACCAGCCTGGCCAACATGGTGAAACTCAGTCTCTACTAAAAATACAAAATTAGCCGGGCAGGGAGACACGCGCCTGTAGTCCCAGCTATTTGGGAGGCTGAGGCAGGAGAATCACTTGAACCCGGGAGGCAGAGGTTGTAGTGAGCTGAGATCGAGCCTCTGCACTCCAGCCTGGGCAACAAGAGTGACACTCTGTCTCAAAAAAAAAAAAAAACAAAAAAAAAGTGAATAGACTTTTCATACAAAAATCTTGAAATGATAAAATTATAGCAATAAAGAACAGATCAGCGGTTGTCAGGGTTTTGGGTTAGGGGAGGGTGTGACGAGGGACGGTGCCATGAGGGAGTTTCTCTGGGTGACAGAGCCGTCTGTACAGCTGATGGTGGTGGTGGTGGTGGTTACGAGAATCTGTATATACCACCAAATGCCATACAGCTATATACGAAAAAAAAAAAAGAGTGGATATAAACACTCGAGAAAGCAAGTAAATTCCCCAGCATGCTACAGTGCTGCTCCCACGCCAGCTTCCCGGCTTTGAGAACACACTCTGGCTACAGAGACACCACCACCGGGAAGCAGGAAGAGGGGCCACGGGAACTCCCCCTGCTGTCTTTGTAAATTCCCGTGACCCTAAAATTACTTCAAAATAAAGTTTTCAGAAATGAAGAGATTTTAAACAATAGGAACTAAGAATACAGGTGGCATACAGAGATGGTGAAGATAATGAAAGGTACCACCCCATCAAGGGGGCTAAGGGCGGCTGAGGTCACAGGAGCCTAAAGCGGGTTCTGCATCTGATACACACCTGCCAGCAGCCTGCAGGCTGCGGGCTGCCTGCTTTTGTTTGCAGGAGGACAGGTCGTCGCAATACAGAGGGAACAGGGCAGGCTGTCTGCTCTCACATGGTTCCATGGGACTCCCAGAAATGACGGGGGGTGGGGGGCCAAGGACGAGGGTGAGCCGAGCAGCAGCTGCATACTCTCTGTGGTTTGGTCCCCAGGGCCTGGCAGGGCCACTCCCACGCCTGTGTCCTATGGGGGCCATAGTGGCGCTTCCCAAGGTCAGCCCCTTGCCCTGGCCCATCAGTCCATCCTCAACCGTTAGTTCACGACTTGGCACAGGGTGGACATTTAACAGATATTTGATGGATCACAATAAGCTGCGGGTAAACTAATCTACGCACAGGAACTGTGGAGTACCCTTCAGTTAGAGATGAACCAGGTCACCTCTGTCCAAGGGAGACAGAAAACGGGTGGAGAAGCAGCCACCAGGTGGCTCACCAAGGAACCCTGAGACCCCTGCACAGGGGCCGCTGTGTCATCACAGGCCTGGGTGTTCATCAGGGCCGGGTTCCCTCTCCCACGGGGAACCCTCAGCTCTAGGTATCCTGTGAGTCTGTGCTCCAGGCCCCACTCTGTGCACAGAGGACGCAGGCCCCTCGGTAGGCTGGAAGTGCCGTCAGCAGCAGCAAAGCGGCGCTCGCAGGAGCAGCCGTAATCATGGTGGCAGTATTGGTATTGATGAGCAGTACTAGTATCAGTAGTACTGGTATTTTCATCACCTGCAGTAGTAGAAGTCTTGCTTTGGTATTAGAGCATTAACAGCAGTGGTAGCAATAGCAGTGTTTTTTGTAGGAATAGCATTGGTATGAGTAGTGGTATAGTAACAGTGCTGTTGGTATTAGTATTAATAGCAGCCTAGTATTAGCAGCAGCAGCAGCAGCAATATTGGTATTATTTGTACTAGTAGCAACAGTATCATTATTACTACCTGCAAGCGTACTGGCGTTATCCTTCACAGTCACAGTTTGGTGTTAGTATTAGTAGCAGCAGCAGATGCAATATTAGCAGCAGCAACAGCAGGGATATTGGTGTTCTTAGAGTGGCAGCCAGCCACTGTCCTTGCTTCCCCCGCAGATTCCCCAGGGCCTGGCGCCGGGGACATCCACCGCGTTCTGAGGGGGTGTCGGGAGCAGGAGGCCCACGGGCAGCAGTGACGGGGGAGAGCCAGCTCGCCTTGAGCCCCGTCCCACAGTCCCCTCACCCAACTGGGCTCACTGCACAGGAGATTCCATGCCCTCCTGTGACACAAAGTCACTCCCTTCTTGAAGCCTGAGAAACGCCCCCAGGCTCCCAGCTGTCACCTCCTCCCGGAGGGTGTTTCTCCTCCAAGGGGCCACCAGATAGGGCCAGTGGTTCGCCATCCACAAGGGACCCATCCGCACGACCCAGCTACTTCCTGCCAGGCTCCACCCGTGACACTAGGGGTCACATTTCCACATGAGATGTGGATGGGAGGATGCCCTAGCCACACTGCCCTGCTTCTCTCGAGGCGGCTGCAGAGAGCCTGGCCCAGGGGTTGTAGGGACGCTGGCTCTGCCCAGCCCATTCTTGCCAACTGCTCCTTACACCTCGGGGGGTCCCGGAGTGGACTTGAGTGCTACAGCAAATCACCGTGTGGACACAGTCCTGCACGCAGACTGGCAGGGGTGCCAGCAGGGGCAGGGGCAGGGTAGACCTGCAGGAACTCAGGATGGGGTGGTGAGCAGGGCAACCAGCTCTGTCCAAAGGGGCCGGTGCCTCGGCCCGGGTGCAGCCCACCAAAGACAAAGCTAAAGCTTCTGGTTTCCCAGGAGCAGCAGGGCATTGTCCCCTCCACATCTCATGTTGAAAAGCTAAAGCTTCTGGTTTCCCAGGAGCAGCAGGGCGTCGTCCCCTCCACATCTCATGTTGAAATGTGACCTCCAGTGTTGGAGGCGGGGCCTGGCGGGAGGTGTCTGGGTCCTGGGGGTGGATCCCTCATGAATAGCTTGGCGCTGTCCTTGCCATAATGAGCAGGCTAAGTTCACACAAGGTCTGCTTGTTGAAAAGAGCCTGGCACCTCCCATACCCTCCTGCTCTCAGCACACGACACGCCTGATCCCCCTTTGCCTTCTGCCATGATTGTAAGTTTCCCAAGGCCTCCCCAGAAGCCAGCACACCCCCTGTACAGCCTACAGGACCATCAGCCAGTGACTCCTTCATAAATCACCTTCATAAACCTTCATAAATGGCCCAGCCTCAGGCATTCCTTTATAGCAAGAACGGCCTGACACACCCAGGGAATTTTCAATTCACCGGAAGTCTCACATTTTAAACCCTGCTGAGTATTTCAAGGCCCATCAGCAGCCTGGGCTGACAGGCATGTCTAGAGATGGCTGCAGGCTGTGGCTGCTGGCCGTGGTGCTGCTCTGCACGACAGCATGGTGACACTCCCGCATCAGCAGGTTGGGTGTGTGGGGGGTCAGGTTGGATCAAATGCCCTCATGGCCCTGTAGATGCCCCCGGCTGTACCCACATAAGCCTCCGACACACAGGACGATCCCTCACTTGCTCCTGGGCCTGGGGGGTTCTGGAACTTAGAATTTGTGACCCTCTGCATGCCTACATCCACCTGGGCATTGAACACGCACTTACAGACAAGCTGGGCGATGCATTGCCATAATTGAGGATCCCACCCAGGGGTGGCCAGTGCAGATACCAGGAAGGCCGCGCTGCCGCAAGCCTGGAGACAGCTGCCCCGAGGATGCCTGCCCGGCTGCGTCTCCACCGAGGCCCAAGGCACGCTACTCGGCGTGACCATAAGCATAAGGGATGGGAGAAACGGGCATTCGTTGGTTAAAGTGAAGATATGTCACCCAGCTCACACATCTTAGCACTGCCTCACCTTTGAACGAGCAGGGTGTGGACTAGTGAGGCCCTGCTCCTGCGGTCTCAGGCACAGTGCTCAGAGCTGGGTCTCTAGCTGGTCCTGTGTGTGGACGCTGACTCGAGGAATCTGGTTGCCCTAGTCCCTGTGCAGTTGACGTGCTTTCCCCGAATGAGCATCATGGGGCCAAAGCGCAAGCACCCTCCTAGCAGGGCAGAGCGCTGGCACCACGTGGAGCTCACAGACCAGGCATGGAATGTACCCTCTCCTGCCTGCTTGTCCACCAGCACGTGCTCCGTAAATGCTTGTCTGATGGGAGAATCTGCTGTGAGACTTGCTTTCCTTGTAACCTACAATGAAGGTGTGGAACAGGGGCACAGCCTCCCCCACCTCAAATTCCTACCAAGGAGAACCTAAGAGTCCTGCCCGCCCACATCCAGCTTGTTTGCACCTTTCCTTTAGGCTCCTCGCCTGAGCACAGCTCCCTGGCGTCTTGGCAGCAGGGAAGGCTCTCGTGACTGCCAGGGGGGTCCCTGCTGGGGCTAAGAGCTTCCAATTGCCTATGGGGAGGAATTGCCAGCAGCAGCCGCTTCCAAAGCATGCTGAGAGAAAAGAGCAACCCGTGGTCCTGCCCCAGGCAGGCGCATTTACACCTCGATATTTATTTCCGGATACAGAGTGCTGTCCTGTCTGGGTTTGGGACTGGGCCTGGGTGTCACCCCGGCTGCAGGGATGCAGGGACACACCCAGCCCCATGGTGCTGCTCCTCCCCATCCCGAGGCCACCTGCTCGGCGCTAGGGTCTGCAGGGCACTGCTCAGAAGCAACTGAGTCCGGACCAGGCAGGAACAGATGGCAGAGTCATCAGGCAAGTCAACTGTAATTGGAACAAACAGCAGAGGCTCGCAAATGTGGATGTGGCTATTTCTAAAGACAAGGGGGAAGCATCCAAAGACACCCCCACAGCTCCCCCAGCTCCTGGCTCAGTGCCCTCCTCTGGCTTCCCGGCCTCTGTGAAGAGGGGTGATAAGCAGGCGCTGTGCTGGCGGCTGGCATCCAAACGGGGTGGTTCTGAGAGCAAGGGGCCAGATGCATAATCACTCCAGAATCATAGGCAGAACCCAGGGACGGTCCAGGCTCACCGGGTCACTTGACTTAGTGTCAGAGGCGTTCAAACCACAGCGACTCCATCTTGAATAGGGGCTGGGAAAGATGAGGCTGAGACCTACTGGGCTGCGTTCCCAGATGGTGAAGGCATTCTAAGTCACAGGATGAGATAGGAGCTCAGCACAAGATACAGGTCTCAAAGACCCTGCTGATAAAACAGGGCGCAGTAAAGGAGCCACCGAGACCCACCAAAACCAAGATGGCAAAGAGAGTGACCGCTGGTTGTCCTCACAGCACATTACACGCTCATTATAATGCATTGGCTGCTAAAAGACACTCCCCTCAGCGCCATGACAGTTTACAGACGCCAAGGCAGCATCAGGAAGTTCCCCTACATGGCTTGAAAAGGGTGGAGCCCTCAGTTCCGGGAACTGCCCACCCTCCCCCGACAAAAACTCATGAACAATCTACCCCTTTTCAGCATATAATCAAGAAACAACCACGAATAGCCCACACTGCTGCTCTGCCTATGGAGTGGCCATCCATTCGTTTCTTCACTTCTCTCACATACTGGCTTTCGCCTTCCTCTACGGACTCACCCAAATTCTTTCTTGCGCAAGATCCAAGAACCCTCTCTTGGGGTCTGGATCGAGGCTGCTTTCCGGTAACATTAGGAAAATTTGGAAACAAATTGTCCCATGTGCTGTCTTTATGTGATTTCATTGATCACTGGCTGAATACCTACTATGTGCCAGGCCCTACGTGATTTCATTGATCACTGGCTGAATACCTGCTATGTGCCAGGCCCTCTGATTTCATAGCTCACTGGCTGAATACCTACTATGTGCCAGGCCCTACGTGATTTCATTGATCACTGGCTGAATACCTACTATGTGGCAGGCCCTGCGTGATTTCATTGCTCACTGGCTGAATACCTACTATGTGCTTGGCCCTGCCTGGGGGAGTCATGCATTGCTGCTGACTCAGAGAGACCTCCCCGGTAAGTTGGTGTTAGGCCATTGCACCAGGGCAGAAGACGAGGCCAAGAGGGACTTGCGGTCACACCCCCAGTGGGCAGTAGGACCCACCCAGGTCTCTCTGGCCTCTGAGTCTCTCTGTCCAGGGCCCACCTAAGCCCAAGCCTGTGCCCTCACTCACCCACACATTCCCCTAACACACTCACTGGCCCAGGGGTCACCCAGCCTCTGAACAAGAGCCAGGCAGGGCTGGTTCCCTGCAGGCCGAGCAGGCCCAGCGCCTGGGACCACAGCCCTTTAGCTTCAGGGGCCCACAGACATGGTTCCATTTTAGTTTCTTTTAAAATCAGAAAAGAAGTGAAAAAGGGTGAGACATACATCATGCATCCAGCCTGTGTAATACTCATCTTTATTCCACAATAGACGCAAAACACAACTGTTAGGATTATTTTATGGAGGAAGGGACGACCCCTAAAGGCAAAGGCCACACAGCCCACAATCATCCACTGCAGGCCTGAGGCCAGACGCCTGCGGGGAGGTAGACCTCAGCCTGCCTGGGAAGCAAGCACGCTGGCCACCCCGAAAGTCTCCCAGGGAGGAAGGGGGGCTGTTCAGGAAAAATAGCCGGGCTCCTCTGAGGCCGAGACGAACCAGGGCTGACATCACCTGAGGTTCAATGCCTCGCTCCAGGAGGAGACACCCAAGGCGCTGTGGAGAGAAGGCGAGGGACTCCCATCAGGGTGCCCTGAAGAACCACCACAGAGCTGCCGACACGCACACGCCAAGCACACAGCACTGGCACAGGCTCCTCATGACGTTCCCCTGACCAGGAAGCCCAGATCCTCATCTCTTAGCCCAGCCACATGGTGACAAGCACACCAGCCCCTAGACTTTTCTCAAAGCACCTGAGAGGGTGTTACCAGGCTGACTTCCTGCCCTTGGGGCCATGCCCTGGCACTTGGGAGCTGTGTGTCCTCGGGTAAGTGGCTCATTGTCTCTGTGCCCCGATTGCCTAATCAGCAAAATGAGGTGACAGAGAACCTCAGGCAGTGGTTTCAGGGGTTAAATATGACTGTATTTCTCAAGAGCCTGGGGTAAAGCGACTTCCTGCATTCCTGCCCTCTGCTACTGCTGCGCACCCAGGGAATACCAGCGGGTGAAGATGGCCCGGCCGGCGCTTCCTCAGTCTGGAGCTGCCAACACTGACTTATGATTCAGCCTCCAGTACGCTCTACAGGCAGGACCAGGGTCGCTGTCCCCTCTGCCCCCACCCAGCACCTGCAGGGAGGTCAGAGTTCTGAGCTGACAGGAAGCTGTGCTGTGCAGCAGCCGTGGAAGGCCTGGACTCCGGAGCCAAACTCCTGAGGCTTGAATGGGATTCTGCTCATGACTATCTGAGACCCTCAGGCAGGTCATTCATTAACCTCCCTGTGTCTTGGTTTCCCCCAGACATGAAGAAGATCAAGTGAAATGGGCATTATCTTGTGGATGTCTCGATGTCTCTCCTATGCACTCTCAGGACACGGCCCAGCACAGGGCACCTGTTTGAGGTGGTGGTGTTGCTCTCATTGTTTTCTTTTGCTTCTCTGTTTTGATAGGACGCTAAGTGCCAAAGGAATTATTTAACTCCTAGCAGCTGGAATCTCCCTGCTCTCAGGTTCTTAGGTTTACAAAAAGAACTGTCTTGACAGGCAAGTTCCTGAAAACCTCTGTTCTGTGTTTAAATCCTGATGCACATCTTTGCTAAACCCCAAAACTAGCTCAGGGTACTCCTGGGACCTCAGGACTTCACGCAGAGCAACCAAGAAAAAAGACACTTCCCCATTGCCACCAAAACCTCCTGGCCATTCATTCTTTAGAGAACAGGGCCCAGAAGTGTCCATGGCACTGGAGTTGTGTATGTGGGGACCGTGAAAGGAAAATAAATCTCAGGACCCCACAATCACCAAGCCAAAGGGAAGCATGAAGCTGGGAACCGTGTCAGCAAACCTGGCTTCCATTGTGCTTCTAAATAAGATAGCCGCAAAGATTAAAAAGCTACCTACCTCCCTCAGAATTTGCACACACAGAGATTCCTTGTGGACCTCAAGATCTTTATCCTAAAACAGTTCCGCTGAAGTTCACCCAGGCAATGTAAATTGATCGTTTATCTTCACAGGGATGGGACAAAGAACTCAGCTCCTAACCCTCTGCTCACCCGAGACAAAGGTATATCTGATTGTTTCTTCTGCCCTATTATTTATGCAAAAATGCAGATTCAATGAGCCAGACTAAGGCACAAATGACAATTCCTCTGCCTCCCTCTCACATGGAAATTGTGTATTCAGTGAAAGGCTCATCAGAGACTCAAAAGAATGCAACCCTTTGTCTCTTCTCTACCTATTGAAACCACCATTGCAAAATGATAACTGAGACAGTGAAAGAGATCTGACCTAACTCCATCGTGCTTCTAACCTCCAAGCTGTCCTTGTTCATTCCTGGGTGTAGGCTGAACGAACTCTGTGAGGAGCTTAGTGTGTAGTTTAGCTTTGAAACAAAGAAGATAACAGCCCTTTCCCAAAACAAGCCTCCTTCCCTGCCTGGAAATAAGACTGCCTTTGCAGGACTAACAAATTGGCCACAAGACTATAAATTATTGTTTAAGAGCCATGCAGCTAGAGGCTGAAAGATTCTGACCCTCCCCAAATTGCTCCTGGAGATAACATCACTATTGTAAAACCTAAGATCAGTTATTGAGATATTTTGTAGACCCTGCCCTCTATGGATGAACTAGCTCATCTGGTCTTGTGGTCCCCACCCAGGAACTGACTCAGTGCAAGAGGACAGCTTCGACCCCCTATGATTTCATCTCCAACCCAGCCAATCAGCACTCCCAACTCACTGGCCCCCTAGCCACCACATTATCCTTAAAAACTCCAGTCTCCAAATTCTCAGGAAGACTGATTGAGTAGTAATAAAACTCTGGTTTCCTGTACAGCCAGCTCTGCATGAATTACTCTTTCTCTATTGCAACATCCCTGTCTTAATAAATTGGCTGTATCTAGGCAACGGGCAAGGTGAACCCACTAGGCGGTTACACTATGACCCAGAAGCCCCCGCTTCAAGTTGTCTCACCTTTCCAGACCGAACCAATGTACATCTTATACTTATTGATGACTCACATCTCTCTAAAATGTATAAAAGCAAGCTGTACCCAGACAGCCTTGGGCACATGTCATCAAGACCTCCCGAGGCTGTGTCACAGGTGCGTCCTTAACATTGGCCATGTCCTGAATTGATTGAGACCCATCTCAGACACCTTTGGTTCTCCGTGTGCTCAGGCATTTTATGTAACATGTGTTCTGGGGTGTATCCTATCTAGGCGCCCTCTATTGTATCTGGCTGAGCATGGAAGCAGGCTGCCCAGTGGAATGTTCTGTCTACAGAAAGTCACGAATATGCCCCATTCTCCAAGGACACAAACACCTAGACATGAAACCCCCACTGCACACCACAGGTGGTTCTTTGATGGGTGAGTGGGTGGGACTTGACAGCCATGGTTTCTTGGTCAACAGCTGCAGTGTTGGGATCAGGTTCCCAAAGTGCTCACCCTGCAAAGGCCAGGGCTTCCCAGGGAACGCACTGCTGAAAATACTCTCTGCTTCCCAGGAGCTGGCCTCACAGGCTCCCTAAACAATGCTTCTCAGACCTCAGTGGCATGAGAAACATCTGGAAGGGTGATTACAGCCAACCTTGGGCCCCTCCCTGAGGGGTTTGGATTCAGCAGGTCCGAGGCCGGGCCTGAGAAGCCACTTTGCTCACAAGCTCCTGGGCGCTGCTGCTGCCCCGGGGAACCCACTTAGAGAACCACTTGTCCAGAAGTGGGAAAGGCCGTTCCTTCCACGAACTCACCATCCAACTCAGAGGCGTGGAAAACTTTCAAAGGCCTGTCTCGGGGGCAACCCAGCCTCTCCTCCACCCCAGGGGAATAGCAAGGGGGTGGTCTTTGACAGAGAGGAGCGCAGGCAGCCTCCCTGGCCTGTGGGAAGGAGCTTGCTGTCCACACAACGCAGAGGCAGAACGGAAGGTTGTGAGGCTCAGGCGTGCAGCTTGAATTCTGATGACCAGTAACCGAATTAACCGAATTCAGGGTTATCCGCTAGGCTCTCTCAACAACTCTGGCCCAAGGATAGAATCAACCCACAATTTCTCTCCTCTGCGGTCATCTGAACCCCAGGACTGCTCTCCCAGCCTGACAGTCACAGCCTTGGCAGGACGGGAAGAGCCATGTGTCTGGGCCTGCGCAGCACCTCAGCGAGCATGGCGTTGCATTTGACGCCCGGATGAGGGGGAGGCCCTGCTTGTGGAGCTCCTCGGAGCAGCTCCTCAGCTCCCCCAGGCTGAGGAACCCCGACCACCCCCCACCTGCGTCAGAAGCTGCAGTTCAGGAAGCAGAGGCAGGTCAGAGCAGGCCCAGGACTCATGGCCGCGTCCACTCACGGGAAAAGCATCGCCAAGCACGCCGGGCAGGGAAGATGCTATTCTCTAGAATACCTGCATGCTGTCCAAGGTGTTCTGCGCGAAGAGCAAAGCAAGACAGTTACAGAAAGACGCCGTAAATAAAAGACACAATTCCCAGCACATCCGAATTGCCTTGTTTTTCGAACCAAAGCACGCTGCGTTGCGACCGTCACCACATTTGAAAGCATGCACCACCAGCAGCACGGGGTGACAGGTGACAGCGGGATCATGGTGGAGCAGTCCCTCAGAGGCGGATTGAAGCCACACAGGGTCATGTCAATGGGCTCCGGGGCAACTGGGGAGAGGCAACTACCTTTTCTGCCAGGAGACGATGCAAATTAAAGTGCGGTGGATAACTCAGGCCAGGGAAAGTGAATTATTTTCCAGGGAGATAAATGGCCATTTGGAGGTCTGTTTCTATTCTCCCAGGTTATATATTTTCCTATTTGCTATTCATCACACTCCTCCCTCCAGATAGTCATTAACTAATGGAGGCTTTCAGAAAATCCATTTTAATATATAGGATGATAATGATGAAACCTTTTCCTGTGGGAGGAATAGACTTTAAAAGGCAACGTAAGAGATGCACATAGCCCGTTTTAAGTGGCTGCTGCTCCCCCAGGGACACAGGACAAGGTCATTCTGAAGAGGGCAGCCTCATCCAATATTGGCCTCACTTAAGGGAACATTACCGGGAGGACGCCACCCCAGGGCAGATCCCCTCCGAGGTAAATCTCTCCTTGAGGGGGTGGTGAATTACACGATCCTTGACTTCGGCAGGTGGGGGCCCCAGCTCACTGTAGCCCAGCCACTGTGCATGATGGATGCAGACAGCAGAGGCCTGAGGGGGACCCCATAGCCCTCCCTGTCTGCCTGGCTACTCACTCCCAAGGAGGCTGGCATTGGACCAGGAGCCAGGGACAGGGGTGGTCACTCCCAATACGCCACTCACGCAGGTGGGACGTAGCCGTTGTTTCCTTCCCAAGGCCCCAGTGGGAAACATCTCTGGGAGGCAGGAGAAGGCCACTCATGTCGTGTTTGCGAGGACCACACCCGGGGAAGTGCCTCAGATGGCGCTGAGGACTCTGATTCCCCAGGCCCTCCTTTCTCTGATCCTACAAATGCCTCCCCAGGATGGGTGTCATACCTTAAAAAGGTACCCCAAGGCAGTTCATCAGAGACCAGGATGGCCTCCGGAAGGTCCACCGGCCTTTACCCCTGGGGAAATTAATTCACAAGCAAGCGAGTGAGCCACGCCCCCTCACTTTCCACCCAAGAGGAGCCACCAGAGGACAGCAGACCACATCTGAGACACACAGTTCTGGGTCTGGATGTGTGGCCAAGGGAAAGCTGCTTAACCTCTCTGTGCCTCAGTTTCCCTGTAAGAACGGACCTGGTCCTGGCACCTGTAGTACTGGTTGCTTGTGAGGATGACATGAGAAGACACATGAATGGCATCTAGTAACTGGTGCACCAGGCGCACTTCATAAACATCATCTATTATTTCTAGCAGGCATCAGGGCAACTCTCCCCAACGTCCCCCACCCCCGGGCAGAAAGCAGGGGCACGCTCCTTACCTCTAGCAGCCGCACTGCGCCTTCATGCTCCTTCTTAGCCTCAACCTGAGCCTTTTTTATGATGAAAAGAGAGAAAAGAGTAAATGTCCAAAGGGGAAAGAAGACAATCGGATCAATGTCTGAATCACTGGGGGTGGGGGATCATTTATTTTTATTCCTCTAATAGAGGAATTAAAATTATTCCTACATTCATTATTTAACTTTTATTTGAGTTTCAGAAATACATGTGCAGGTTTGCTGTACAGATAAATTGCACATCCAGGGGGTCTGGGACACAGATTATTTCTTCACCCAGGTGATAAGCTTAGTAGCAGAAGCATCCCTCCAATGCCTCTGACAGCACCTTCATCTGCCCAAACATCCGACGAACTGCTTTGGAAACAAAACCTAATCCTGCAGACTTGACTCCCAGTCAGCTCTAGGTTCCCTGAGACCTCACCAGGCCCTGGAGGAGGGGCCGGGGCTGGGTCCTGAGCATGCAACAGGCCTTGGCACCTGCAGCCTGTGGCAGGGCCGCCCTCTTCAAAGCACTGGCGGCAAAGCCATCTGGGCCCCACAGAATAACTTCACATGTTTCACTACAGAAATGTCTCGGGATGGCTGCTGCCCAGGCAAAGGGCAGATTCAAGCACATCTGAGATGGAACACTATCATTTCTTGTCCTCACAGGCCTGGAAGTCCCAGCATCAAACACCGTTATTTCTTGTCCTCACAGGCCCGGAAGTCCCAGCATCATCATGATGGTAAGGACCTGTCGTGTTTCAATGGCTTTGATGTTTTGAAGGTCCTTGTAGCCCTCGGCATAGTTCCTTGAGTCTCACTAACTTTTCTGCAGACCTAACGTTTCAAAAGACCCATGGAGGCCCCTCACTCTGCTCCATCTAAGCCAATGCCCGTTGTCCCGTCACAGTCGCCAGGGGCCTGGACGGCTTATTGCTCTGTGCCCCATCTGACCCAGCTAGATGCCCAGCACTTCGGCCACAGGGAATCTGCCCTCCCTTCTGTGAGCGCCATCCCCCCAGATGCTCCTGCTGCTCCTGCTGCAGGGCCTGCCCACCTCCTGGATAGCGGATCCTCTGGGTAACAGGCCTGTTCCTCAGGCCTCTTCCTCCAGCGTCAGGAGCTCCTCTCCTGGGAAGAACCTCTGGACTGGCTGGGGTCTGGACCTCCCCTGTGCCAAGCACAGTCTGAACCCTCAGCGACTGGTGACCTGGGTGGTGTGGGGCCTACGGAGGGCAATGGGCCTCTGCCTGAGAATGCTGCGGGAGAGGGAAGCCCCTTTCTATTGGACTTTGGCTTGGGAGGAGGTGAGGCTGCAGCCACTTTGCCACCAGGAGGGTCAGGGCTGGAGTGGCTGGGGGTCTCCACAGGGAAACCAAGGCTGAAGCTGATCCAGAGGAGGGCAGAGAGCAGCCAAGTCCTGGTGATGTCGGGGAGGCCTTGGATTCTACTGGGTCTGAGGCCAGCAGATTTGAGCCCTGGATCTAGCCATGTCTGAAGCCACATTTTCAGTGATGGGCACAAAAACAATTTCCTGTTTGGGTTTTCTGTCGCTTGAAACCAAGAGTGCTAACGAACGTCATCGTCAACTGTGAAAGCATGGGACACTTCCTAAAGTGCGGACACTGGAGGTTGGTTTTCTGAGGCTGTAATGAGACAGAGAAGAAAAGACGAACCAGGCTCCCGCCTGCAGCACAGTCCACACTGTGCACCCCTCACACTGACATCAGCATCTCCCAAACATTCCCCGTGGAGCAGGAAAATGGGGGTTTTTAAGAAGCATTATTTTCTGACACCAGAGTGCACCTAGCTCTTAAAACGTGGAACACTAATAAAGAATCCATATGCTACGCTGTGACTTACATTTACAATTCTCAGTTTCTAGAGAAATATTTCCTCTAGCTGCCTGGAGAATAATTAGTGATGGACGATTCAACATCATAAATAAGCAAGTGAACATTATCTTAACAGTTTCTACTTCTCATTCTCAAAATTCCGTGCGCTGAAAACAGGGAAGAGCTTGGCTTCCCCAGCCAAGGGGAAATCTGCCATTCCCTGGGCTAAAAATGAAGAGTCGTCTGAGGTTTCTGTAGAGTTCATTCATATGAGTTCCATTCTCACATATTTCCAATGAGAGTTTTAAGAGCTGGGCAAGTGACTGGAACACAGCATGTTAATTACACCATTCTCAAGTTCAGCTCAACCGTCGAAGGCCGAAAACTGTTCCTTTCAAAGCAAAAACCAGCAAGAGCAACAATAAATAGCAAAATAGAAAAAGAGACAAACAAGCAGGGAACATACAGGGATTATATAAATGATGCCACCATTGACTCAGTTGAATCAAAGATAGTTTTCAACTGGCAGGATTGAAAAAAAAGACAAAACAAAAAATATTCCAGCAGGCTGTTAAAACTCAGCCAAGCTGGCAGTACAACTTCGCTTCCAGCTTCAGATGAAAACCAGTGCATTTTTGCAGGTGCAAACTGGGCCATTTGGGCAATCAGAATAGACTGTTGAAATTGGCAGCGCTGAATTCTTACAAAATCCAAGCAACAGCTTAAGCGAGGCTCATTTAGGGGCCAACACAGGGAAAGTGCGACCTTTACGGAGAGTGGTTCCTGCAGAGCAGGGAGACTGGAGCTCCCGACGCTGGAGGAAGAGGCCTGAGGAACAGGCCTGTTACCCAGAGGATCTGCTCTCCGGGAGGTGGGCAGGCCCTGCGGCAGGAGCAGCAGCAGCATCTGGGGGGATGGCGCTCACAGAAGGGAGGGCAGATTCCCTGTGGCCGAAGTGCTGGGCATCTAGCTAGGTTGGATGGGGCACAGAGCAATAGGCCGTCCAGGCCCCCGGCGACTGTGACGGGACAACGGGCATTGGCTTAGATGGAGCAGAGTGAGGGAGGGGCCTCCGTGGGCGTTATGAAACGTTAGCTCTGCAGAAAAGTCAGTGAGACTCAAGGAACTATGCCGAGGGCTACAAGGACCTTCAAAACAGGAGTTCCGCAGAGCTGAGGGCTGATGGACATTTTCTAATACTCCAGGAGCACACAGGATTAGGGCAGACACTGCCTGAAACTAACACAGAGGGTCAGCTATGACCCACCGCAGCCATCCACACACAACTGAGGCCGACAATCTGAGGGCAGCACAGCAAATTCAGTCAAAGCATTAACTATGCATCGGGCGGTGAGCTCAGCTTCTCTTAGTATCACACGTTACATAATAGCCTTAAGACTGAAAGCGGTCATTCTACCAGTAAGAGGAACTGTAGACCGAAGTAAAATCGGTCAAGTCTGCGGATGAATTATAAATACGGAAAAGCCCTTTAGCTCACACCACTGGATTATCATAATTGCCACTTGTCACAAGACAAGGATGTAACCTACACAAGAAACTGAAAGTCTGAAGCAACGGAGCGCAGCCGGACCCCAGGCTGACCATTCACCTGGAGAGGAAGCCTCAGGGTTTCAGAATCGGGTCTCAAGTGGACCACGGGCATGTTAGCCTCAGCCTCCTTATCCGTCACATGGAGAAAACAATGGTGCCTCCGCCCCGCAGGTTACACGAGGGCTGACTATTCATTGATTCCCTCCACAGGCATTTACTGAATGTTAATGAGAATTTATCCTCGGTCATCTTATCTGCGGGATTTTGACCCTACTGCCCCGACTGACGGAACCTCGTCACATCTCCAATTCCTTCTGTGCCCTTGAGCACCTCCGCCCATCCAGGATTTGCTGGGGAGCTCCTAGGTGTCAGGCGATGTCCTACGAGTCCGACGCGCCTTTCACGGAGCTGAAGTGCCAACAGGTGGAGGTGGGCAGTCGGCAAACAGCCACATGAGCGAGCAGGCATGTTTTGGCATCAGTAAATGGGGCGACATGCCCTCTGTCTGGGCATGGAGTGGCGTCTGGTCTGAGGGAGACTCAGTGAGAGAAATGAACCAGTTCTGCAACAACCTGGGGACCAGGCATTGTCGATAAGGGTCCCCAAGAGGGGACTGGCTTTGGCACGGTCCAGGGAGAGGAGGAAGCAGCTGCAGCATGGGGAGCGGGAGGAGTGGCAGAGGTGGCACAGCTCAAAGGAGGCCACGACTGCACTCCGGGTCCCAGCCCGGACACGCTGCACCAGCAGATTTGTGCCCAGAGTCGCTTCTACCATCGTCATGACCATTCACAGCCTGTTCTCACACCGTCCCACTCCTTGCTGTGTTGCTGGGACTTCACTGACATGAGACGCTCCGTAAACGTCTGTTGAGTGAATGGACGCAGGGATTTGTGAATGAGCTCTTGCTCCCGGTCTCCAGGAAGCACGCGTCTCCCGGGAGAGCCTGAGGTTACCAGCAGACAGCGTGGGTCCTGGCTTGGCTGCCTTTTGCCTTTTTAAACTGTGTCTCTGCTCAGGTCCCAGAGACGAGGGCTGCAGCATGAGCTCATTGTCCCTGGATTCCGGGAGGAGAGCCCTGGGCACTTTCATCACTCATTCGTCATTCACCCATTTGTTTATTTCTCCGATTTAACAAATGCTTTCCCTTTCACATGATCTTACGTGCTTCTCCCGACCGCCATGCAGGGCAGGAGGACAGGTGGAGCTGCCTGGGAGAAAGGTGCCTCTGGACAAGGTGCTGGGATGCAGGCCCCTGATATTAGACGCCTGAATGTCCAGCACCCTCTCAAGGGTGGTCAGGTCTGGGGGTGAAGCTGATCCCACCAAGGAATCTCTAAGTACTGCACAATGTGGCACAATCCACCTGTATTTCAGGAAAAATAAACTCCTGCCTCACATTGCACATCAAGAAAAACAACATTATAGGATGGAGGAAGCTGAGGATGAAAGCACAAAGAGGCAGGGAGGAGACCCGCAGACGGTGGGGAGGGGCATTTCCAGGACCTGGACTGAAGGAAGAGGCCAGGGGCTCCAGGCGGGCGTCTCCAAGGGGAAAATGGAATCAGAAGCCCCCCAGAGGACTGAGACTCTCTTGAGAGGAATTTTACAGCTTCAGCAGGGTATTGGGGAACAAAGGAATGATGGGTACACAGAGAAGTAAGACAACAAGCAAACAAAAAAGGCAATTAACTCCAGGGAAAGGAAGAGCTGTACAAAAACGGGAGATGCTGCCGTTTACGGAGCTCAAGGAGTTCAGCAGAAGTGCAGGTGTTGGTGAGGACAGAGGGGAGTTCTGTGTGGGACGTGGCGTCCGAGGCCCCCCAAGCAGTGGTGTCAAGCAGAGGGTGAGTAAAGGAATTGGGGCACAGTGGCATCGTCTGGCTTCCGGGTCTAAACCCGGGAGTTACCACGCAGAGGTGGTGCTGAAACCCATGCATCTATGTGAGGTCATGAGACAGTGAGTATAGACTGAGAAGGGATGTGACTTCAGGACTGAGTCTTAGAGTCACCTGTGATGTGTAGAGGGGCTGGTGTGGAGAAGGAAACCAGGAGAGGGTGGTATCCTTGGAGGCCATAAGCTCAAACTGGGCCTCCGGGTCAAAGAAAACGAGGACAGAGAACTACCCACTGGACCGTAAGCTCATGCATGGGTGACACTAACAAAAGCCACTTGTTGGGGGTGGGGTCCCGTGACGGCAAGTTCAAGAAAGAGCTGGGGTTGCAGAAAGAGAGAAGAGGGTCACTCCTTTGAGATGGCTCCACAGCCCTCTCATCAGAATCACCTTTGGGCCTTGGAGAGTCCAAAGACGACTGGTGACTTCTATCTTGGTAGGGGGATGAGGGCCAGTCTTCAGCTAATCCGTGCCTCATGGTGCAGGCACCACTGCCTGGTGGGGTAAGCACTCCAGCTCTGTGCCTCAGGCCCAAATTCAACCCCTGTTCCCTCCCTGGCTGCACCCCAGCTACCCGGCCTTCTTCCTCTTCCCTGGATGCGCTGGGCTGGTTCCCAAGGGGGCCTGTGTGTGCTGCTCCCTAACCCTTGCACACTCCTGCCCCAGCCCTCGGCGTGGTGGGTGTCATCTGCTCCTTGAACTGTCACCTGTATCTAAAGTCACGGCCCCGTCAATCCGCCACTCAAGCCTCTCAACTCCCTTCACCCCTTGCCATCATCTGGGCTTACTCGCTTTTTCACTGACTTGTTCGTCTTCCTTTTTTAGCCTGGGAGGGCAGAGCCGTGTCCCACTCGCAGCTGTGTTCCTGCTTCTGGAACAGCAGCTGAGTGGCTGCTTGGAGGGGCAGACGGCCGACCCCTGCTGAATGACGGTACGACGGAGCTGGTCACAAGTGCAGTGCAACGACCACCCACGTGGAAACTGAATGCAAAGATGAGCTCTGGAAAGAAGTCCCGGATCTCATTCCACTCAAGAGTCAGACTTCCTCTTCTCATGCTTAAAAACTACATCAAAGCCTCTAGAAATTACAAAATTGGCCCATTCATATTTCATCCAGTTTCTCTCCCTCTGCCCCTCGCCCCACTAGTGAAGCATCAGTGTGTCCAAAACAGAGACAATGGTGAGTGCGGGGGGATAAAGAACGCCAAGAGAACTGGACAGCACACAGAAGAGATCGTGGACGCGGAATAACAGAGTCAGTTCCAGGTCATTCTCCTTGGCATCAAATGCTTAGTAAATCTAACTCCAGGCTTCTAGAGAATGTTCTGTTGAGAGGAGACATCCTTTCCCCTTCCTGGACAGTCTCTGTGTTTCTACAGACTTATATCTGTCTCAGACGGTCCCCGCCTGGGGACGTGGCTTCTGGAGTGTGACGAATAAGTGCAGGTGCCATCAGGCGTCACCCGGCCACGGGAAAGGTCCTTGAGACATGGCAGGAGAACATAAGAGTAATATTCCTGCCCGTGTCCCAGCAATATCCCTTGCGGATAACATCTAATGAAATATTGCTGCTCCGGGTGCCTGCCACCTTATTATGACAGGTAATAAGGGCTGTGAAGTTCCCATCAGCGCTGGCTTAATGAAATCTATCCTTAATACGATCTCATGCTAAATGCTTAGAGAAATGGCATCAGAACTTATCTACCTGTTTCCACAAGCTCTGCTAATAAACTCTGGAGGAGAAACGCTGCTCCGGCAGATTCCTATCGCCCCCCAGGCTGGGTGAATGACTGTGAGCCCTTTATTTTGAGATCCAAGACCTGGATAAGCTGTCGGATGGATCGAGGGGCCACCTAGGGCAGAGGAGTGGCCCATCCCAGCCAGCACCGGGCGGGAGGCTGCAGACCAGCCAGCTGCACTCTGGCCACAGGGGTGGCTGCCCTGCCAGGAGGAGGAGAGGGCAGGGCTGGGTGGGGACACTGGGCTCTGGAAGGAAATGAGATGAGACCTGTTCACAGGTCCCCACCTTCTGATTTCTTCCTGGGGGCACCCCAAGCCCATAGGCTCCGGGAGCACCACCCTCCTACCTATCTGGAGAGAGACAGCAGGACCGTGGCTGAGGACTGGAGTGGGGTGAGGTTACCTTTCTCAGTCCCCAGACCCATCACAGGTGCCCAGGAGGTAAAAATCCCAAATCACTCAGTCCTTCCTTCCCTCCTTCCCTGGTGCCTCTCTCCTTTCTCTCCTGATTTCTTTTCCTTTCTGTCTTACTCATCTTGCCTTTTTCCTTTCTTACTGGGATCCGGCTATAAATATTGCTCTGCAACTCAGTTTTCTCACTTGATAACACATCATGCAACAGCCTCAAGACAGCAGAATCAAACCACCATGATCCTTTTCGCTGACATCACACGGCGCCTGGTGTGGATGGACCATGGTGCACACAGCCATCACCCTTAGGTGGGCATCAATTGGGTCCAGTCCCTGTCCCCACTGCCACACAGCAGCACTGCAAGAAAACAAAACTCCTTTTGAACTGGTTCCTGTACTCCTTGCAGGGCATCGTCCAGGATGGGGGTGGCAGGGTCACCTTCTGTGTGCCCTTTTAGTTTAAACGGATGCTGCACACTGCTTTTTCCAGAAGCGGAAGCAATTCACACCCTGCCAGCCATCTCTACGCATGTGTTTTTCCCGACAACCTCACCAGCATCAGAGGTTAGAGCTTTGCATCTGCTTTCGCGTTATAAAACATGAACACAGGTCTACTTAAGAAACACCACAGCAGGAAAGCAGAAATGACTCTGAATTCTTCTGTGCAAGCAGAGAGAGGGAGCGGCCTGGGAGCCAAGGCCGCAGGTCGGCCGCTCCACCACACCAGGGATCCCCGGCCCACCCGTGGACTCCCTGCCTCGCACGCCGCGCCCGGCTGCCCGCCGCTTACCTTCTGCAGAAGGTCAATTTCCTGCTGCTTGGCACTGAGAACAGCCAGGGCCTGGTCATGCTCCAACTGCAGCTGCTGCCGCCGTTCAGCCGCCTCTCGCATATGCTGTGGGGACAGAGAGAGGCCTGGCTGAGCAGGGCAGCCTGTGCCCATGGGCGTGCATCCTATACCCTGCACCAAGCTGGCTCTGACTCAGCCCGGTCACTCCAGAGCAGCCCCTCACCGCCCCACAGGGCACCCACCTCCGTGCTGCCAACAGGGCTCCTCCAGAGGCGGCACTCCCAATGCGGGAGCTATGACATAAACAAGCCCCCCACCTGCCACTTCTCCTCTGCAGGTTCCAAATGCAGCGAGCATTTGAGCAGAACTCTGTCCTCATGCAAATGTGACTTTCGTCTTTTTGCTTGTTTTGAAAAAGTGAATCTCCCTCCTGTGCCTTTTTTGCCCAGGTCCTTTGTATATAACAGCAAAGGCTTATTGATGCTGCCCTGTGTGCCCAGCACTGGTTCAGGGTTTTATCTGCATTTAAGTCATATCATCCCCATCATAAGCCTAGGAGGTAGGTTCTAGAAGTAGCCTCATTCTACAGAGAGGGAAACTGAGGCACAGGATGTCATCCTTGCCCATCGGGCAGCTGGGAAGTGGACGCCTGTTCAGAATGCAAACCCAGAGTCCGCACCCTCCCGGGAGCTTCCCGGCCTCGGGCCGAGTCCGCACCCTCCCGGGAGCTTCCCGACCTCGGGCTCTGGTCCTGACTGCCGACTCCAGTGAACCAGCGCACTCAGACCCAGGAGTCCAAATTCCTTCACTTACCCCTCTGGGAAAGTCGCAAGGTGGCCCCCATCAGCCAGGCCCATTTTCTGCAGCAGAGAGGACAGAGCCGGGTTCCTGGCTCTGTCCTCTCCCCCTGACAATCCGTCTGTCCTGCTTGGAGGGGCGGTGCTTAATCCCCAGTGCTCAGGGTTTAACTCTCACCTATTTGCCCTCTGCGGGCCCTTCCCTCCCCTCTGACGGGTCTCACGAGCCCAGAGTCACCACTGGGACCCTGACAGTGAGGACCAGGCCCCCAGACCCATGAAGCTCACAGCAGTGACCAGCCACGAACCCTGGCAGCCTGCAGGAGGAAACACATGGGAAATGACATTGGGTAGAAATGGCCACAGCGGGCGGGTGGGTAGTCACACTGGGAACAGTCACAGAAAACATTTCCTGGGGTCCCCAAGCCACTCCTGGGGGCTTGGAAAACCAGCTGCAAAATGCTAGAATTTCATTGTCATTTCCTTTCATACACACACACACACACACACACACACACACACACACACCTGTGGTAACTTCGTGGTCAACATTTTAAAATCTGGGTCTTTTATATAAAAGACCAGATTCCTTCAAAAATGGGAAGAGTTGGCCACGCATGCCTCCAGGAAAGGACTGAGAAGGGAGTGGGAGCTGCCCCTTCCGATGGCATATACCCCCGATGTCTGCGGCCCCACGGGCCTGCCCCCCATGTCCCCTGACATCCGAGGGCCACACAGATGACCCAGGTCCTAAAGCAAGTGGGTGTCTTGGCCCCAGCGAGCCATGGGGGACCCACACGCCTTCCTCCTGGGCTGGAACTGGTTGGTCATTTATTTTTTATTATTTTATTATTTTACAATTCCATTGATTTTTAGCCTTTTACTCATTTTTATTTATTTTTATTTTTTTGAGATGGAGTCTTGCTCTGTCACCCAGGCTGGAGTACAGTGGCAGGATCTTGGCTCACTGCAGCCTCCACCTCCTGGGTTCAAGCTACTCTCGTGCTTCAGCCTCCCTAGTAGCTGGGATTACAGGTGCCCACCACCATGCTGGGCTAATTTTTGTATTTTTAGTAGATACAGGGTTTTGCCATGTTGGCCAGGCTGGTCTGGAACTCCTGACCTCAGGCGATCCGCCTGCCTCGGCCTCCCAAAGTGCTGGGATTACAGGCGTGAGCCACCGCGCCCGACCACCTTTTACTCATTTTTATTTAGTTTTGGAGTCTTAAAGGCCTGTAGCCTTCGCAAGTCATGAGGTCGGACACACGCGTCCAAGAGAAGGTTAACGTGGTTTCCTGAGGCCGCTGCCAACTCAGCCTGAGCTGGAAAGAGGAGCCTGGCAGGGGGGAGGCGAGGGAGTCCCTGCTGAGACTGGCAAGCTGTGAGGGCGGGGGGCACCCAGGCTCAGGGGGAGGGGTGTGGCCCCTCGGGAGGAGGCAGGTGGTGAGGGCGGGGGCACCCAGGCTCAGGGGGAGGGGTGTGGCCCCGCAGGAGGAGGCAGACAGGCTGATTACATTCTTCTTGC
Organism: Homo sapiens; assembly: GCF_000001405.40. Lineage (NCBI taxonomy): Eukaryota > Metazoa > Chordata > Mammalia > Primates > Hominidae > Homo > Homo sapiens. Next base: position 130,481,234 of record NC_000012.12, read on the forward strand.
CAGTTTTCCAAAGGTAGCCCTACTGCTACCTTTTTTGCTGCCTCTGAAAGCTCCTTTCTTCTGGGAAAGATCTTGAAACAGAACCACTTTAACTGAGGGTGGGGAAAGCCTCCACTTTTCATTCTGCAAAGCGCTGTGGTTGGTGGGATATTTTGTTTGTGTTTAAAAAGTGAAGTCTTCCTCCCGGCCCGTGTTTCAGGCACGGCAACCTCACGTGCTGGTTCATCTACATTTTTAAGCTGAATAAACTCGGCATCCTCTCTGCTGTCTCCAGAAGAGGCTCCCAGTGAACTCAGAAGCTGGAATTACCCTGCACCCCCACAGACATCTGGGGGTTTCACTGTTGCTATGGGAACTCTCACAAGAACCCGGGATCCGGAGAAAATGGAGTTCCCCAAAACATGAACAAAACCCCATGAAACACGGGTGTCGCGGTCAGTGGCCCTCGCCAGTTCACTCTGGGGCCAGATGGGCCCCAGGGAAACACCATGCTTGTATCTTCCCACGTTTACTCCAGCTCTGAGCCTGGGCAGGCCTGGCCCTCCTGGGAAGAAGCCCTGGGTATTTGCTGCACAGCCCTCCCGAGATCCGCCCTGACACACTGCTCCCCCCGCCCCGCTGGGCTGTCAGCCCATTTGGGCCTCGCCATTTCTAACGGTCTCTTTCCAAGAGCCTCAGTTTCCCCCCGACCCCCCAAGCCGCCACCACCACCACCACCCACCGCCCACCACCAGTTCACTGTGAGTGCAAACCAGCTGCATACATTGCAGGGCATTTTTAGGAGGACGGGGACAAGCCACCAAGACAAACTGACAGAGCCCTGGGGGATGCAGGGGATTCCCCGAGCTCCTGAGACGCTTTGGGAACTCTTCTCCAAACCCTGGCTGCCACCTCAGTGCGGTGTGGCTTTGCTCTGGTGTCAGGTTTCCCCATGAGGGTCCCAGAGGTCCTCAGGACGGACAGTCTCTGCAGACCCTCATGAGGCCCTCCGTGTGGGGCTTCCAGCTCCAGAGAGGACTATTTCTACTCCATTTATTCATTCATTGCTTCTTCTGGATATTGGTTCATCGGACTGGATTTATTGAGCACCTACTAGGTGCCAAGAAGCTGGGGACACAGAACAGGACAAACGTGTCTTCATGAGAGAACACCCCAGAGTGGGGGCACAGTGTGAAGGCAGATCGATGAAACGAGAAGGGCCCGAGTGTGGCACGGAGCAGGATGGAGGCACCTAAATGACATCTGTGGTCCTGGACTTCAGGAGTGGCCATTTCCTACATCCTAACACCAGCCTCAATCTGATACGAGGAGGAGATTTCAGCCAGATTCCACCAGGAGAACTCGCTCACTCAACTCACTCAACAAATACTTACCCAAGCACTTGTTTTGTGCCAGGCACCCTGCTGGCTTCTGAAGGCTACAGCAACGCAAAACAAAGCAAAACAAAACCAGCTCTCTTGGAGCTCACATTCTGCAGGGGAGGGGGCACACCTCATCCCAATACACCCATTGTGTGTGTACATGTGTCAGATTCTGCAGGGGAGGGGGCAGACCTCATCCCAATACACCCATTGTGTGTGTACATGTGTCAGATTCTGCAGGGGAGGGGGCAGACCTCATCCAAATACACCCATTGTGTGTGTACATGTGTCAGATTCTGCAGGGGAGGGGGCACACCTCATCCAAATACACCCATTGTGTGTGTACATGTGTCAGATTCTGCAGGGGAGGGGGCAGACCTCATCCAATTACACCCATTGTGTGTGTACATGTGTCAGATTCTGCAGGGGAGGGGGCAGACCTCATCCAAATACACCCACTGTGTGTGTACATGTGTCAGATTCTGCAGGGGAGGGGGCACACCTCATCCAAATACACCCATTGTGTGTGTACATGTGTCAGATTCTGCAGGGGAGGGGGCAGACCTCATCCAAATACACCCACTGTGTGTGTACATGTGTCAGATTCTGCAGGGGAGGGGGCAGACCTCATCCAAATACACCCACTGTGTGTGTACATGTGTCAGATTCTGCAGGGGAGGGGGCAGACCTCATCCAAATACGCCGATTGTGTGTGTACACGGGTCAGCAGTCCTAAGCACCATGGGGTCAGGCGGTCCTAAGTCCACAAATGCACGCACCTACTATGCAGCCACAAAAATTGTAAAAAATTAAAAATAAATAAATAAAAGGGGAGAAACAGAAAAAATAAACTGCTAAAAATATACTTTTACTTTTTATAAACAAAGGGGATGGGAGCTGCAGTCCTGCTGGGGGCTGGCCTGTCGGCTGAGAAGGCCAAGGAAGCCCCCCACCAAGATGGTGCTAAACAAAGGCTCACACCAGAGACAGAGCCCCACGCGGCTGTGGGTGGAAGGCGGGATACACAGTGCCCAGAGCCCCCACCCTCACCTACACACAGTGCCCAGAGCCCCCGTCCCCACCTAGACACAGTGCCCGGAGCCCCCATCCCTCACCTACACACAGTGCCCAGAGCCCCCGTCCCCACCTAGACACAGTGCCCGGAGCCCCCATCCCTCACCTACACACAGTGCCCGGAGCCCCCGTCCCCACCTAGATACGGTGCCCGGAGCCCCGACCCTCACCTACACACGGTGCCCGGAGCCCCCACCCTCACCTACACACAGTGCCCGGAGCCCCCGTCCCCACCTAGACACGGTGCCCGGAGCCCCTGTCCCCGCCTAGATGTGTCCCTGAGCCATGCCACTAACAGGGGCTGCGAGGGCTTCCGCGGCTCCTGGAAAGGCCCCAGAAGTTCCCCCAGGCACTGGCTTGCTGGCATGGACAATGTCCCATGGGAAGGATAGACTGGAGGCGAAACATCTCTCCAGAGTCTGCCGGCGACTGTCACTTAGGTGTCCTTGGCCGGAAGGAGCCCGATGCCCCCCGAAGTGGACCCCTGGCCCCATGTCGCATCCCAGCTGAAAGCCCCTCGGTGGGGAGTAAAGCGGCATGCTGTCACAGGGCCACCTGACTGCCTCTTGCCTCCTGATGCCGCTGCCACCACCATCTGCCTGCCTCTCATGCCCTGCTGTAACACCCTGGCTTTCGCGCTGTTTCTAAAGAGCAGACCAGTGCCCGCCTCTGGACCTTCACACGTGTTGCTCTCCCTGCTAGCCTGACTCTCACGTTCCAGCCTTTGCCCAGATGCCACTTCGCACTGAAGCCTGGTGGCCGCCCGGCCCCTCCTGGATACACCATGTTCTCCACCTGCCTTATTTTCCTCCTGAGCATCCTCATCCCCAGTGCACTGGCCGGCTCCCTTGCCTGCTATCTGCTCCTTCCCCTGGAACATGAGCAGGCACCTTGCCCCACTGTGTCCCTGTCCCCACAATGGGTCACTCGGCACAGATGCCAAATAATCAAACTGCCGCCTTCATGGCCTCTTGGAGCTCAGTCCCACTGCTGTCCCCACCACCCCCTTCTCCAGCCACATGGGCCTCCTCCCAGCCCCTGGAGCTCTCCACGCTGCCCACATCAGGGGCTGGCAGGGAAGGTTGGGGGAAAAGTGCTTCCAGCATTTCAGGCCAGCAAAAGCCATTAAAGAGCCTGAACACCTGGGCTCAAATCCCAGCTCTGATACTGGCCCGCTGTGTGGTCTTAGAGTAGTTACTTAACCTCTCTGTTCTCCATGTTCTTCTTTTGGATTAATTTTTCAACACTATTCTTTTTCAATTGGTTAGTGATTAGTGAAATAACTAATGTTGATTATTAATTAACACCCACTTCATAGAGGTGTTTTGAATTTTCCTTGGCATCTATTAAGTTCTCTGTGTTATGTTTTAGTCCCAAGAGGAGAAAACCCTTTCCCACTGGACGTGTGTAGCCCTGTGTGATGTCACTTAAACACCAGGTACAGGGTGGGAGGGAGGGACTCATGAGGCAACCAGGGCTGCACCAACAGGATGATGGACAGCTACCGCCGCATTGGTAAAATGACGGTGAGAAATCGGAATGTGGCTGCTGTCATTTATTAAGCACCTACTATATGCAGGGCACTATGCTTGCCCAGGCACTGTGTCATTTGAGGCTGAGGGTTGGGTGCTGTGGTCACTGCATCCCAGCAGAGCAACAGACTCAGGGAAGCTGAGCAAGGGCTAAAAGCCACAGCTGGAACATGGCCGATGAGAATGTCAGAACTCACAGCCAGTCTGCTCCCGGCCACTGCCCCACTTCTGGGTTGAGATGACTTACACCAGCCACTGCCATCTTGGAGCACTACGGGGGCCAGGGCAGAGAAGCAGCTTTCGACTTCCTCGCGGCCCACCTGGCCTGGGTGGCCGATTGTGCAGCTGCTTAATTCTGCCATTTTGGCTTAATTCTGGCTAATTTTGTGCTTCTCTTTATTTTGGAAGGGGGCACTGCCAAAGGCAGACTGTATCATCTTTATTTAGTTCTGGGAAGGAAGTTGTTAGCGAGAGGAGGGTGCCACCTTCCCTACCAGGACTCGCTAGGTAGATTCACCAGGCACCGAAACAGCTCCGGGCGTGGTCCTGCGGCCTCAGAGTCACTGAGGATAAAGGGGTGGCGGATGCTATGCTGGGCTCTTGCTTCGGGGTGCCAGTGAGATGAGGGTTTATAGATCAGATGGATGGAAACAAGTACAGGGAAGAAGTCTTTGCATTTCTACGGTTAATGAACCAAGTCCGTACAAAGCAGCTGTCAGAAAGGCGTGAGCGGGAGAAGCACTCGGCCCTCGAAGACAGCCTCAGTTTCATCACAGATGCCATGGCTGGGAGGACAAGGTTTGCTGGGGCTTGTTTTGGCTTCAGCATCTATCTCTCCAAATCTTACCTGTTTCTGCAAAGCCCTCATCCCCCTCCAGCCACTGCCCATGTATCTGCCTCCCATCTCACACGCTCTTCCAGCCCTTCCAGTCAGCCTCCCTCCTGTCACTCGGCTGAGATTCTCCCACTAAGGCAGCCGAGGAGTCCCTGCAGCCCGAACCCATGGCCACTTTCGTGCCCTGACTGGACCAAATCCCTCAGCAGCACCCGACACCAGGGCTGCTCCTCCTGGACATGCCCTGGACTCTGGCCCCCGTGGGGCGCGCTGACCTGGTCTCTCCCCCTGACCTCTGCAATGACCTCCCGCTGATCTCTAAATCCTGGAGGGGCCACGGCTCTATTTATACCATTCCTTAGGTGATCTTAGCCAGCTTTGAGGTTTTAATTGCCACATAATTCCAAATGAACCCTTCATCCCCGTCCCCCGCCCCCCCGCCACTCATACCCAACTGCCTACTCATTATCCCCACATGGATGTACAGGAGGAAGCTCAAATTTAGCCTGTCCGAAATAGAATTCTTGATTTTCTTCCTCAAACAAGTTCCCTCCCCAAGCTGTGCCATCTCGGCCAAGGACACCATCATCCCCTCAGCTCCTCCAGATGCAAAGCTGACAGTCATTCTTGACTTCCTGCCCCCTTTCCCGCCTTGTTCAACATCCAGATCTTTGAGAAAAAAAAAAACCTCCCAATTTAAAAAAATGTGCACCCAAACTCCCCCCACCCATGTCTGCCGTTCTCTCCTGTGTCCAACGCTGCCACCTCATCTCTCCCCTAGACTATGGTAGACTACGGCAGAAGAGCCCTTTCTGCCCCGAGACAGCTCCTCCTCTCCCCTGGACCATAACCAGCTCCTCAGAGCCCTTTCTGCCCCGAGACAGCTCCTCCAGAGCCACTGGCTGCACCAGAGATTGCCCCACAGCCATTCTCCTTCAAGAGCACAAAGGCTGCCAACTGCACCGGGAACAAAATCCAGACTCCTGGCTGCAGCCAACAGGCTCCTCTGTGATCCAGCCTCTTCTCTGCCCTCACCTCTCACCTCTGCCCCTTCCTCACTGTGCTTTTGCCACACTGGCTTCGCTCAGTTCCATGATCACGTCAAGGTCATCCCCAACTCCAGGTCTTAGCGAGTGCCATTCCTGCTGTCCGACATGCTTGTCCCTGCATCACCACGTGGCCAGCCCTTCACGGCGTGATGGGGTTTAGGATGTGTTCCCTCCAAACCTCAGGTTGAAATGTGACCCCTGTGTTGGAGGTGGGGCCTGGTGGGAGGTGTCTGGGTCACGGGGGCATAGCCCTCATGAATAGCTTGGTGCCCTCCCCATAGCGATAAGTGAGTTCTTGCTCTGAGTTCACTCGAGAGCTGGTTGTTTAAGGGAGCCTGGCTCCTCCTCCCTGTCTCTTGCTACCTTTCTCACCATGTGATGCACCTGCTCCCACTTTGCCTTCTGCCATGTTTGGAAGCTTCCTGAGGCCTCACCAGAAGCTGAGCAGATGCTGGTGCCATGCTTGTACAGCCTGCAGAACTGTGAGATAAATTCGCTTCTTTTCTTTACAAAATACCCAGTCTCAGGTATTTCTTTATAACAACACAAAACGGACAAAGACATGGCAAGTGTCCTGACCAGTGACCAGAGATTATTTTATTTACGTGTTTATTCTATGTCATCCTTTCCATCCCACTCCCTACCCTTGTCCATGAGAACCACAGGATCACAGGACTTGTTTCCCTGTCTACTGGTGCACCCCCGGCCCAGAACAGTCTCTGACACATGGTGAGGCAGAATCAATGACAGCAAAGGTGAGGCCTCTCGCCTAAAACATCTGTCCCACGCCCCCAGCCCACACTCCCCTCTCCATCCCTCACAGCCTCCCACATGACTCTGCAGCAATGCTGTAACCTGCTTGGTACCGTTCTAATTCCATGTAATTCTCACTTTCTCAACTGGACTAGAAATGGCTCCATTTCCGTGTGTGCACTCCACAGGCAACAGGAGTCTAATTAACATTTTCTAAGTGGAATTAAAGCAATGATTTTGAGTGGAGGATTCATCCTGTGGCTGTCTAGAAACTAGACTTTAACACTTGAGGAGCCTAGAGAAGATTGGATCCTCACTACCAAAGATTCCACATTTCACCAAACCCACAGTCAAAACTGTGAACCAGAGACATAAGCTGGTTCTCCTGGAGGCCATCACACTGGCGGAGTTAGTCACGCAGCTATAATAAAACATCTCTCGGAGATGGGCTTTGAGACTGATGAGGGTAGAGTGAAGTGGATGGCGAAAAAAAAGTTTAAGCCAAAAATAGGAGAGATATTGGCTGCAAAGGCTGAAATTCGTGGTGTTAGGTGGATGGTAGGGGAAAAGATAGCTCAGTCAGGGGGTGGTGGGGGCCGTAAGTTTAATATTAGTGAGGTCTACGAACCAGCCAAAAAAAAGAGAAATGGACAAGGCTCACAAACACACGGACATGCTAAATATATCCATCCATCCTGGCATGAGGACATACTGATTCATTCTGCACAGCGTTACTTTTCTAAATGTAGCCAGTGTGCATGTCTCTGTTGAAACATCTATAGAAAAATCAGTGTTGCAAGGCTGAGATATTAATCAATGTTTCTTTCTATCACTAACCCTCTATTTCTCCTCCATTCCCCTCCCACTTCCCATCCTGAGGGCTCCATTCCATGCTCACTGCCTCAGGGAGGATGAGAGATGGGTCAGGGAAGAGCAGAAACTGGGGACTCCCCTGGGCTTTGGTCTGCAGAGATAAGGGGAATCAAGAAGACAGCATACAGAGGGGTTACTGTGAGAAACTGAGACTAGATTTCCCTTCTAATCTGCAGAAATATATTGCTTCACCAGAGGCAGACAAATTAGCTGAGAAGAACCGATGCATGTATAGACACTGGTGGATGGGCTCTTGGCTCTGCTTTCTGGAAAGTTCCAGAGAGCTGACTCCTACAGAATTCACGGCTAGCATGGGGAGTTGAGAAAATGGAGCTTAAACAGCCTGGCAGGGATTTCTGAACGACCCTGGGATAGCTAAGAGCCCACGTGAATGCATACAACTAAACAATTAAATTCTTTCATGTCTTATATTTTACAATGTCTTCAAGTAACTTTTACCCTTGTCTCTGAAATAATGGAAACAACTGGTAGACGGTGGCTTGTCTACTTTTACAGCCTACATATAAGCAATACGCATCGGATAGAATGGTGGGAATCTGTGTGTGTACGCCTGGATGAGGGCAGGATGGAATCCCACAACATCTTGGCTTTGGGTCACCCTGCACCCCAGCCTAGATCTCACCTTGGTGTGCCAATCAACTGCCTCAGGTCTCTCAGATCTACTCTCTCTCCTTCTCTTGTTTTGCTCTGTATCAGAAAGAGCTACACTTCCCAGACGCCCTCGCCCTCTGCTTCTGGGTGGTCAGTCAACAGGCAGCATCGGCGGGAGGGAAGCCAGGGATTTCTACCCCTCTCTCTGCCTCTCGAGCTGTCTCCTGTAGAGGCTCCGTCTCCTGTAGAGGCTCCATCTCCTGTCTCTAACCCACGGTCTCTGCTCCTGACTCTGAGATCATCATCACCCCCACTGTCCCTTCAGCCTTAGAGGTGATGCCAGGTTCACAATGCAGCCATCTGGCTTCTTAGTTCTTCCACCCTGTGTGTCACAATCCCCTGTATTAATGTCCCTCCATTTGAAATACCTTGGCTGGCTCCTGCTTTTTGACTGAAGTCTGACCGGTAGACTGAAGGAAAAGGATGAAGCCAACTCCAAATTGATGACACATTTCTATCACTCTTTCAAAATGCGTGTCTTAAAAGTGAATTAAGCACTTTGGGAGGCCAAGGAGGGTGGATCACAAGGTCAGGAGATCGAGACCATCCTGGCCAACATGGTGAAACCCCGTCTCTACTAAAATACAAAAAATTAGCCAGGCATGGTGGCAGGCACCTGTAGTTCCAGCTATTCGGGAGGCTGAGGCAAGAGAATCGCTTGAACCCGGGAGGCGGAGGTTGCAGTGAGCCGAGACTGCACCACTGCACTCCAGCCTGGGTGACAGAGCGAGACTCTGTCTCAAAAAAAAAAAAAAAAAAAGATAAAAAAGAAAAGTGAATTAAGTAATGTTGAGGGGGTTGTTCTGTTTCTTTCACTTGAGTTGTTGCAACTGGACTCAAACCTGCTTCACAGACTTACTGTGACAATTCTAAGTTAAAAAAAAAACTCACGGAAATGTTGATTTTGCTGACCACCTACAAAGCAGAAAATAAATCTGTCCAGGAAAATGTACAATCTGATAATGTTTTTGTTTACTTATCTACAATTTAGCTTGGATTTTTTACTATCCCTTAGTTTGCTTGAAATTTTCCTATTAAAAAATAAATGGTTTTGATGCTTCTTCCCAACTAGGAAAGCTTGTTCTGGTCCCAGCTGTCAGACAATCCCGGGCTGATAGCTACTTTAATGAATCAGCAGCAGAAGTATAAATCGGGGTACAGGGAGATGGGGGTGAAGATAGAGGTGCTTGGTTTACCTCAAGAGTTATAACATCACGGGGCAAAGGCAGGTTCGGTAAGTTCCAGCTGCCATTTCTCTCCAAGGGCCAGGAAACAACATCTTAAGATAAAAGTCACTGGCCATAAACAACCTTATTCAAGGAAAATAATCTCGTCTGCAGGGCACCTGTGGTGTGAAGGCTGAGACCTGTGAGTTCAGCAACAGAATCGGCCAAGTGGGGGCTGCAGTAAACCCCTCGGCTTACCGGCCAGTCCACAGGACTAAAAGAGAGGCCAAATGCCAACTCACCCCGGAACTCAGCCACACCATAAAAGAGGGAGATGTGGTCAGAGTTCAGTGGGAGGGTGGGGAGCGAAGTGGGAAGCGGTCTACACAGCAGCTCCCGAGCCCCCTGTGTGTAGCAACAATCAAAACCCACGTTAGTGTTTATCACAGATCACCACCTACAAATGGTGGGAAAATGGTGTTCTTATTCCGGTATGCACATTGCTGGCACAGTTTTCCCAGAGAACCTGCCTGAGACCCAGCCCAGCTCCAGACATCAGCCTCCACATGCTCACCTAAACACATCTGAGGATTACTAAGTTCTAGAAGTACTGTTATGCTAAGTACTGAACACACATCACCCATTTAATCGGCACAACAACGCTTGAAGCAGGTGATATTTTTATTCCCATTTACAGAGAAGGAAACCAAGGCCCAGAGCGGTTAAGCAACGTGTTCAAGTTTGCCCAGCTAGGCCAGGCTCAAGCCAGGATTTGCACCTAGCGAGCCCAGCTCACTCTCCCTCCACTGTCTCTGCTCTCTGCTGTCTAAGAGGCCTCCTCCAGGACCTCTCTCATATTTGCGGGATGTGCTGATGTTTGCTGGGACTCTCTTCAAGGCAGTACACATGAGAACCTTTTCTGCAGTGCCCTGAAGTCACTCCGCCTCCTTCCTTCCAGAGTTCTCAGGCCACCACGCACACTGTTCGTGCCTCTGTCACAGAGCCATCTGCACTTCTGGGGGGCAATCGCACTTTCCTTCTCACAACTTCCACAAGCAGCTAGGAGTCTCTCGGTTCCTGGGAGTGCAAGGGGCCCAAGGATTCCCAAAGGGAGTCTGAAAACCTCGGGTTTCGCCCAGAGACAGAATCCCACCACACCCTGACACCGGGCTTCCGCCTCCCCGCGCAGAGACCTTCCCAGGGCACGTGCTGTCATTCATGGGAAGGCTTCACATCTGAAAAGTACTCAGGATTATGCGCCACGGCCAAAACTGCCTGTCTGAAACGCTCTGCCTGTGGCAGGATTTATTTTTAAAGCAGCGATATTTATAGCTGACTGTCGACATTCACGCCAGCACTTAAGCTGCCTACAAATGTCAGGGTGCCGCTATCCCAGGGAAAAGCTCGGATGTGACACGGAACGAACGAACCTGAAGCAAACTGAATTATCTCCTCAACGTCAGATCAAACGTGGACTTGTCCTGTGCTTGGATGCTGCCTTGCCTGAGCGAAGAAATTAAGGAAAAACCAATTTCCCCAAATAGGAGCTAACGGTGACACTTTGAATGTCACATTAGTGGGATCTGCTACGCGTGGTAGAAATAATGAAGCATTTATGTACACACGATTTGCTTTCACCCAGCACCTGGCAGAAGGAATGCAAGCACTCACAGAACCCACGTCTTCAAAAGCAAGAAAGACAAGGTCTTTAAAGCTGTTTGTTTTCATGGCATCACGACTGTCTGTCCTAGTCACAGAAGTCACACTCATTAAGAATGAGAATGTGTGTGAAAAACATTCATGTGAATTCAGTGAGGTCTATTTCAGCCCAAGTATTTTAGTTTCTCAAACTGGGAAAAAAAATGGATCCTTAGGAGTTCCTTTGGGGGAAAAAAAAAGAGAGAGAGAGAGAGAAAGATTTTCCTGAGTGTTGATTGGTCTTTGATCCTAAAGCCTCCTTCCTTCTCCTCTGGCCCTGATGAATCCTAGAGATGCAGGGGTGGCAACATTCATCCATGCTGCTTTGGGAGGGTTATTTTTCTCACACACAGTTTCTGTCCTGCCCCAGTGGCTCCCGGCTGTGAGCCCGGGATTTTGGCCAGCCAAGTAGAGGGGATCTTATCAGCTGGACCTGTGTTCAATGCCATTTCCAACACGTACAGGCTGTGTGCCCTGGGGTGAGTTAGGTACCTCTCTGAACCTCAGGTTCCACGTTTATTGAATGGCAACAAAAAATACCGTCCTTCCTAGGTTGTCGCAAGAATGAGATTAAATGTTAGATTCAAAGGGATCTGCACAGAACCAGGTGCGGCAGCTCACGCCTGTAATCCCAGCACTTTGGGAGGCCGAGGCGGGTGGATTGCTTGAGTCCAGAAGTTTGAGACCAGCCTAGGCAATATGGCAAAACCCCATATCTGCTAAAAATACAAAAAATTAGCCAAATGTGGTGGCAAACACCTGTAGTCCCAGCTATTCAGGGGACTGGGGCTCAGGCAGGAGGATGGCTTGGGCGCAGGAGGCGGAGGCTGCAGTGAGCCTAGATAACGCACTGCACTCCAGCCTGGGTGAGAGAGTGAGATCGTAGCTCAAAAAACCAAAACAAAACAAAAAAACAAAGTGACCTGCACAGGAATTAAGTTTCATGTAAATATCACTAAGTTTTATTTAGGTCTGCCACTCGATTTGGCTTCTGTTAGTTCCCTCCCATTTTCATTATTTGATCTCCCCTTTCCTGCCTTCTTTTTGTTTTTTGTTGTTTCTTTTTGTTCGTTTTGTTTTGTTTTTGAGATGGAATCTCGCTCTGTTGCCCAGGCTGGAGTGCAATGGCGTGATCTCGGCTCACTGCAACCTCCACCTCCTGAGTTCAAGCAATTCTCATGCTTCAGCTTCCTGAGTAGCTGGGATTACAGGCGTGTACCACCACGCCTGGTTAATTTTTGTATTTTTAGTAGAGACGGGGTTTCAGCATGTTGGCCAGGCTGGTCTCAAACTCCTGACCTCAGGTGATCTGCCTGCCTCAACCTCCCAAAGTGCTGGGATTCCAGGCGGGAGCCACCATGCCCAGCCTGGTTTTCAATTTTAATGTCTCCATGGAGTGCTGTTCTGTATGTTTTTATGTCACTCCTAGTGGTTGCCCCAGGGAACTCAATATACATATTTAAATTTAAACAATCTACTCAGAATTAAAACTTGCCATTCCAAGTGGAATTCTTACATGCTCCATCTATATACCTGAAACCCCATCACAGTGTTCTACATTTTCGTTGAAGTGTCATTTATGTACATGAAAGAGTCTACCAGGAGAAAAACAGCCTGGTCTAGCCTGTTACATTTACCCGGATATCCGCCCTTTCTGTTTCTCTCCTCTGTCCAGTGTTTCCTGAGCACCAACTACGTCCAGGTGGCCCGACAGGCACTGGAGACACAGTGGACACAAAGCTGAGAGGCCCTGGCTTGTGTGGGGCTGACATCCCAGTGGGAAAGACAAGCGTTGATCGGGTGAGGATATAAAAATGCAAGCTTGTGATGCATGGGTAAACTGAGGCTCACGGAGATGACTCAGCCCCTTGTGAGTACATCCCACACTCTGGGACAGAGCGCTCATTCTGTATCACTGCGCTGGGGACAGGGACAGAGCGGTTCAGAAGGACAGACCCCGCCCTGGCCCTCCTGGAGCCCACTCCACACCCCAGCAAGCATCAGGCCTAGAAGTTGGCACCTCCCCGCCACCACGGTTCTCCCTGCACTGCTCTGCCCCCGCCTCCACAGTCTCACGGTAAGATGGTGGATGCAAACGTGCTTTGAAAGATGCAAAGCACAGTGGCTCATACCTGTAATCCCAGCACTTTAGGAGGCCAAGGCAGGCAGATCACCCGAGGTCAAGAGTTCGAGACCAGCCTGGCCAACATGCTGAAACCCCGTCTCTACTCAAAATACAAAAATTAGCCAGGCATGGTGGCAGGCACCTGTAATCCCAGCTACTCAGGAAGCTGAAGAGGGAGAATCGCTTGAACCCAGGAGGCAGAGTTTGCAGTGAACTGAGATTGCCCCACTGCACTCCAGCCTGGGCAACAGAGTGAAACCCTGTCTCAAAAAAAAAAAAAGAAAGAAAAGAAAAGAAAGAGCAAAGTAGGAGTCAGGTAACCCACGGAGGCCTCCAGGACCCTGCACTCCAGCCCTGTGTGCTGGTTACTCAGGACACACCCTCTTCCCTGCTGTCCAGAGCACTTGGCCTTATGTGGGAAAAGGATGCATTTGTGACCGCTGGGTCACAAAGTACCACAACTGGCACTTCTGCTTAAGACAATGGAAAGTGTCCTCTCACAGCCCTGGAGCACAGAAGGCTGAAATCCAGGTGTCGGCAGGGCCGGATCCTCTCGTGGAACCTCTGAGGGAGAAGCCGCCCCATGCCCCGCTCCAGCTGCTGGCGTGGCCACGATGCTTGGTGATCTTTGACCAGAAGACACCTCACTCCCATCCCCTTGGGTGTCTCTGTGCCTCTTCTTCTTATAAGGACAACAGTCCTTGGGTTTAGGGCCTGCCCTACTCCAAGATGACCTTATATTAATGACATCTGGACAGACTCATTTTCAAATAAGGTCATATTCACAGATACATAGATTTAGGACTTGGGCGTCATTTGGGGGAACACAGCTGGCCCTCTACATGCCCTGAAATGATGAGGGGGGCTGCTTCACTTGCTCCCCATCTGCCTGGATTCATGCCTCTGGACACCTGCCCCAGACCAAGCCATCAGCCACGCTGGTACATGCCCTAGTGGCTCCCGCCTCAGTGCTGCCCGTTGTCTCCTCTTGCCCCTGTGAGATTTCCCCAGGGATGTTGCTTGGTCAGGCCACTGTCATCACGTGGGCCTCAGCTGAAGTGTCACCCCCTAACAGACATGTGCAGGGTGCCCTGCGCTCCCCTCTCCCTCCAGGTCACCCTGGCTCATCACCGTCTTCCTCCGTCTCTGAAATTCTTATCTATTTGCTGGATGACCTGATTTTTTTTCTGAGCTCCTCCCACCCCAGTAGAAGGTAAGTTTCATGAAAACAAAAATAACCTTGGACTTGCTCCTCGTTTTACTCCAAGCATCTGGCATGGTACCTGGCTATCCTTCTGTCTATTCTAGTAGATTCCTTTGAGGGTGTATATCAATGAAATTGCTCACGGTATTAGCAATTCTTGATCACTAACCTCTCCAGCACCAGCCACTATGTTAGATCACTGGGCACATTCTATGCTTTGAACCCTTACATCTAGAAAGGTACTTTATGGCCACTTTAAAGATGAGAGAACACCCCGGTTCTCAGAAATTAGTTAGCTTGATCACACGTAAACAACTAGTTAATCATCAAATTCAAATTTGAACTCAGACTGGTCTAACTAAAAGCCCAAAGTCTTTGAATTAGGTCATGCTACTGAGATCAACGGGAACGTCCCCCTAGGGTGGGTGATGATTCTGCCGCTGACTCATTGGACCTAAACTGTAAAGCATTGTGGACCACGGCAGAGAGTACGTCCGTGCCTGTAGCCATGTGATACGGTTTGGCTGTGCCCCACCCAAATCTCATCTTGAATAGTAACTCCAGTAATTCCCATGTCTTGTGGGAGGGACCTGGTGGGAGATAATTGGATCATGGGGGCGGTGTCCCCCACACTGTTCTGTGGTAGTTAATAAATCTCACAAGATCTGAAGGTTTTATCAGTGGAAACCCCTTTCTCTTGATTCTCATTCCCTTCTCTTCTCTTGCCTGCTCCCACGTGACACATGACTTTCACCTACCACCATGATTGTGAGGCCTCCCCAGCCACATAGAATGGTGAGTCCATTAAACCTCTTTCCTGTATAAATTACCCAGTCTCGAGTATGTCTTTATTAGCAGCATGAAAAAGGACTAAACCACCATCTCACTGTCCTCACTCCGGTCTCAGCAGCCCTGCTGAGCAGCTCTGGGGTAGAGGAGGCTGCGAGGGGTGAGGCTCCATCCACTTCCTGCAGGAGGGATGCTTCTGTCCACGGGAGACCAGCACACAGTGATACCTCATGAAAGGCCACGTTCCCATCACCCTGAGCCCCCTTCTATGTCGGGCCCCCAGCAGCTATGGCGCTGGGCAGGCCCGCTCCCCAGAAAGTGACCACATGATGGTTTCCTGCCTGTGATGGCCTCCTTCAGGCACACCTTTCTCTCACCTGCAGGCCACCCAGAGGAGCCAAGGAGGACCGCACACTTCTCTGCACACTGGGACTGCTGTCCTCTCCCTGAGGAGTGGGACCCTCAAGTTGTTCTGCCCAGGCCATCAGACCATGACTGCCCCGATGTCACTGAGCAGAGTACAGAGAGACTGGGATGTGTATACACTGGGGGCTTAAAACAACAGCAACCCATCCTCTCATGCCCTGGAGGCCGGAAGTCTTCAGTCGAGGTGTGGACAGGGCCATGTACCCTCCGAAAGCTCCAGGGCAGGCTCTTCCCCATCTTGCCAGGCTCCTGGGCGCTCCATGGCTCTGATCTCTGCCTCCATCCACACGTGGCTTCCTCCCTGAGCGTCTGTGTCTCTATCCAAACTCCCCTCTCCTTTCTTTCCAAAGCCTGTCACTGAACGAGGGCCCTCCCTGATGTGCGACCGCACCTTCACCTAGTTACATCTCCAAACACACTATTTCCAAATTAGGCCCCGCGCCCCAGTTCTGGGTGGACATGACTGTGGGGAGGCTGATTGAATCTACCCCTCTGTCCAGAAGCTTCTCACCTGCCTTCTGCTCCCTGGGCTCCGTAATCACTGATTCTGCTCACAGCCTCTGGTGGGTCCACCAGTCCCTGCCTCTAACTGCTTCTAGATTGAGCTCTCTGAATCTAGAAACCTTGTGAGTGTGAAGTTAAACCGTCCTTCCCTGCCAGGACTCTAAAATAAAAGCAGCTGTCGCTCTACCGCATCCGACGAACAGAACTGTCTCACGGGCCATGGGAGAAGGGGCTGGAGAGATGCGTTCTGGCCGTGGCTGTGAGCGAAGCACCACCGGTTGCAGTCCCTTTACCCAGGAGCTGGGGAGAGGCTGAGGACCCAGAATGTCTTGTGTATCAGGCAGTAGAAACTCACATGAAAAACACATGAGGCTTTTTTTGTTTTGTTTTTTTGCAGTGAGTAAAAAAGCCCAATGCGTTTTTTATTTGAATCTGAGAAGCTGGAGAATAAAAAGCATTTTGTTTATTTTATCACAATGCACTCACTTCTGACAGGCACCCTGCTTCAGAGGAGTGCTGGGTGTTTTGATCAGACTCCTGTGCCAGGACCTAAGAGGAGGACTGACTCTGGGTTAAATGCAACAAGGAGTGCGCGGTGGGGAGATCCTTGTCTGACACCAGCCTGGGCTGAGGAGATGCCGGAAATCACCAACTCTCCTGTGTTTATTCCCCTTGGAGAGTCTCTGTCTATTCCAGAAAGGAACTGCAGATTGATCTGTAGATGTGACTTTATACAGTCACCTGTGAGCCCCAGAGAAGCACCTCTGCAGAGAAGCACCCTGACTCCAGGCCTCCTGCTGCTCGGTCATTCTCCATGAAGGCAGCACTGACTCCAGGCCTCCGGCTGCCCCGTCATTCTCCATGAAGGCAGCACTGACTCCAGGCCTCCGGCTGCCCAGTCATTCTCCATGAAGGCAGCACTGACTCCAGGCCTCTGGCTGCTTAGTCATTCTCCATGAAGGCAGCAAGTGTCTGCAGTGCCGGTCGGTTCAGCGAGGCAATCTGTCAACCCCTCACTCATTCATGCGTGCACTTGCTCCGTTACTAATTCATCAATCAATCAGTATTTATCGAGTGTCTACTATATGCCAGATTTTGTGCTGGGCACTAGAACAAAGGCTGTCTTGAGGATGTTACATTTTGGTAGGGAAGACAAATACACAGGCAGACAGTTAAAGCAGACAAGATGAGTGCGCTGAAGAAATGGAACCCAGTGATGTGCAAGTGACCAGCAAGGGGGCCTCTGGTCCTTTAGACCAGGTGGCCACGAAAGCAACATGAAACTGAGACCCAATAAGCCAGGAATCAGAAATACAAAGTGCTGAGGGAAACAGCATTCAAAAAAAAAAAAAAAAAACACTCAGTGCAGGAAATCCGAGCTAGCCTGTGGAGAGGCCACATGAGGAGAGAAATGTCTGGCCTGCCCCCTCTCTTCCAGCCATCCCAGGAGAGGACAACATGCAGGCAAAGAGCCAGCCAAGGCTGCAGATGATTGCAACTTCAGTTGCCATCTGAGCGTAACTACCCAAGTGGAGGCCCCACGTGAGAACCATGTAGCTGCCCAGTCAACCCACACAGCCATGAGACATCAACACAAATCACTAATCTCAGCCACTCAATTTTGGGGTTGCATTAGTCCATTCTCACACTGCTATAAAGACATACCTAAAACTGAGTAATTTGTGAAGAAAAGAGGTTTAACTGACTCACAGTTCCTCAAGCTGTACAGGAGGCATGGCTGGGGAAACCTCAGGAAACTTACAATTACAGTGGAAGGCAAAGGAAACGCAGGCACATCTTCACATGGCAACAGGAAAGAGCATGAAGCAGGAGGGGCTACACACTTTTAAACCAACAGATCTTGTGAGAACTCACTCACCATCACAACAGCAAGGGAGAAATCTGCCCCCATGATCCAATCATCTCCCACCAGGTCTCTTCCCCAACATTGAGAACTACAATTCAACATGAGATTTGGGTGGGGACATAGAGCCAAACCATATCAGGGTGCTTTGTGATACAGCAATAGCTAACTTGTATACCTCTGTGCGGTCTCCCTGCATCTCCTCTTGCGTACTACGTCTCTACAGAGTTGCAGATATAATTCCTTAAAAATTCAGGTTAGATCACATCATTCTACTGTTGAAAACCCTCTAATGGCTTCCCATCTCGCTCAGGAAGGAAAGAGCCAAAGTCCTTATCTTGGCCTTCAAAAGCTTTAAGTGATCTGCTCCAAGTCATCTCCCTCATCTGACCTCATCTTCTAACTATTTCCCCGTGTTCATTCTACTCCTGCACCTCGGGCTTCCACACACTTCTCAGACACAGCAGGCATTCACCCTCTGCCCCAGGACCTTTGCACCTCTGCACAGCTCCCTCCCTGGCTTCATCCAGGTCTCTTTTCAAAGGACTCACCCACAGTGAGGTCTCCCCAACCACTAAATGTAAACCAGCTCTTCCATGACTATCACTCTTCGCCTCTTTTCACTTCCCCACCTGACCTGCACATTAATTTATCAACTCTCTACCAGAACCAAGGGCATGGATTTAGATCACTTTTTCCAGAAACTAGAAAGCGTTTGATGCAAAGTGGTTGCTCAATATTTTTGAATGAATATATCTTTAGGTGTGGGTTCAATTAGATTTCTTTATTTTTAACTTTTATTTTAGGTTCAGGGGCACATGTGCAAGTTTGTTATATAGGTTTTAATCAGGGCAAGGACTGTAGGCTTTGAAATTCTTCAGGAAGCCAGTGCCTGAGGTAAACAAATCCATTTCCCTTTAAAATCTGTATATCTGGACATACTCTTCTGACTCTTCAAGTGAAAATTACTTGGCAGCCCCCATAATACGGTCAAAAAGGGCTCTGTAAAGAACCATGTGGGCTGGATGCAGTGGCTCATACTTGTAATCCCAGCACTTTGGGAGGCTAAGACAGGCAGATCACAAGGTCAGGAGTTCGAGACCAGCCTGACCAACACGGGGAAACCCCATCTCTACTAAAAATACAAAAATTAGCTGGGCGTGGTGGCAGGCCCCTGTAATCCCAGCTACTCAGGAAGCTGAGGCAGGAGTATCGCTTGAACCTGGCAGGCGGAGGTTGCAGTGAGCCCAGATCACGCCACTGCACTCCAGCCTGGGTGACTGAGCGAGACTCCTTCTCAAAGAAAAAACAAACAACAAAAAATAAATAAATAAGCCATGTGTTGCTGTGCATAACCAATCACAGGCTGCAGGGAAGCAGGGCACGTTGTCTTTAGCTAAATTGAATGATCACTATTAAGACAGGCGGCACATCAGTGATATTTGGAAACAAAAAAGCCAGCATATGAATGTGACCAGTGGGCTAATTTTCAGTTCAGACAGGCCCTGAATGCACATTGGCACAGCTCCACAGCTGTAACTACCCCCGTTAACACAGGACGGGCAGTCTTAATTCACAGGCCGCATGTCCCCTCTTACCCCTCAGTCACTTTAGGACATGGAAGACACAAGACGCGTCAGGTGCTAGATGAGAACGGTGGCCACAGGATTTGGGAACAAAGGCCGTGGTGATGGCTGCCTGAGCTTCATGCTTTAACCCAAGTGAGCCGCTTCTATCACTCTACCACACGCGTCATCTAATAATGGAACAACATGGGTTTCTTGAGGATCAGCAGGGAGGTCCGTAGAGTGGGAACCCGGAGCTCTCCCACCCGAGCATCCAGGGGTCACGACACACTCCATCTCCCACACGTGGTGACGCCCTGACCCTGAACCGCACATCCCCAGGCTTCCCTGTCACAGCAGATGACACCATTGCTGCCCCAGAAATTAACGTCCTGACTCCTTCCTGCCTCTCACACTCCACGTCCAGTCTATCAGCAAACCCTGTTGATTCCACCTTGAAGACACACCCCGAGCCTGTGCACTTCTCCCCACCCTGCCTTGCTGGAAGCCCCCATCATCTCGCATCAGGACATGGCTCCCAGTGGGGTCCCTGCTTCCACTCCTGTTTTTTTTCTGTGCGGCCACTGGAGTGACCCTCTACAAACCAAAGCCAGATGCACCTCCTCTCTCAATTCCAGTGGCATCTGACATAAACTGATTGAAAACTATGCCACAGTCACTCCCTGCATCTGAGGTAGGAGGGTAAGAGATGGGGGTTGGACTCTGGACCACACAGCACTAGCTAAATTAGGTCCCAGGTAGAAGCACCTTCCCATGAGACGCACCGCAGTGCCATGTCAGTTTACCATTGCCATGGCAACGTCCAGAAGTTATCGCCCCTTTCCATGTCAGTGACCCAGCCATCCAGAAGTTACCACCATTTTCCAATAATTTTCTGCATAACCTGCCCCTTAATTTGCATGTAATTAAAACCTGGTTTAAATACGACTTCGGAGCTGCCTTTGAGCCACAACTCTAGGCGCACAGCCTGTGAGGTAGCCTTGCTCTGCAAGGAGCAGGACCTCTGCTGCTGCTATGCACAGACACTTCAGTAAAAGCAGCTAACCCCACCAGCTTGCCCTTGAATTCTTCCCTGGGCAAAGCCAAGAACCCTCCCATCCTAAGCCCTGATTTGGGGGCTCCCTGCCCCGCACCACATCTACATTCTTGCTGACGTAATTTCTTGGCTCCTCATAGCTGGAGACAGAGTCAGCTTCCCCATCCCCTCAAACCAGGCAGACTCTGAGCCTTGCTTTGGCCAACGGAATTCGAGAAGTGCCTTGCCCCATTCAAGCCTGGGCCTTATGAGGTCTTCCATGCCTCTGCCTCATTCACGGCCCAACTGTACCCTGGCCAGAAGCCCTGTCTTGCCTGATGGAGGAGGGGAGAGCAAGGAGCAAGGCAGTCACCCCAGCCCAACCAACCAAGACCCTCCAGTGGCCACCCAGGTGCATGAAGCCCCGGCTGGACCGGAGGAGCTGTTCAGTCCAGTCCGGTCAAGCTGAGAAGCTCCATGCAGCCAATCAGAGGTTTGGGAGCAATGATGGACTGTGACCGCTTCAAGCCCCAGGCTTCGGGACGGTTTGTTATGCAGTCTTATTGGGACGGGGGTAATACATACAGTTCTACAGTTCTTGGAATTCTACCTTGGCCTGTAAGACTCTGGCCAATTTATTCCCAATCCGGGTTTCATTTTTTACTTCCCTGCCCCTCCCCATTCACTGTCCGGCCCACTTTCTTCTCCTTGGACATGTCAAGCATCCATACATCCCAGGCCCTCTGCACTCCCCCTGCCTGGAATGCTCCTCCCTGAACACTGACAGGGCTGCTTCCTCCCTCTGCTCAACATGTAGGTCTAGGGAAGCCTCCTGGACCACTCTTTTAAAGTGCCACCATCAGCAGGAACTGATTTCCTCCTCGTTTACCCAATTTATTTTTCTGCAAAGCACTTATCACTGCCTGACAGTGTATCACACGCATTTGACTTTTTCTTCATCGGGCAGTTGAATGTTGAGGTCTATTTTGCTAACTGCTATACCCCTGGTGCCTGCAACAGTGCCTGGTACATAGTGCTCAATCAATCCTTGTGAATGAATGAACAGTCATGCAATAAGCAGCTCATGGCCCAGGGATGCCACGTGTGTCTCACTATATAGATCCCTGTTTAGGTGCACCGATGTACCCCTTTCCCTTGGTAGGGATGGAGGGGACAGGGAAATTCCCCAAAAGACAGGGTGGACTTGCAGGCGGAGTCTAGTTAGACCACCCCACTTGGTTCAGACTCCAGTGCTTTTCCATCTCTTGGTATTTTAAATTCCATAGACCAGGAATGAAGGGCTCCAGAATACTACATTTTCTCTTGTACAAGTCCCATCAAAAAGAACACAGCTGGGCATGGTGGCTCATGCCTGTAATCCTAGCACTTTGGGAGGCCAAGGTGAATGGATCACTTAAAGTCAGGAGTTCAAAACCAGCCAACATCGCAAAACCCTGTCTCCACTAAAAATACAAAAAAAAAAAATATTATCCGGGTGTGGTGGTGTGTGTCTGTAATCCCAGCTACTCGGGAGGCTAAGGCAGGAGAATCTCTTGAACCCGGGAAGTGGAGGTTGCAGTGAGTTGAGATCATGCCACTCCACTCCAGCCTGGGTGACAGAGTAAGACTCCATCTAAAAAGAAAAAACAAAAAACAAAAAAAACACCAAAGAACTCTTCTTGAGTTCTTCCCATATATGGGGCAATCCAGCCTTAGCGTTCCTCCCCAATCCTCCTTGCTAACGATGCAAAAAAGGCTTGAAAACTCCATATGCCATTAGGCTCTTCTTCTCCAAAGGAAGAGACTTGGAAAAATTGCTCCTCCATTGCTATGAAAATGTTCCTGACAACCATTTCTTCTGTATTTTTCTGCATCCTCTAACATAACATTCCGAGTAAGAAAACCATGTCCAGCACGCCATGCTTTGTTTTGCTGGGGAAGCAGTGAGCTCCCTTCCCCGAAGGAGTGAGAATTATGCAATTGTTCATATTTTCTTTTCTGTCCAGCCTCCCTGGAAACTCGGAGCCAAATGAGAATCTTGGAGTAACTATGTTCAGCCTCTGAGGTGGTATATCTTAGTTCTTTCTTCTCTTTATGCAAACATTCCACTTCCTTCATATCACTTCATTATATTTAATGATTTTGGTAATTAGGCCATATGCTTGGAAAGAAGCATAATAAAAACACATTCACAGATAATGAAGTCATCAATTATCATTTTTTAAGTAAGAAAATCAGGAGGGACTCAAATCAGGTTAAATATCACTGTGTGATCCATGCTGGGAGCAGGGGGGGGTGTCTAGTCAGTTTCAGTATTGTTCTCCCATGATTGTTTTAGGAAACATTCAGCCCCAATTTCAGTCTTTTCTATTTCACTGAAAGCTTTTATATTTGGAAGGAAAACTACATCCCGTTCACAATTCAGTAAAACCCAGTGGTGGGTGTGATTTGGTGGCCCGGTCACCAGGCTCTTCACCAGGCTGGCACTTCAGTGTCTTTGTTCTGTGCAGGCAAAGGGGAGGGGCTGTGAGCCGGCCCTCAGGCACACTTAGCTGGGAATCCTGCACCCCCTGACTCCTCCCAGGATGGGTCTCTGATCCCAGTAGAATCCTCTTCAGCTCTCAGCAAATCAGGTTGATTGAAACTCTGTTGAGGTTCCAATTCCACTCACATCACTGACAACAAAAGAAAAAATGCCACCAACTCAAAGGGTGTGAGGTCAGAAAGGAGGGAAGATGCTGCATCGCCGGCTTTGAAGGTGGAGCGCGAGGCCCTGAGCAGCCCTTGCAGCTGGAAAGGCAAGGAATGAATTCTCCCCAAAGCTCAGAAAGGCACGCAGTCCTGCCAACACCAGATCGTAGCCCTGTGAGGCTCATCTCAGACTTCTGACCCCCAGAACTGTAAGAGAATATGACTACGTCGCTTTAAGCCACCGAGACACTGTGGGATCACTTGCTACAGCAGCGATAAGAAACAGACACACGGTTTCTGAGCTCAGTACCACTGACACGTGGGACCAGGTGATAATCTGCTGTAGGAGACTGATCTGCACGGATCTGCGCGTGGGAGAGGGTTTTACATCCCTGGCCTCCCCTTCCCCAGTCATATCAATCAAACGTGTCCTCAGACATTGCCAAATATCCCCTGGAGGGCAAGTTGGCCTCACTGAGAACCATCTTTCATGGCTTTTTAATCCAACAGACTCTCCGCTAAGCTCCTTCCTCCCAGGGATTCACGGCACACCCTCCATTAAATTCACTAAGCCCTGAACCTGTGTCCCAGGCACTAAAGGCAGAGGGTTGGATAAGTCACGGTGTGTGCCCTCAGAAAACTCACAGTCATCGAGGCAGCTGCTTAAAGAATTATGTGGTAGCACCTCCTCTCTTGAGGGTTACATCCTGAAAACTTAGAGCACACAGTGAGAAGCAGGATGGTGAGCTTGCTGAGAACCGCAGGACCAGCTTGGTTCACATTCAGGGCCGGTAGTCAGAGAATAGGGCATCTTTCTTTGCTAATCGAGATGGCATCATTCTTTTCTAATTGAGATGGAATCCACATGCCATGAAGGTCACCATTTTAGTGTGCAGTGCCCCATGGTTTTGGCACTTTCACAAAGTTCTGCAGCCATCATTACCATCTAACTCAAGAACATTTTCATCACTCCAAAAAGAACCTCATACCCCTTAGTGGTCACTCCTCATCCCCATCCCCCCCATCCCCCACCCCCTCCACTCCCCCCACCACCATCCCTGGAGGGGTCACTCCTCATCCCCACCCCCCACCCCCTCCACTCCCCCCACCACTATCCCTGGAGGGGTCACTCCTCATCCCCAACCCCCACTCCCTCCACTCCCCACCATCATCCCTGGAGGGGTCACTCATCCCCATCCCCCACCCCCTCCACTCCCCTCCCACTATCCCTGGAGGGGTCACTCCTCGCCCCCATCCCCCACCCACTCCGCTCCCCCCACCACTATCCCTGGAGGGGTCACTCCTCATCCCCACCCCCCACCCCCTCCACTCCCCCCACCACCATCCCTGGAGGGGTCACTCCTCATCCCCACCCCCCACCCCCAGCACCCCCCCATCATCCCTGGCAACTATCCAGAGGCTCCCCTCAGAGCTCCAAACGCTTCCCCAAAGAGGCTACAGATGGAGGTAAAATCACTTCTTGATTTAAAGAGTATTTGCGGATGCAGCCTAATCCTGTTTTCTGCAATTGTGAAATGCAAATGACCCTGGTAATATATGTACTGGATCATAGAACTGGAGATGATTATTTTTTTATTTTTGTAAAAAAATGTTTTCCAGAATGATAATCCAATCAAATTTTAACACTTGGTGAAAAAATTCATTCAGCTTAACTCAGTGGCATCAATAGCAAATCAACCCACTGGCTAAATATTGAAGGAGAGCTCAGCTCATCAGGAATGCATGAGGAACATCCAGTTACCTGTACCCCCTGATAGAGCAAGGTTCTGGTTTAGCTATCCTCTTTATAACAAAGGTCATTAAACGTCTGAGGAGCAGCTTAAAATTCCTGAAGTTTGAAACCCACTGTAGCCACCTCTGGTCTTTAACGTAGGCAGACTCCATTTCCATTCAGGAGCGGTGTGCCTGCCACTGCACAGCTCAGCTGTGTTTAACATCCTAAAAAATGGAAATGCATAATTGGCTTTACGGGATTGCTTCCAGAAACACTGGAATTTTGTTATTTATTGCTTTTTATACCACAAAAAGGGGAAAAACAGCCCCAACATCTCTGAATGTGGATGATGGCTTCCAAAGGAGCTTTACATACCTTCTGCTCGGGGTCCTGCAGCCCCTCCTTCCTCACACCGACCTCACAAAGAGCAGAAGCGGTCCCAAATGCAGAAAGCCAGCTTACCTTCAGGACCTGTTCTAGGTTCTCCAGCTTGGCTTGGAGCTGGTGTTTCTCCTTCACGGCCAAATCGCGCTCTCTGGTCACGAGGGTGAGCGGATGGTTGAGATGCACATACTCTGCCTTCACCTGCAAGCGGAAGGGATGGAGACAAGGAGGTTATCACAACATGCCTAAGAGTTGGTATCCGTTGCTTCCTCTTTAGGAGCAAAATCTTCAATTTCCTCCTAGAGAATCCTTCCCTCCCTCCTTCTCCATCATGGACTGGGTCCACTCCTACTAGGGGTCACTACACATGACCAAGGGCTGGCCAATCAGCAGACGACCTCCATCTTCCTCCCTCCCACCTCCACCACAGCCTCAGTGATTGGTTCAGGGTTGCAAATGTGTCACAGGTCTGGCCAATCAGTGTAATCTCATCCCCTGGATGTGGTGATTGGTTGGGGAAGTCACATGACCCAGTTGCATTCTGGGGGAATGAGATCTTGCACTTGTATAGGAACCCGGAAGAACTCTCCCTTTTGCCCACTGGACTCGGAAAGTTAAAGACAAACAGCTGGAACTACTGTGGCCTTTGCCATCACGAGGGAAGAACCCATCTGAGAACAGAGCCAATGAGATAAACACAGAGAGATGCAGAGGGAAAAGCAGGATCCCCATGGCATCATTTGAGCACCCAAATCAAGCTGAGCCTGAAGCTAATTGTCTTTTCCTTTTCAGTCACTTGGACCAATAGATTCTCCTTGTTTGCTTACACCAATTTGAATCGTCTGTCCCCTGTAACTATGAGAGCCCTAACAGATACAAGTGTTTTCCCACTGTCTAAGCATATTTATTCTTGTCTAAAAATTTTATCTCATCTTAAAAGTGAATAAAAATGCCAATGAAATTCCACATGAACTAGAATGCATTCCCCCAATAAACCCAAAAACCACATAAATTCCATTCTCAGGCCACAACCCCCAGGGCCAAGCTACAAGCTTATTGGGAAGGCAAGCGCCATGTTCAGTCTCTCTCCTCTTCGAAACAAGTAAGGGGATGCTGTCAACGAAAGAAGTCACCATGGTTCCTTTCCCATTCATTTTCATTGTGGAGGCAACATGTTTTAACCCAACGGCAGCCTTGTAATTTCTTTTCCTCCTCCTCAAGTGTTATGATGTGAATTATGGCTTCAATAACAGACTAACATAATGTCACGCTTTTCAGCTGCAGAAGTCCTTTCTATTTCAAATACATTCTGTACTGAGTGTTAGTTTAACCTGACAACTTCTGGGGCACCAAAAGAAAGGGAGGCACCCACTTGGCATTCCCAAATGGGAACAGGGTTACAGGAAAGCTGTTATTAAGAGGTCGTAGAGAGGTCTCATTCGAAGGAATATTTTAATGCCATTTTGCTGCAACGTGATGTTATCAGGCAACGAACTTAGAGAAATAATCCAAATGCCCCCGGAGAAAATGTCACGACCTATTTGAATTAAACCACCCTCACTTCTGAACCTCAATACCCTGGGGTGCAGGTTTGCAGAAAGCATCACTTCTTGCATCCTAGCTGTTCAAGAACATTAGGACTTGGGGGTCATGCTTGAATGCCCCTAAATTCAGTCTCACACGGTGACCAGCACCATCTTTCTGAAATACCTGCCAGATCTTGCCTCTCCCTGCTTGAAACCTTCTGTGGTTTCCACAGAAATTAGAATAAAATCCAAACTCCTTGGTGGTCTAAAAGTCCTACCCACCTGCTACCCTGTTGCCACTATGCTGGGGACACCCTGGCCTCCTTCTGTCCCTTAAACAGGTCAAGCTTCTTCCCACCCCGGGGCCCCTGCACCTGCTGATTCCATTGCCTGCAGATCTCTACCCGGCCCTGCCCCAGTCTGCTCAGGTCTGGCTCCTTCTCATTAGGTGTCACCTCAGACAGGCCTTCCCAACCCTTGCAAGGTGACGAAACCCTTGCCTTCACCCCCTGCCTCCATGCCCCTCCCTCCCACACCACCATGCTTTGGTGTCCACGTGTGCTCAGCACTGTCCTCTGCGGCTGTTTGCCTTCTTCCTGTGGCTGCTCCTCATTGGAACAGAAGTGTCACCAGACAGAAGTTTTCTTCTGCCTTGCAATTTCCCATCATCAGCGCCCAGAGGACCGCCTGGCAGGGAGTCAGTGGTCGAGCAAGATTTTTGTACTGAATGGAATGGTGTTGAGGAAATTTCCAAGAGTGGAAAGGTGGCCCTGGCTCCTGGGTGGACTATTGCTGTCAGCCCTCCCAGACACAGGCCCCACTGTCATCAATCCCCCTTTGTGTCCTGAGAGGCTCATCCTCATGGCCTGCACCCCCCGTACCATCCGGCTTCTAATCAGGCTTGCCCAGTGGAAGACATGATCAAGAAATGATGGATCAGCATGACCCCCGGCCCCCGGCCCTCCCCACCAGCCTGCAGGGATTACCCTGAGCTGCTCCCCTTAGAAAGGCTGCTGGCGAGCCTGGCCCTTGGCTGGAGGCCTGGGAAGCAGGATTTGGGGAGAATTCCTACCTTCCCTAATTGATTAGGGCGGCTTACCACATCTAGGCCACTTGAACAGGACAGTTTATGCTGAACACCTTTCCTTCTGGGAGTCGGAATTTCAGTATGTGCCGGACAGAGAGTGCCCATGCCACCAGGTCCCCATAAAAACTCTGGCTGCTGAGGCTTTAATGGGCTTCCCTGACAGATGACATTTCACACACATCACAGCTTGCAGCTGCAGGTCCTCTAAGCATCCTGTGTGATTCTTGGGAATCCTCTTGGGAGACGACCTGGAGAGCCTGTACCTGGTCTACCCCGGCTTCATTCTGTGTGCCTCTCCCTTTGCCACCTGTGCTATGTGTCCTTTTGCTGTAATAAGTCACAGCCCTAAGGGCAGCTGCACACTGAGCCCTGCGAGTCCTCCCACTGGGTGGTGGAACTGGGGTAACCCCCAACAGTGTCCTTCTACAGGGAGGGCCTCTCCCACACCCTTCTCCCTGTACCCATAGCAGGTGGCCATGGCCCCCGGCCTCTGCTGGTCTCAGACTCCCAACCTCCTTTGCAGGTGTCCTGCCCATGCCCTCTGCCCCCCCGCCCCGGCAACAGCACCCACACCTTTGTTAGTACTTTCTTTTCTAAACTCTGCTCCATCCTCCAGTTTGCAAGTGCTGTGTATTTGCTATTGTGACCCTGATGGGTAAAATCTCCAAAGGAAAAAACATTAGCAGCCCAGAAGCACCATGATGGCTCAGAGGCTCCCTACATAAGGAGTTTCTAGTTTGGGGAGGAATCGATTCAGATTCGTGTTTCACAGAGAAGCCAACTTGGGTTTCAGGCTCCATGTGCAGAACCCAGCATGAAGATGCATTTATTATCCAGCTTTTTATAAGAGCACTGGACAGTCAGGAATTGCCTTCTAAGGGTCAGCATCCAGTGCTTTGGTCAAGAACAGACAACCTCCAACCTGCGGACAGGCTGCCGTTCCAGTGTGAACCTGGAAAGAAATCACCGGGCACCGGAACGCATTCTCCCACAGGTGTGTTACAAACGGCGCCAGAAGCTAGAGTCCAGCTGGCCCCTAAATCCTATTTGTCCCACAGTAGAGCTAGAAGGGAGCTAAATTTAATACGGTAGAGTGGAAACACTGTGTTTCTGCAGTGGACAATATGGTGGCAATTGCAGTGACTTAAGGCAATAATGTTGGGGGAACGAATGGGTGTGTTGACCTCGAGGTGATGCTCATAAGCAAAGTAAAAGGAAAGATCTTGGAGGAAGGTGAAGAGTCCAGACAGAGTCCATGGAGGACCTCGGGGCAAGCCAATGACATTTACTCTTTCTTTTTTTTTGAGATGGAGTCTCGCTCTGTCACCCAGGCTGGAGTGCAGTGATGCAATCTCGGCTCACTGCAACCTCCACCTCCTGAGTTCAAGGGATTCTCATGCCTCAGCCTCCCAAGTAGCTGGGGTTACAGGTGCACACCACCATGCCTGGCTAATTTTTGCATTTTAAGGAGAGACAAGGTTTTGTCATGTTGGCCAGGCTGGTCTTGAACTCCTGACCTCAAGTGATCTGCCCACTTCGGCCTCCCGAAGTGCTGGAATTACAGATGTGAACCACCTCACCCGGCTGATATTTACTCTTTCATGGACCTCGTCTCATGCCACAATTATGGTTTTGCATTTCTTTGACTTAAAATTCCCCATAGTGTCATCTTTTTGTTTACCAGAATGATGAAGGCCATGGCTCTGGTTCGCAACAAGGAGGAGAGGGTGTGTGGACAAGGAGGGGGAGGGAGAACCGAAAAGACTGATTTCCTGGATGTATAATGGCTGAATAACGGCCCCACACAAAGATGTCCACATCCAAATTCCTAAAGTCTGTGAATATATCACTTTTTGTGGCAGAACGGACCCTGAAGATGGGATTGCATGGAGCATCCTGAGAGTGGGAGAGCACCGGGGTTATCCAGATGGGCTCTACGTAGTCACAGAGCCCTTATCAGGAAAAGCAGAGTCAGAGACAAAAAAGAGAGAGCTTAGGTGATGCTCTGCTGCCAGCTTTGAAGATCAGGGAAGGAAGCCAAAAAAAGGCAAGAGGAGAGACTGTCCCCCAGAGCCTCAGGAAAGCACACCGGCCTGCTGACATCTTGACTTTAGGACTGAAGACCTCCAGAGCGGTGAGACACGGTGGTGTGTGTGCTTGTAGGAATTTGTCACAGCAGCAATAGGCAACTGATGCGGAAATCAGCTAAACAGCAGTCCTCGTTACCGCGAGCACGCGTCGAATTGTCACTCTACACCAACAACTGGCATCTGTCCCTGGAAAGCCCTAAGCCCCAGTGAGCTGGGTCCCACCCCTCCCTATTCCCCCAAGTCAAGGTTTGTCACTTCCTCTACTGGTACAGCCCCCAGGGCTTCAGTCACCCCAGTGGCTCCCCTAACCCTGCCTGCACCTCCTTAAGAATGCTTAGCAACCCTCAATTGCTTTTGGAGTATGCGCCATCTCTCTCCTGCTGGGACCAGACTGAGACCGTCTGTGACACGGTTCTGATGAGCCTGGAGCAGAAATCTCTAGAGGACAATGACCTTTCATGAAACAGAGCTTCGTGAGAAAAGCTTCAGCCCCTCTTCCTCCCACCACAGTGGGGATGCGACCCTTCGAGATGGAATACCACCTGTCTCGGTGTCAAGGAAGCCACCCTCCACACACGTCTCTGCTGGACAGGAGCCCCTGGGCCCTGGCTCCTTCTCCAGGCAGCTGCCTCTGGCCAGGGTCACCACCTCTGGGCTTCCTGAGCACAACAGTGCCCTTCGTATGAAACCCACCAAGCTCAGGCTTCTGTGAGGGGCAGCTGGAAATAACCCCAGCTGATAAACCTGGAGAAGGGGGCGTTCTCTAATTCAGCAGCCGCTGATCCCACCTGGATAGAGGACTGATGCCACTAAATTAAAACACGATAAATATTGGCTCCCACGGGCCACTCAAATGCTGGCGCCTGGGGCCGGTAGCCCAGAAGACAGCCTGGCAGTTTCTTCTCTGCCTGGTTGGGCTTTGCAGCCCAGCTCGTGCCAGGGAGTCTTGGTGGATGGGTCCTTGGTTGACAAATGCCCTGGCCTCTGGCTGAGCACAATATAGGGGTGCTGGGATCCCCGCTGCATCAAGGTCTCTGCCTCAAAGTCCATTGCTTTCTTTTTTTTTTCTTGAGAGAGCCTCACTCTGTCGCCCAGGCTGGAGTGCAGTGGCATGATCTTGGCTCACTGCAACCTTCACCTCCTGGGTTCAAGTGATGATTATGCCTTAGCCTCCCAAGTAGCTGGGATTACAGGTGCACTCCACCATGCCCAGCCAATTTTTGTATTTTTAGTAGAGACAGGGTTTCTCCATGTTGGCCAGGCTGGTGCCAAACTCCTGACCTCAGGTGATCCACCCGCCTTGGCCTCCCAAAGTGCTGGGATTACAGGCGTGAGCCACCGCACCCGGCCTGGGTCCCTGTCCCATTGCTCCTGGACTAGAACAGTCTCCTGGATGTTCTCAAGGGCCAAATCAGTCTCCTACTAAAGGAGAAAGTGGACTCAGAGTGACAAAGATGACTCAGAGATTTTCACTAAGACACACAACCAAAGAAAAAACATCCCAGATGTTCCAGGTTAGGAGCCCAGACGATTCTTCCTTTGTCCTGATGAAATGCAAGATGAACAACAGTTCCCTCTTATGCGATTTTTTTTAGAGAATAATATTCAGCTGCAACCCTGGGCTGGACACTCACCTTTCAGTCAAAAACTAAGCCTCACGAATCCCAAATGTCTATGTGTGTCATCCTTTTAAACTTTCATAATTTTTTTACTAGGAAAAAAAATGTTTAAAGAGGGAAATTGCTAGTAAGTTGCATGGTTGCCATCTCATACCAGTGTTTCCTAGCTGTGCCTATACTTCTACAACCTTTTGGGTTTCTGGCCAGCAGGTAAGAGGATTCCCTAGGTTGTAGGAAATTCTGACCCATGCTACAGCATGTGCTCATGGGTCATGAACTTAATGACCTACTAGTGCCCAGCTCCAGAATGTCAGGTACTAACAGGGTTTGAGTGATTCTCCAAGACCTGCTCACCACACACAAACACAACAGCACATTAGCAACCCTGGGCATCAGATCCAGACACTGGACTGGATTTTATTCTCTAAAAAAATCTCATAAGAGTGAACTGTTCTTCACTTAGATCCAGACACTGGACTCATTTCTGTTTCAAAATAGATTCTTGTGGCAGCAACGGTGGCACCAGGTGGAAGAGAAGCTTGGAATATTTGGCATCAGCTACTCAATGTGACGAAAACCTTGAACCTCAGACCTGCTACAGGAACAGTGGCCCAGTGCGGGGAGGAGGGAGCTTTAACAGGCACCTCCTAACCCAAACAGAGAAGAAATTTGAATTATTTTTCTGAAATCAACAAAAGGTTAGTTTTGCAGCTTCAAAGGCATCAAGCATATTCTTTGCACTATGTCTTGGATCCCAGCTCATCGGTTTCCTCCCACAAGGCTGCCTGCCTAAGAGAATCCAATTCAACACTCCAGACAGCCCAACATCACAGTTTGCACCTAAGAACCAATCATTTCCGCACAGGGAAAAATGCTGACACTGCAGTCTCTTTGCATTCATAATTAAGAGCTCTGAGAATTAATTTCCATCTCTTAATCAGTGCTACTGAAAAGCATTTTGCAATTCCAAGCAAGAATCAGATAGGGGAATTGCTGATCCCCAAGTGTCTCCAGGGATCCAGAAGGACACTGTTGTTTCTGCAGGTTTGCATTGACAAGCCTACCCATGAGTCTGGAGGGACAGTTGAATACTTCCATCAGCACAAAGTCACCCCCACACCTTCAGCCTCCCCAGCTACCACAAAGATGCTCAGCCCAAGAGACAGTCTCTGGGGACTGCCACTCCCTCAATGCCTCCCATGCAGGTAGCCAGCCCAGGCACTTGGAAGGAAAGCCAAGCTCCGCAAAGCAGGCTGCAGGACAGATCTGGGGTGCCCCTGCTGCCTCTCTCAAAGCACTGCTATTCCTGTCCATGCCGGGTGAGCTGCTGGGCTCCCTCAGACACCCATAAGAAGCAGAAGCAAAGGCCAGCTCATTTCCTGTGCCTTGCAGCCTTGTTTAAAAGGCCAAGCTGAGAAGACAGCAGGGGGAGAAATTCAAACCTCAAGCAAACAAACAAAGTGGTTTGAATCCTGCGGGAGCAGGGATGTCAAGCTGCACTACCAGCCATCCAGGAAAGGAGGCCTTTGCCTCTGTTGTGAGGGCTGAGCGCTGGGACCCCCACCTCCGCCGGCCCTTGCTGGCCTGGTCAATGCCTGCAGGGCTCAGCTCCAGCACCCCCATCCCCCCACAGCTGGCATTGCCTCTCCAGGTGCAGGAGCCCAGCTCAGGAGTGGAACGTGTACACATGCAGCTATTTTAGTCGTAGGAAGAAAGCCATCCCAGGATCCGACCTCCCTGTGCCCAGCTCCCCACCAGCCCTGTCGTCAGCCTGCGCTGGAGGCCTGAAGCACCCCCATCTTTTTTATATTTTTCCTCCTATTTGAAGAAAAATACTCCTGTCCTAAGAAAGTCACTAAGCCTTATGATGCATTCAGACCTCAGTGTGAGTGAGTTTAGCAGAGCCTTTCCTGCAAGTGTAGGTTTGGAAAGTGGGGGCTGGTGGAAAAATGGGGAAAGCATACTAATTGGAGGGTCAGGATATATTAAGACACTTTTTTTTTGAGACAGAGTCTTGCTCTGTCGCCCAGGCTGGAGTGCAGTGGCGTGATCTCCGCTCACTGCAAGCTCTGCCTCCCGGGTTCATGCCATTCTCCTGCCTCAGCCTCCAGAGTAGCTGGGACTACAGGCACCGGCCACCACGCCCGGCTAATTTTTTGTATTTTTAGTAGAGACGGGGTTTCACCGTGTTAGCCAGGATGGTCTCAATCTCCTGACCTCGTGATCCGCCCGCCTCGGCCTCCCAAAGTGCTGGGATTACAGGAGAGAGTCACTGTGCCCAGCCTAAAACACACCTTTTTAAGAAAAATTATGATAAAATACACATTACATAAAATTTACCATCTTAACTATTTTACATGTAGGTATTTCAGTGGCATTAAGGACATTCGCACTGTTTTACAACTGTCACTACCACCCATCTCTAGAACTCTCTTCCTCTTCCCCAACTGAAACTCTGTCTTCATTAAACAGCATCTCCCTATCCCCCCTCTACCCAGCCCCTGGCACCTCCATTCTACTGTTTGTCTCTATGGCTCTGATGACTCTAGGAACCTCATATAAGTGGAATCAAACAGTGTTTGCCCTTTGGGACTGGCTTATTCACTTAGCAAAATGTCCCCAAGGTTCATCCATGCAGTAGCGTGTGTCAGAGTTTCCTTCCTTTTCAAGGGTCAGTAATATTCCATTGGACACATATGTCACATGTTGTTTATTCACTCGTCCATCAGTGGAAATGTGGGTTATTTCCACCTTTTGGCTACTATAAATTTGTAACATGTACATATATCTATTTGAGACCCTCCTTTTCAATTTTTTTTTTCTTGAGACTGAGTTTTGCTCTGTTGCCCAGGCTGGAGTGCAATGGCATGATCTCGGCTCACTGCAACCTCAACCTCCCAGGTTCAAGCGATTCTCCTGCCTCAGCCTCCCAAGTAGCTGGGATTCCAGGCGTGCACCACCACACCTAGCTAATTTTTGTATTTTTAGTAGAGATGGGGTTTTGCCATGTTAGCCAGGCTGGTCTCCAACTTCTGACCTCAGGTGATCCACTCACCTCAGCCTCTCAAAGGGCTGGGATTACAGGTGTGAGCCACCACACGTGACTGCCTTTTCAATTCTTATACCAGGATTGGGATTGCTAGATCATATGCAATTTTATTTTTAATTTTTTGAGCAAATTCCATACTGTTTTCTATAGTGGTTGCACCATTTTACATTCCCAGCAACAATGTGCAGGATTCCAGTTTCCCTACATCCTCATCAACACTTGTAATTTCCTAAAAAACATACCTTTAAAAAATGGCCAGACAGGAAGGCAAGAAAATAAGTGTCAAATCAAGACAACTCTAATTTTTATATTTAATCACTAGAGCTCAGTTATTCCTTGAAATATGCATGGGCAAAGCTGCAAAATTAACAGCTTAAAACAACCCATCATTCAATAGATGTTGACTGAGCACCCGCTATGCATCCTTTGAAGGTACAGGAGAGACAGTCATGGATGTAACAGCAAAGCTCTCTGCAATCCCAAGCCCACATTCTCGTAGGAGACAGACAAACACATAAGTGAAGACCCGTGATAGACTAAGATAGCAAGAAAAGATACAAAGAACATGAAAACAGGTGTTGTCACATAGAGAAAAAAGGGATGGAGGGAGGGCTGTTAGAGTGGACGTTAGAGCCACGAATCCTTACCAGGAGGGACGCGTAACCTGAGGGTTGAAAGGCAAGAAGCTCCCAGCTGTTGAAGATGATGGAGTGGAGTGTTCTAAGCAGAGACAACCATCAAATGCTGAGACAAGCTTAGGGATCCAAGGAACAAAAGTAAGTCAGAGGTGGACGAGAGGTAGCAAGATGGACAGGATGGCAGCCACAGGGAGAAGCCTCAGTTTTATTTATGGAAGGCATTGGAAGGGTCAGAGGATTGCATGATCCAGAGGGCATCACAAGATCACTCCAGTTGCCATAGGGAAAAGACCACAGGATGACAAGGGAGCTAGACAGGCCAGTTAGGAAATGGCTTTGGCATCTGGGAAAGAGAAGATGACCACAGTGGAGAGGAGGGGGAGGAGAGCTGGGGCACGTCTGGTGCTGAGATGAGTGGTTGGTGCGCTCCATGGTTTGAATGCATCCCCCAAATTCCATGTGTGGGAAACTTAATCCTCAACAGGGCAGTACTGAGAGGTGGGGCCTTTAAGAGGTGACTGAATCATGAGCACTCTGCCCTCATGAATGGATAGGTCCATTCATGGATTAATGGATCAATGTGTTAATGGACCAGTGGGTTATCAGGGGAGTGGAACTGCTGGCTTAATAAGAAGAGGAAGAGAGCCCTGAGCTGGTATGTGAGCACACTCAGTCCCCTTGCCGCGGGGCACCCTATACCACCTTGGGACCCTACAGAGTCCTCATCAGCAAGAAGGTCCTCACCAGATGCAGCCCCTCAACCTTAGATTCTCAGCCTCCATAGCTTAAGAAATAGATTCCTTTTCTTTATAAAGTACCAAGTTTCAGGTATTCTGTTATAAGCAACAGAAAACAGACTTGAGCAGGGAGTTAGATTCGGATGAAGAAAGAGCAGCGCCCAGGAGGCCCCATCATGGAGGCTCAGGCAACCAGGAGTGGCCACACCATTCACTGGGGAGAAAGTGGTTTGGGAGAGTGGGCACCAATGGGTTTGTTCTGCCTTGCTGTTAAAGATACAGGTGCCTAATAGACTTCCAAGCAGAGATAACCAGCAGATAGTGGATGAGACATCACTGGGTGCCTCACGTGCTGGTCATGTGAAGAAGTGAGAGAGACCTGGCTCAGCCTCTCAGGCCACCTTCACACTGATGTTCAGTGATTCTTCCCTGCCCCTTCCCAGTTGTTCCTCCCTGGCCCAGCCCGCTCCCTCCAGGGCCCCAGATGGTCTGTGGACAGTGGTATCAGCTACCTTGTCATGCTGCCGGGCCCTTGTGGGAAGGCCTGCATGATGGGATCTCAGGAGATACTCTCCCTGGGTGGCATCCTTCAGTTCATTTTCCTAGGACAAAAGGAAAGGACATGTGAGATGGTGCCCCCATGTTTAGAGACTTGGTAGAGTGCAGTGGTTAGGAGCTCCAATGTGGTAATGAGACCCAAGGTTGGGCACTGATTCTGCAATCCATAAGCTGTGTATGAGTTGGGACTGATTTCTCTCTTTTTTCCAAACCATAAGTTTCCAAATCTACAAAAGGCAATCATGTTATATTATACGATGATTAGAATATAATACAATAATACATATTAATCACTTAGTGTCTGTGTCCTAAAAAAGCAACGGAACTTCTCGCCAATTGGAGTTGTTAATAAGCTTTGACCCATCCTTTTTCCCGTGAACACTGCTCCAAACATACAGCCACAATAAACAATAGACAGAGAAAGTTTAGAAATATTTAGCCACTCAAAAATAAGATAAAGCATTCTAAGGACTAAATGGCTAGACCACAATGTGGTGAGCGGAACTTCTGGAACCTTCTAGATTCAGAGTCCAAAAATAGGCAGGGAGAATTAAGAGTCCAGCTTTTTCAAGATATCCAAGATTCAATGTATTCCACATAAGACAAGAGACATGAACTAAGGTCACCACATGACCTGAGGCAACAGTTAAGCCCCCAAAGAAAGCTGAAAATAATCCATCACCTCCACCTAGAGCCAGAGCTTTTATGGGGTCATGCACCTAGAGAGGCAAGAGGGAGAAAACTCATTTTTAGGCTCAGTTTTAGGACTTGTCTTACTCTCTACTATCACCATGGCACAGGAACTCGGAGCTGCCAATAATAAAATCTAATTCAAGACTGAGATCACCTAGGGTGTGGTACAGTAACTACAAATAAGTAAGACAGGGAGAGTGAGCACAGAGATGGGATTAAGAATCTCTCATTCAAGATGAGTCTGAAAAGAGAAATTCCAGAACACATAAAGAGAACTAACCCTACTAAAGAGATCTCATAAACTTAATAATCAGGATAAATTTACTCCAGAGGAAATAAAAATAATAAAGCAACCTGAAAAGGACTTCAATAAGTTTAGAATCCTAAAAGAAGGAATGGCATCCATTCCAAAAGGAAGAGAAGCAGAAGGGATAATCAATGACTCACAGTGGAAGGCAGCTGGAACCACACCAGCTACCAGCTGTCAGGCTGAGAACTTCTCTTTTTCCCAATTGTTCAAGTTTGTTCTCTGTTCACACCCTAAATAAATTAATACTGGTGGGACACCCACATCTTGAATTGATCTGGTTCATCTCTGTTACAATATTTCGAGTGCTCAGAGTCTAGGCTCCATTCACACATCAGAAAAGCAGCAAGAAATCACGTGGTTTCAACACTTCCCACTAGGAGAGAGGCTCCTCCTGGCCATTTTCAGCTTCCATTTTTCAGTCAACCTTCCTTTTTTCTTAGCCACAGTCATAATGAGCTCCGCTACTCTGTGGTAGCTACATTTTCACAGCAATAAAACACAGCGAAGGAACCCAAACATAAAAGACGGTGGTGCTTTGTTCCGGGAAACAATGATTACCCAACCTTAGGGAAAGTGATTGATAATGGAGCAATTCCCTTCTGTCTTCTGAGATGGTCTGGATGGCATAACATTTATTGTTGCCTTTCTCAAGTAAAGCAGATCATAATGTAGTCCCACACTGGTTGCTTGAGAGAACTGCAGCCTCTTCAGCATGTCCCACATGGGGGAATCCCTGGAGGTCTTAAGGGGATGGGATGGGTGTACTAATCAAAATACCTGGCTGCTGACCTCAGAGACCAACATGCCCCAAGGTAAACTAAGGCAGCAATAGCTCAGAGAATTTGAGAACAAGAGACATTTGAAATAGGGGTTAGATTATGGGTTCTGAGGTCAAATTGCCTAAATACAAATGGGAGCTCTCCTTAAATGTGACCTTGGACAAGCTGCCTGGCCTCTCTGCACTCTCTGTGACTTAAGGAGGTAAAAGCTGCAACCCTAGCAGATGTTGTGAGGATTCAAGGACATCAATCTCACGGAACACAGAGCACATCTTACTGCACAGGGTCAAGGCTCAAACAAGTGGCCCCTTCCCTCCTGAAGGCATTGCAATGACTGCCTGCCTCTTCCACGTTCTGCCACCACACAGCCACCTGGTTCATGCCATCCGCCTCTCTCTGCATCGCATTTAGGAAGAGTGAATTGCAAGAAAGGAGCACAGGGAAGATAAACAAGGCTGGTCTTTCACCCAATTTTCTGGTGGTTATAGAAATGCTTACATCTATTTATTTTATTTATATTCCATCTCAGTGATTCAAGGTCAGTTGCTTATCCTGATGAAATGAAATCAGTCTTTTCAGGAAAAAAGCTCAGGATCTAAATCCTGTCCAGGAAACACCAACCCATGATATCCCAATGCAAAGGGAGAGAAACATCTTCGTCTCTTTCCAATGTAGCTTCCCAAATTGGTCCAAGCGTGAACAGGCACTTCAGATACCACTTACTATACTGGGCACACCCTACCCTAAAAAAGCCAGTCCAGCACTCTGGAAAGCCAAGGAGGGCAGATCACCTGAGGTCAGGAGTTCAAGACCAGCCTGGTCATGGTGAAACCCCGCCTCTACTAAAAACACACACACACACAAAAATTAGCCAGGCGTGGTGGTGGGCACCTGTAATCCCAGCTACTCAGGAGGCTGAGGCAGGAGAATCACTTGAACCCGGGAGGCAGAGGTTGCAGTGAGCTGAGATCACGCCATTGTACTCCAGCCTGGGCAACAAGAGTGAAACTCCATCTCAAAAAAAAAAAAAAAAAAAAAAGCCAGTCACAGGGAGATCTACTTGAAACTAACGACCCCCTACCTCACACTTCAAGAATCACAAAAAACTTAGCCAAGTGCCAAAGCCCTTCCTACCATGATGGTAAAGGAAACCCATTCAGTGACACAGACAGCCAGGTAAAGGCACAAAGAAAACAGCAAAGGTACCAGCTTGAGCCTTCTCATACTATGAGACTTTATTTGCCAGATTATGAGCATCCCACGTTGTCCATGCTTACCCTGAAGAAGCCCAGAGGTGGGCATGGGGACGTGTGGTTCCACAAGCAGCTCAGCAGGGAAGCCGGCATTGGTCCCCACTGTCCCCTGCAGTGGCAGGCATGGATACCACCCTGACATGCATGTGTTTGCAGGCCTTGGGGGGGAAATCAGAAAATGCCTACCTCTCACCCTTCTGATCCTGTGAAGATGCTGAAAGGCAAGATGGCTTAACCTGGAAGGCCTCATAACTGACCCTGTGTGCTACCAGAGCTGTCCACACAGGGAGGTGGACACTACCCCAATCAAATCAAGCCTTTCTGAATCAATCAGCACCACTGAAGAAATTTTGCAGGAATACCAAGAAATGCAGATCACCTATGTGCTGGTTGCACGCTTGAGATCAGAAGGCCTCCAAATGTGGGCCTGGAATCGCAACACAACAAAACGAGAGTCCCCCAGCAGCCGGCACCAGTGGCACTAGCCGTGACAGTTCCCAGGAGGAGGAAGAGGAGGATTGGGGGTGTGGGGGGTCTAATATAATCTGACACTCTGATTAACAAGCTTTTCTACAGCCTAGGGGGAGGCACCAGCACGTCAGTCAGATCACACAAACGCACGCGTGGTCCCACACCACAATGTAACTGACACACTTGCTGGGTTCCCCCATAGTGGGGCTTTGACGCTGTTGAGTACTGACCACATCTGAGTGCTAGTGGTCGAGTGTGATGCCTCATGCCCCCTGCCTAGTGACAGGAAGCCCATGACTCCCACACTGCTGGGACCCTGACGGGGAGAACTTTCTGAGCTCCAGCTGTAGGCACCACCCCCGTCTTAGCTTTGTGACCTGAAATAACAATTGTGAAAAGAGAAAACCCAGCTTCCAGATATCTTCTTGCTTCTTCAGAAATGTAATGGCTTTTTTTCCAGGGAAGGACATGTAAGCATTGCAATGGAATCGTTTCAGTCTCTAATCCTTTGAGGTTAAAGCCACACAAAAGAGGGTTTAGGGTTTCCCAGCCAGTGGATGCCCTCATGAGACAGAGCCTACCCTGTAAGAATCAAAACACACAGTCTGTGGAATTTAATTGTCTGCAGCCACAAAAAGGAAGGGCACTTCCTTACCTCCACTTATGCCCATCAGAGCATTCTGGGATTGGATGTGAGGACTCCTAGGGCCACATGTCCCTGAAATCCCCCTCCCAGGGCAGCTACAGAACGTGCCAGTTAAGGAGATATTTTAATCCATTAATATCCACTAACACATTAAACAGGAATAGCCTTATTTGATTTTCTAGCTGCTGTGTTGCAAAATCATGGGCAAAAAGTGAATTCTAATGAGGATGAGGGAGGAAGGAAAAGGGCCAAGGCAAGCCTTTCAAACGCCACTGCCCACAGGGAGAGCCGTGTAACACACTCAGTGGACAGGGCCAGAGGTGCTAGAGGTTCGGGGAACATGGCAACCGGCCAGCCCAGGCCCCAGTCTTAGAGGGCAGCTGCGACCCTGTCCCTCCTGCGGGTGCCACGTGGGGACGGGAACTGGCCCTGACAGCTGTCTGTGTCTTTAGGAGCTGGGACACTGGGTTTCCATCCAAAACATCCCTGTTTGGATATGGTGGCTACTAACTCAAAACACACATACCATGGGCTCCTTCCCAAAATAGACACATCTACAGGCGGAATTCGACTTCAAGGCGGGGCGCTGCGTAAAAGCAGCTGGACTTGTGCAGAGTCCAAGTGCAGGTGGGGTGAGGGGAGGTGCAGGGAGCCCCAGGGAGGCACGGACTTCCTGTGCGCAGGGAGAGGAGGAGGAGGTGGGTTTCCACGGAGGATGGCCCACAGTGCCTGAGGCTGTCTCCCTGCCTGCTGTGGACTGAATTGCATCTCCCCAAATTCGTACTTTGAAGCCCTAGCCCCCAGGGTGACTCTATTTGGAGATGGGACTCTTAGGAGGTAAGGAAGGTTACATGAGGTCATGAGATCCTAATCCAACAGGGACCGGGGCTTTCTAAGAGGAGGACGATCTCGGTCTCGCTGCCTGCCTCTCTTTCCCCCTCTCTCTCAGTCTCACTCTGCCTCGGTTTTAGTTTTTCTTTCTGCCTCTATGTCTATCTCTCTGTTCATTTTTCTGGCTCTGTCTCTATGTCTCTCTGCCTCTCTGTCTCTGTCTCCACGTCTCTGTTTCTCTGCTTCTTCTGTCTCTCCCAGTCTCACTCTGCCTCTCTCTCTCTCTCTGCCTCCATGTCTGTCTGTGTCTCTGTTTCTCTGCCTCTCTGTCTCTATTTCTCTGTGTTGGGGGGGGTTTCTCTGCCTCCATCTCTCTCTGTCCCCTACCCACTACCTGGCCGTGTGAGGACACAGTGAGAAAACAGCCATCTGCAAGTCAAGAAGCGGCTCGCACCAGGAACCGAATCAGCCAGCACCTTGGTCTTAGACTTCCAGCCTCCAGGACTGAGAGAGAGGAGAGCTCTGTCATTTAAGCTGCCCGGTCTGTGGGATCCTGCTATGGCAGCCTGAGCTAGTGTATAGCCTCTGCTAAAGCAACGAGACATGGACAGGAGCCTTCACAGTGTCTCCCGAGGCAGCTCAAGGGCTCGTCAAGGAAGAAACTGGGTCTTCTGAAGACACCCCCTTCCCCATCAGGAGCTCCAGTTAAATCCCCATTTCAATGGACAAGGTGGCCGCTTCTCTGGGGGAGAAACTGACAAGAGAAAGGAAAAAGCACGTTCTTTCAATAAACTTGTCAATTTTATTCATTTCAATAATCCCTCCACCACCACCACTGAGTGTGTATGTGTCAGTACCGGGCTCAGCAGGGGGCCCTGAGTGAGTGGGTGAGGAGCACCCTCTGCCCCCAGCCTTGTGGGTGCAGCAGACAGCGCAGGGCATTCTGGGTTGAGATGTCAGGAACGCCAGTTGCTATGGGGAGAGGTGAGAGGAATTCTCGGTATCTCCTGATACAGGTCTGGTCTCAGAGGTGGGGAAGAGGGTCCACCCAGCACAAATACATAACAAAGGCATGTAAGGGCACAGCAAGGTCTCTGGCTCTCAGGATCTGGTATCCACGCTACAGGATTCAAAACCATGAACATCCAATCTCCTGGCCACACTGGACAGGCCCCAGCAAGATGCTTCCTCGCAGCCTCTGCTCTGCTGGCCTCAAAGAGGTTGCCTCCAGATGCCGGGGTGGTGCTCCCAGCCCTGGAGATGGACACTGCTCCTGAGTAGGGCAGGATTTGGACACGGGAAGCTCCTCAGTGAGAGTGGACATGGTAATTAACCCACCACGTCTTTCTGATCACATGAATGCAATTAATTCTTGTGTAAATGAGATGCAACCTCCCAAGAGTACAGAAGCTTCTTCTCTGCTCTTCTTTGTCCTCTACCTGTGGTTCCAGAGGCATGAGCCAGGCCAGATTCCCAGTGGCCTCAAGCAGAGCCGAGCCAGGCCAGATTCCCGGTGGCCTCAAGCAGAGCCCAGCCAGGCTGCAGTGAGCAGGGGATACACCTCATGAGTGACCAGCCCCATGCACAGACCCACAGTGGAGAGGACACACCACATGCAGAGAGCTACAGACAGCTGGGCTCTGGCTGGACAGGCACTGGGGGTAGCAGACGTGAAGAGGCAAGAAGGGTTGGGTGGCGAGGACTTCATGAACCTCACTGAGGAGTTTGTACTTTATTTAGAATGAAATGCAGAAGCTGTCAAAGGTGTTTAAGTGAAATAATAGAAAAATAATATCTGCACTTGGGAAATACTGTCCTGGGTGTTAAGGGGATTGAAGAAGGGTCAGGCTGGAGTCAAAGAGACCAATTTGCACTCATTTAGGGGACAAGTGCCAGTGGCCAGAATTGAGATTATGGCAGCAGAAAGCAGAAAGAGGAAGGCGGGTACAGGAGTTATTAAAGCAAGTGAAATAGCATGGCTTGGTGACGAGAAAAGAAGGTGCCACATTCTGGCTTGGGGCTGCAGAGGCAGGGAGGAGGGAGAAAGTGCAGGTTTAAGGGATGGGGCACGTTCGGTTGCGCTGGGGCTTGGTGAGTGTGAGACCCCACGTGAGGCCCGGTGGGAATGCTCAGGGGACAGGTCCCCACATGGCCCAGAGCTCAGGAAGGAGAGCCTGACCCAGACCCAGATGTGAAAGTTGCACTGATACCGACACCACTTTGAGTCACAGGAGGGGAGGAGCTCTCAGCAAGATTAAGGAGCAGGAGACAGAGCTGGGAGAAGCCCAAGCATCACAAATGGGCATGAGCCGTTCCTGTAGAGTGCAGGGCAGAAGCAATGGGAAGCCAGCTCCAGGCTTTTCTAGGAGCTGAGTGACCAGAGCCTTGAGAGTGGGGACCGGCAGGTCAGCTACTGCCCAGAAGCCAAGCAGCATTGCGGGCATCTCCGTGACCTCCAGGAGAGGCTCTGGTGATGGGATAAGCAGAGGGCAGCATCAATGGGT
Organism: Homo sapiens; assembly: GCF_000001405.40. Classification (NCBI taxonomy): domain Eukaryota; kingdom Metazoa; phylum Chordata; class Mammalia; order Primates; family Hominidae; genus Homo; species Homo sapiens. The sequence continues at coordinate 130,525,361 of NC_000012.12, forward strand.
GGGAGATAAAGAGGAAGAGGGAGGAGATGCTTTTTTGCAGAGTGCTGGGTGAGAAGAGGCGCAGAGAGACAAGGTCATGCTTAGAGCCTCCTAGGGGCATGGATGACTAAGGAAGGTAGAGAATGCCCTGGAGGCAGTCACAGAGTCAGTAACTCCTCCTTCCTCCCACAGGCGAGTGGAATGTGGGTAGCTGCCGGGAACAGCAGCCCTCCAGGAAGCCCAGTCAAGGCTGAGGGTGGTAACGTTCATGGGGGCATTGGCAGGTGCAGATGGACACATGGGGAAGGCATGAGGGCAGCAGAGAGAAGGACGGGGCACTTGGGGATGAGATCGTATGGGGGGAGATGACCCAAGGGGCTCATGTTGGATGATGCAGCAGCTTTGATCCCCTGGGCTTCTACGCTGGGCCAAGAACCAACATAAGCTCTTTGCTTTCCTCCTCTTCTTTGTGAAATCTCATCCAGTCCTCTCAGCACTGCCATGTGGCAGACATTCTTGCTATCCTGCTTGTCAAGGGAAGAAATTCAAGCTCAAGGAGGTTAAGTAACTGAGCGAGCAGCCTCCCCCGAGCATGTGGAGGGGTGGGACTCAAGCCCGGGCTGTGCAGCTGTCAGGTTTGAGACCCCCTCCTCCCTGCCCCAATTTGCCTCTTATTCTCCTGAGGAAGAGCATCATCCAGCCACTCCCTTGGTCCCAAGGCCCAGAGGAAGGTTCAGAAATGCCTCCAGTTGGCAGGGGTGGGGGGTTCTGGAAAGCCTGGGGTATCTTCCCTTGCACTAGAGACTACAGATACAGTCTTGGGGGCCTACAAAAATATTTCCTGGTATTTTTAGTTCCATGAAATCTAAAAGAATATATAAAGGAACAATTTTGTACCCTATTCAGGACGAAAGCCAACATCTACATTTGGGTTTGTGGGCCCTCCTGTGCCGGCCTGAAGAATCACCGTATTGACTGTCCTGAGATGCTGAAAGACAATGAAAGGTAACTCCAATGGTGCTTTTGTGCTCGATGAAAGCCAGATGACTTCTACAGGCTCAGGCATCAAAGATCTTGCAAGAGTTTGAAAGAGATCAGTGGTAGGAATTGAGTCAACTTCCAGCCAACTGTACAAAGGCATTAACTTTACTTATAAGAGGAAATGTGATTTAAGTTAAATATCATATGACACATTAAGTCACAGCGAGTTTGGGTTTTGAATTTTATTGGTGTCTTAAAGTTGTTTCTCTTTGATCTGCTCATTCATTTTGGCCTTATGTTTTAGAAAAGCCATAAAAATTTTATAACCAGTTTTATCTCTGGACACATGTAATTACATTATGAATTATAAATATATAACCATATTATGCTCAAACATAGACTATATAGTTATAATATACAAGTCTGGTAGAATAATATTATATAAGAATGATGTAATTATCAATTATAATAACGTAAAATAAAAATAATCTAAGTCAACACTGGAGTGTGCTTGGTAATATTTTTTCTTTCTGAAAAGGCTTCATAAGTGGTTCTAGCCTAAAGGCATGGGTGGGAGAGTAAAGTGAAGGAAGGGAAGGGAAGAAAAGCCGCTGGTGGGAAGCCTGGAGAGGGAGCCTGAACTAAGGAGAGAAGGAGAAACCACAGGGTGGAAGGCGAGTGGTTGCTGCTGTCCAGGGTCCTGATGGTCACTGAGCCCTACTCCCGCCCGCCCCTTGAGGTTAAGGCCGAGGGCAGTCAGCTAAGTCATCCCAGGGTGTGGAGGGACCGTTGGGACTTGGAGGACCTGGGTTTGAAGCCTATCCTAACACTGACCAGATGTAATTTGGGGAAAATTATTAAGCCTAAGTATTCTTGGCAATTTAAATGAGATAATTCATATAAATGTATTCTTCAAGTCGTAAAGGACAATTTGAATGTGAAATACTATGCTAATAAAGGGACTGGCACTAAAACAATTGCTTCTGGTTTCCCAGTGTCGGGGGAGGGTTCTGGGGGAGGCTGGAGAGAGCAACTCCAAACTTCTCAGTTCCCTTCTATTTTCAGAAATTTGCTTCAACCATGACTGATACATGCTATTCCTGATCTGTTTGATATTTCAGCATTGCACATATGCCAATAATGCAATTGCAGGGAAGCACATGGTGCTATTTAAAAACTGTGTTCCTAACACAAGTTAGAGACAAGCTCAAGTGGAAAAATATAATACATGAAGCAGATTCTCAGGTGAGTTTATGACATTTACATTCACCTTTTAAATAAGGCTTCTCTCAGCTTCTGCACAGCAAAAGAAACTATCATCAGAGCAAACAGACAACCTGCAGAATGGGAGGAAATTTTTGCAATCTATCCATTTGACACGAGTCTGATATCCAGAATCTACAAGGAACTTAAACAGACTTACAAGAGAAAAAAAAAAAAACATTAAAAAGTGGGCAAAGAACATGAACAGAAACTTCTCAAAAGAAGACATTTATGTGGCCAACAAACATATGCAAAAAAGCTCAACATCACTGATCATTACAGAAATGCAAATTAAAACCACAATGAGATACCATCTCATAACAGTCAGAATGGCGATTACTAAAAAGTCAGTCAAGAAACAACAGATGCTAGCAAGGCTGTGGAGAAATACAAACACTTTTACACTGTTGATGGGGATGTAAATTAGTTCAACTGTTGTGGAAGACAGTGTGATGATTCCTTGAAGACCTAGAACCAGAAATATCATTTGACCCAGCAATCTCATTACTGGTTATATACCCAAAGAAATATAAATCATTCTATTATAAAGATACATGCAAGCATATGTTCACTGCAGCACCATTCACAATAGCAAAGACATGGAATCAACCCAAATGCCCATCAGTGATAGACTTGATAAAGAAAACATGGTACGTATACACCATGGAATACTATGCAGCCATAAAAAGGAATGAGATCATGTCCTTTGCAGGGACATGGATGGAGCTGGAAGCCATTATCTTCAGTAAATTAATGCAGGAACAAAAAACTAAACACCACATGTTCTCACTTAGAAGTGGGAGCTGAATGATGAGAAGAGAACACATGGACATAGGGAGGGGAACAACACACACTGGGGCCTGTTGGAGGTTGAGGGTAGGGGAAGGGAGAGAATCAGGAAAAATAGCTAATGCATGCTGGGCTTAATACCTAGGTGATGAGTTGATAGGTGCAGCAAACCACCATGGCACATGTTTACCTATGTAACAAACCTGCATGTCCTGCACATGTACCCCATAACTTAAAATAAAAATGTCTCTCAATAATTGTACTTCATCAACTTACATGTATCTGCAATGCATACTCTGACTTCCAAGTGGAAAAGAAACATAGTTAAATTTATATTTGCTTCATATTGGTCAGTATAATCAGAACACAGGCAGCCCCAAAGGGAACTCTTTTCTACCAAAACAATGGGGTTGAACTTAGGAGAGAACAATTATGCCACACAGCTGAGGAGGTCAAAAATGGGAACCCTCATATATTTCCAGTGGAGATGTAAAATGGTGCAGCCACTGCAGAAAACAGTTTAGTGGTTCCCTAAAAAGTTCAACAGACTCACTACATTACCCAGCAATTCACTCCCAGGCTTATGCCCAGAGCATTGGAAACAGGTATTCAAATACTTATATACAAATGTCACGGCAGCATTATTCATAATAACCAAAATTCAGAAACAACCCAAGTGTCGATTGATGGATGAATGGATAAGCCAAATGTGGTCTGTCCATAAAGTGGAAGATTCTTCAGCCTACAGAAGGAATGACGTGCTGATTCACACCACAACAGGGATGAACCTCAAAAAATGACATGCTGATTCATGCCACAACAGGGATGAACCTCAAAAAATGACATGCTGATTCATGCCACAACAGGAATGAACCTCAAAAAATGACATGCTGATTCACGCTACAACAGGGATGAACCTCAGAATGACATCCTGATTCACGCTACAACAGGGATGAACCTCAAAAACATCACACTAGGTAGACAAAGCCAGACACAAATGTTCACATGTATGATTCCACATACATGAGATATTCAAGATAGGCAAATCTGCAGAGACAGAAAGCAGATTCGTGGCTGTCAGGGCTGGAAGGAGGAAGGAAAGAGGAGGGGCTACCTGGCTGGTACAGGGTTTCCTTTGGGATGATGAAGATGTTTTGGAACTAGATAGAGGTGATGGCCACACAATGTTGCAAATGTACTAAATGCCACTGAATTGTTCACTATAAATGGTTAATTTTATGTTATGTCAATTTTACGTCAATTTCTTTTTAAAAGATACCACCCAACCTCCCAGCAAAAGAGTCTGAAGGGCTATAAGGCATCAGTCCCCAACATTTTGGGCACCAGTGACCAGCTTCACGGAAGACAAGTTTTCCACAGACTGGGGTGGGGGGAATGGTTTTGGGATGAAACTTCTATCTCAGATCATCAGGCATTAGGTTCTCATAAGGAGTGTGCAAACTAGATCCCTCACATGTGCAGTTCACTCTCCTATGAGAATCTTATGCCGCCGCTGATCTGATAGAAGGCAGAGCTCAAGCGATCATGCTTATTCGCCTGCTGTTCACCTCCTGCTGTGCAGCCCAGTTCCTAACAGGCCACAGACCTGTGCTGGTCCATGGCCCAGGGGTTGGTGACCCACACTATAAGGGAAAAGAGACAAACCTATATCCCAACAGTATGTTTCCCTGGGTGTCTCCTGTTGAAAGAATCTCACCTGAGTGCCACTCTGGTGTGTAAGGACATCCATTCTTGGGACAGTGGAACCTCTAAACACAACCAGCCACTGCATTTGGTTCTCTACCAATCAACAACAATCTGCGCCAATACTAGAGGGAAAACTTCGCCAGGGGAACTTACCGAGACTTGATATGTTCAATATGGCTCCTTCCCTAGGGATTTGCAAGGGTAATTTTTTTCTATATGTGATTTTGGTATAATGTGTTGACTTTAGAACTAAACCCCTGCACAAAATGTGACTCTACCAAATGCTTGTTCAGACTATACAATGCATAGTAATTTATAAGCTATTTTCCCCTAACTCCCAAAAAATGACTTAAGAATGCTTATACTAAAAATATTTATACAATAAGGCAGCTAAGAATAACAATTTTTAAAAGAAAAAGGGGACAATATATAGAAAACCTTATACCAGGAAATCACATAAAAAGGGTTTTTACCTATTGACTGAACATTACATTTATGCTCTGAGCTTGCCAGCTGCTAGTGCCTGAGGGAAAACCTATCAATTATAACTTTATTAACATGAAGGATGTGCCTCCTAGGATTCTGCCACAAATGACAAAGCAATGAAAAATATTTGATTGCCTTTTTTTAAAAAATCACTTGCTTTTTCAAGAGCTGATTTATGAGAACTGCTGCAATATGGTACTGCTCCCTAAAGAGCTTCTGTCTTCTCACCTTCTCCTTCCAACCTAGGGGTTTTTCTTCACCACACTTCAAATTCTTGAGCAAGGCCACATTCAGTTATATGAGCAACTGAAACTGGTGGTTCTGCAAGCTGGTCCATGGTGCAGATTCAGGCTGTGAACTTGGACAAATTGAGCAGCTCTTCATGTTGCCTGCTCATTCAAGATGACCATGCTTCTCTCCCCAAGGACTGATCACTTTGATTGATGACCGATTGAATTTGCCTTATGTACAGGGTGACTCAGAGACCTCCAAGTATTAGAAAATGTGTCCTTAGTTTAGATCCAAATCTATCTTCTGCTCATCAAGTGATATATCTATGGCCATAGAAATCAGACAAAATTCCTTTCCAGATGGATTTTTTCAGATATTTTTGTTAACTTGTTAAATTGAGGTAAAACATACATGAAATGCACAAATCATAGGTGTACAACTCCATTAACGTTTACAAAGTACACATACCTGTATAACCATGACCCAGATGAAGAAGTAGGACATTCGCTGCCACCTCAAAACCTCTCCCCTGCCTCCTCCCAGCTGAGAGTCCCCAAAAGGTAACCACTGTTCTGATTTCTAGTCCCATGCATGTGTTTTGCCTGTTTTTCTATTCTATGTAAATGTAATAAAATATAGATTTTTAATGTCTGGATATTTATCTCAACATTTTATCTAGGACGCACCCACATCTGTGAAATAGCAGCCCTTCATTACTGTGTAGTATCCTCTTGTATAAATAATCTGAGATTTATCTATTTATGTTCAACTATTATTAAACATTAGGATGATTCCAGTTTGAGACCATTAAAAATAATGCTGCAAAGAACATTCTTGAGCACGTTTTCTTGGAGGCACATGTACATGTTTCTCATAATTACTCACCTAGGAATAGAACAGTGGTGCCTGCAGAGGTATGAACAGAGCAAAGTTCACCCATGTCATAGATTTTGTCTTCTAAAAGCCAAATGGTGGTGCTTTCAGAGATTCTAGTAGGTGTCCCTTCCATGAGAGTCAAAACCCAGATGCCTCTAGGAGTTACGTCTAATGAGATGCGTATGTTTAGCCTCTAGGAGTTACGTCTAATGAGATGCGTATGTTTAGCCTCTAGGAGTTACGTCTAATGAGATGCGTATGTTTAGCCTCTAGGAGGTACGTCTAATGAGATGCGTATGTTTAGCCTCTAGGAGGTACGTCTAATGAGATGCGTATGTTTAGCCTCTAGGAGGGACGTCTAATGAGATGCGTATGTTTAGCCTCTAGGAGGTACGTCTAATGAGATGCGTATGTTTAGCCTCTAGGAGGGACGTCTAATGAGATGCGTGTGTGTAGCCTCTAGGAGTTACGTCTAATGAGATGCGTGTGTTTAGCCTCTAGGAGGTACGTCTAATGAGATGCGTGTGTGTAGCCTCTAGGAGTTACGTCTAATGAGATGCGTGTGTTTAGCCTCTAGGAGGTACGTCTAATGAGATGCGTATGTTTAGCCTCTAGGAGGTACATCTAATGAGATGCGTGTGTTTAGCCTCTAGGAGGTACGTCTAATGAGATGCGTGTGTGTAGCCTCTAGGAGTTACGTCTAATGAGATGCGTGTGTTTAGCCTCTAGGAGTTACGTCTAATGAGATGCGTGTGTTCAGCCTCTAGGAGGGACGTCTAATGAGATGCGTGTGTTCAGCCTCTAGGAGTTACGTCTAATGAGATGCGTGTGTTCAGCCTCTAGGAGTTACGTCTAATGAGATGCGTGTGTGTAGCCTCTAGGAGTTACGTCTAATGAGATGCGTATGTTTAGCCTCTAGGAGTTACGTCTAATGAGATGCGTATGCTTAGCCTCTAGGAGGTACGTCTAATGAGATGCATGTGTTCAGCCTCTAGGAGGGACGTCTAATGAGATGCGTGTGTTCAGCCTCTAGGAGTTACGTCTAATGAGATGTGTGTGTTCAGCCTCTAGGAGTTACATCTAATGAGATGCGTGTGTTCAGCCTCTAGGAGTTACGTCTAATGAGATGCGTGTGTGTAGCCTCTAGGAGTTACGTCTAATGAGATGCGTGTGTTTAGCCTCTAGGAGGGACGTCTAATGAGATGCGTATGTTTAGCCTCTAGGAGTTACGTCTAATGAGATGCGTGTGTTTAGCCTCTAGGAGGGACGTCTAATGAGATGCGTGTGTGTAGCCTCTAGGAGTTACGTCTAATGAGATGCGTATGTTTAGCCTCTAGGATGGACGTCTAATGAGATGCGTGTGTGTAGCCTCTAGGAGTTACATCTAATGAGATGCGTATGTTTAGCCTCTAGGAGGGACATCTAATGAGATGCGTGTGTTTAGCCTCTAGGAGGGACGTCTAATGAGATGCGTGTGTTTAGCCTCTAGGAGTTACGTCTAATGAGATGCGTGTGTTTAGCCTCTAGGAGTTACGTCTAATGAGATGCATGTGTTTAGCTTTTGCTAAATAGCTTTTAGAAAAGTGGGGAGTGTCAAAAGAAGACATACAAATGGCCAGCAGGTATACGAAAAAATGCCCATCATCACTAATCAGAGAAATGCAAACTAAAACCACAATGAGATATCTTCTTACCCCAGTCAGAATGGCTATGATGAAAAAGTCAAAAAATAACAGATACTGGCAAGGATATGGACAAAAGGGAACTCTTACACACTGATTTGGAATATAAATTAGTATAACCTTTACAGAAAACACTATGGATGTTTCCCAAGGAACAAAAAATAGAACAATTAATACCATTCCATCCAGTAATTCCACTACTGGTATCCACCCAAAGGAAAACAAATCATTGTATCAAAAAGACACCTGCGCTCATGTGTTCACCATAACACTATTCACAATAGCAAAGCTAGAGAATCAACCTAAATGTCCATCAGTGGATAATTGGATAAAGAAAATATGGTATACATACACCATGAAATACTGTCCAGCCATAAAAAGAATGAAATTATGTCTTTTACAGCAACATGGATGAAACTAGAGGCCATTATCTTAAGTGAAACAACTCAGAAAGTCAAATACTGCATGTTCTCAGTCACAAGTAGGAGCTAAACAGTGTCTCCACGTGGACACAGAAAGTGGAATGATAGGCTGGGTGCGGTGGCTCATGCCTGTAATCCCAGCACTTTGGGAGGCTGAGGCAGGCAGATCACTTGAGGTTAGGAGTTCGAGACCAGCCTGGCCAACATGGTGAAACCCCATCTCTGCTAAAAATACAAAAATTAGCCAGGCATGGTGGTGCATATCTGTAATCCCAGCTACTCTGGAGGCTGAAGCAGGATAATCGCTTGAACACAGAAGGCAGAGGTTGCAGTGAGCAGAGATCACACCCCTGCACTTCAGCCTGGATGACAGAGCAAAACTCCATCTTAAAAAAAAAAAAAAAAAGAGAGAGAGAGTAGAATGATAGACACTGGAACCTTAGAAGGGTGGTGGGAGGGAGTGGGAGGTGGTGGGAGGGGAGTGGAAGGGGGTGGGAGGGGTGGATGATGAAAAATTACTTAATGGGTATGATGTATAATATTCTAGTGATGGTTGGCTGGGTGCAGTGGCTCACGCCTGTAATCCCAGCACTTTGGGAGGCCGAGGTGGGAGGACCACGAGGTCAGGAGATCCAGACCATCCTGACCAACATGGTGAAACTCCATCTCTAGTAAAACAAGAAAAAAAAAAATTCTGGTTATGCTAGAAGCTCAGGCTTCACTACACAATATATCCATGTAGCAAAACTGCACTTGTACCCCTTAAATATATGCAAATGTAGCGGGAAGTGTGAGAGTCCCCATGGCTTTGTATCTTCACCAACTTTGGTGCTGTCAATCCTTCTCTATGGAAGCCATCCTGGTGTGGCACAGTGGTGCCTGCAGAGGCATGAACATAGCTAAGTTCACCCATGTCATAGATTCTGTCCTTGAAAAGCCACATGGTGGTGATTTCAGAGATTCCGGCAGGTATCACTTCCATGAGAGTCCAAACCCAGACACCTCTAGGAGTTACGTCTAAGCAAAGCAGCCTGGCTGAAGATCATCCATGGTGGTTAGGATTGGCACAAAGAGGAGAGTGTCTATCTGTCTAGGAAACGGTCTATCACTCAGCTCCAGCTAGCTGTGGTCCATGAGGAACATGGGCCACCACTATTGGGGCCACTATTATTTTTGAAGTGAAACCAAATCAATATTTTTATGTAAAACATCCCCACCTGACGATGCTGGTGACTAAGGAAAGCCTGTCTGAAGCCCACTTGAGGTTCACCGGCTGCCCTTTAGCAAGCTCACGTCAGACCTTTGCTGACCTCTGATCGCTGGCCGGCTCCCTCAGCAAGGGCTCCGGAGTGTTTCAGCTTCCCCCTTAGTGAGCAGCTGCTGCTCTGTTCTCTGGGGCTGATGAATTTATGATAATGCTTTGAAAAAAGAACCTTAATCAGCTGGGTGCAGTGGCTCACGCTCCTAATCCCAGTGCTTTGGGAGTCCGAGATGGGAGAATCACATAAGGCCAGGAGTTTGAGGCCAGGCTGGGCAACATAGCAAAACCCAGTCTCAACTAAAAAATTAAAAAAAAAAATTGTTTTTAATTAGCAGGGCATGGTGGCACACATCTGCAGTCCCAGTACCCAAGAGGCTGAGGCAGGAGGATCGCTTGAGCCCAGGAGGTCAAGGCTGCAGTGAGCCAAGATCATGCCTCTGCACTTCAGCCTGGGCAAGCAACAGAATGAGACTTTGTCTCTAAAAATAATAATATTAATAACAACACTGCACAAGTACTAATCTAAGCACCATTGCATAGACTAACTCATTTAATCCTTGCAACAAGCCTGTAAAACACAGCTCTCTCTATATATATACACATAGATATACATACATATACACATATACATATATACACATATATATACACATATACATATATATACACATATACATATACATATATATACATATATATACATATATATATATATATATATATATATATATATATATATATATATACACATATTTTTTTGAGCCAGGGTCTTGCTCTGTCACTCAGGCTGGAGTGCAGTGGTACAATTTCAGCTCACTACAGCCTCAACCTCCTGGGCTCAGGTGATCCTCCTGTCTCAGGCCCTCCAAGTAGCTGGGACTACAGGTATGCACCACCATATCCGCTGATTTTTTGTTGTTGTTGTATTTTTTGTAGAGACGGGGTTTCACCAAGTTGCCCAGGCTGGGCTCGAACTCCTGAGCTCAAGCAATCTCTCCGCCTCGGCTTCCCAAAGTGCTGGCATTACAGGCGTGAGCCATCACGCCCAGTTGCAGCATTATTTTTATTCCCCATTTTATGGGTGGAAAAAAAAGGAGACAAAAGGCATTTAAGTAATAGTGTGGGTGGTATGTACAAAAATGAGAGAGAGAGAGAGAAACAGAGACAGATAGGCAGGCGGAGCTGGGGGACAGGTTCTTACCCATAAACATAAATATAATTTTGGGTTAACAGACATCATCCCCTGGTTATCCCTGGCCTCCTGAAATGCCCATGACCCCCAGAATAGGTCGACACTGTTAATCTCTGTGCTTAACACTGACTGGCTGAATTTATTCCAAAATAATCCAGCCTCAAGAATGAAGACCAAGCTCTCGCTGGATTTTACAAATCCCCCTCCGGTAATGGTTTCCAAAAGGTCTTTAGAATCCTTTATTCGCATCAAAAAATTTCACCGTCATACCCCAACTGCACGATAGTATCTAGACTTCCACTTACTTCCGCCATAGTCAACCCCTGGGCACTTACAGATTGGCCGACTTCTGCAATAATCTATTCCCCAACCAACTGGACCTTGGAGTATAGAAGTTGTTGCAGGTCCCTGCTGTCCAATATGGTGGCCACCAGCCATGTCTGGCTATTTAATTTTAAGTTTAATTTAAGTCAAATAAAATCCCAGTATGTAGAGCTTAATTTCCTTCTCTCAACTGTGGGCTGGACTTGGTGACTTGCTTCCTAAAGTGAGATGAGAGGAACAGCAACTTTGCAGATACCACCTTCACCAGGTGACCGTGGTTGACAGCACCAGCAGTAAGTCACAATGATACCGTGAAGCCCCTGATATGGCATGATGGGGAGGACACTTCTCCTCTGGGGTACTTTTTCCAAAAACCTAGAACCCCATTCTAATCACAGGAAAACACAAGACAACCCCAAATTGGGAGATATTCTGTAACATATCTGGCCAGTACTGTTAAAAAGTACCAAGGTACAATAAACAAGGAGGGACTGAGAAACTCTCACAAATCTTAGTAAGAAAACTCTCATTAAGGAGGCATGAGGGCCAGATGCAGTGTGGTGTCTTGGATGGGGTTCCAGGGCAGAACAATGATGCCACCAGGGCCACTTACACCCCAGCTCTTCCTAAACACAGCATCGACTGCAGCTGTGCACCTGCAAATGCTAGGGTTGGTTCCACAGAATGCATTTCAAGCAGACACGAGGCCATAGTTTTGCTTATTGGCTTTACGCCAAAAGTTTTGCCTTCTGCCTCTGTAGCTGACGCTCATAAGACTGAAATTTATTTTCATGAAACCCATTTTGCCACTGGCAGCGTAAGACAGGGAGGAGGTCTGGGAAAGAAGATAGCTCCATCACCCTACGGTACAAGGCAAACAGATGCAGGGCAGGACCTTGGAGGCCTCCCAGAACCCCCACATGTTTGCCATATTGCCATTAGCAAACGACTTAACCTCTTTGAAGTCTCACTTCCCTCTCCTGTAGAAGTGAGTATCCTGACCCATACCTCTGTGGGGTCATCGGGAAGGTTAAAATAACCAGCCTATGCGAAAGATCCGGGTGCATATTAGAAGGAAAACGAAAGTGAGTTTCTGTTCACCTCATGCAGAATTCTCAGTCCAGGTTGTACATATACGGTACATCTCAAATTGCAAAGGAAACTCTCGTCCTATCATAAATTCATCAGCCCCAGAGAACACAGCAATACATCCTGATTGCTTTTCATGGGAGGAAATGAGTTTGCCTATCTGCCTAGCATGGAGAAGTCATTAGAGAGGCTATGTCAGCGCTCAGGTCTAAGCTCAGATCATGTTTGAAATTGCCCCTTTGGCTGGACTCAGGGTGAAATGACTGCTAATTATAAGCACACTTGCTCTTGCTGTCTCCCTCCAGATGGAAGGATAGAATTGTCAACAAATTTGCTGTTTCCATTTTATTCACACAGGATCACTAGACTCCAAAAACTGACAAAAGCAAAATGCAGGTCAGTAGAACCCCTCAGTGTGGAAAAAACAAATAGGGCCTCATGCAGTCCTCAGTGTGGCAGGAAGGAGATGATCCAAGATGGCAGCTCGTGACTGCATTTGACCGTGGAGATGTTTTACGGGGCCCCAAGTTACTGAATAGTGTCATTAGGACATTTAAAAAATAGAAAATTTAATATAAAAATGAAAGAATATAAATAATATTTTAAAGTGCATTCTTCTTTCTATATATTCTCCCAAAAGCTCTTCACAGTGGAAAAAAAAATCAGAAAATTTGGCGATCTTGGGTCTGCATTTCCACAGTCACAATTAGCCGTAAACGTCCGTATGTTTGTCCTTGGTCCTCACTGCCCTTACTCATTTCTGGGATCCCTCAGAAACCTCAATTCAGTGAAGTGAGATGATTTAAGAAAGATCACACAGAGAATCCCCGAATCCACTCAACACTCCTCCAGCACCCAGCCACCCGCCCACCTATGCATACAAATGGCCCTGCATTTACATTAATTCACACCGTCAAGAAAAGCCTCCCTCCCCGTGCCACCCTGCATGCCAGAGTCTGCACACTTCAGCTCTTGAACCTCTGAGCTATAATAAGCAAGTATGTTTTCTGAAATGGCAAAATGGGTTTTATAGCATTTGCATCAATAGAGCGAGTCACGAGCATTACAGAGCTGCTGCCAGGCCTGGGCAGCAGAGAACCAAATACAGCCTGCTTCCCAACCGACTTCACATGCTCTCCCAGAGAGGCTTGAGAGTCATGGGCAGTGACAAACGTGGCTTCCTGCCCCCACTCTTCCCTCCCCGTATTGCCTGGGGATCGGGTGGTGGCCCATCTCCATGCATTTCTAGCACCAGGCAAGGTGGGAGGAAGCAGGGTGGTCGAGAGCTGGGCAGGGTGGGCCTGAGGGTGCTAAGGGTGGTAAAACTGCAGGGCATGTCCACGGCTCTGCAGAGCTCCTGGGGCTGTCGATGATCTTCAGTGGCTTTCTAGACCACGCTTCAGAAAATATGGCCTGCAGGCCACATCCAGCTTGCCCCTTTTAAATAAAGTTTTATTGGAACACACCCATATTCATTCATTTCCAAAAATCCCTATCATCAGTGAGCTTTGGGGGAGAATATATACATACATATATATTTTTACAATTTGTGTATAATGTTTATATTACTTGTTTCCTTATTTCCCTACATACATGTATTATATAACAGTGTCAGTGAATGCATACATAAAATATACTATGTTTATATAATATATATAACATGTAAAGAACAGTGTCAGTGAATGGGATGTAGGAATATGAAGGAGGAAACAAATGTAGAGATTTCTAGAAAATGTGATCAAAGAAGGTGATGTCTGAGCAAAGATGTGAAGGAAGTAAGAGTGTGAGTGCTGTGGGCACCTCGAGGGAGGAGCTCCAGGCAGAGGGAGCAGCACCCACAAACATGGTAACGTGGAGCAAGCTGGGGAGAGGGCATCATGGCAAATGCAGTTGATGAGGTGGCCAGGTGTAGGATATGGCAAATGCAGTCGATGGGGTGGCCAGGTGTAGGATATGGCAAATGCAGTCGATGAGGTGGCCAGGTGTAGGATATGGCAAATGCAGTCGATGAGGTGGCCAGGTGTAGGATATGGCAAATGCAGTCGATGAGGTGGCCAGGTGTAGGCTATGGCAAATGCAGTCGATGAGGTGGCCAGGTGTAGGATATGGCAAATGCAGTCCATGAAGTGGCCAGGTGTAGGATATGGCAAATGCAGTCCATGAGGTGGCCAGGTGTAGGATATGGCAAATGCAGTCGATGAGGTGGCCAGGTGTAGGATATGGCAAATGCAGTAGATGAGGTGGCGAGGTGTAGGCTATGGCAAATGCAGTAGATGAGGTGGCCAGGTGTAGGATATGGCAAATGCAGTAGATGAGGTGGCCAGGTGTAGGATATGGCAAATGCAGTCGATGAGGTGGCCAGGTGTAGGATATGGCAAATGCAGTAGATGAGGTGGCCAGGTGTAGGATATGGCAAATGCAGTCGATGAGGTGGCCAGGTGTAGGATATGGCAAATGCAGTCGATGAGGTGGCCAGGTGTAGGCTATGGCAGGAACTTGGGTTTTGATCAAAAGTTGATGGAAACCAGTGCAGGGCTGAGAGCAAGAGAGTAGCTTTCATCCAATGTGTGCTTTGAAAGGATGGCCTTGGGAAGAGGATGGATAGGAAGATGGGTTGCCAGTGGATGAGAAGGGCACTGGGCAGACTCATGGGTAGGCTGGTGTGGTTGGCTGAGACAGACAAAGGCAGGTGAATTAAGGAATCGCACACAAGAAAGGAGGTGAGCAGGGACCAGTTTTGAAATCACCCCAGTTGTCCTGTAGAACTGACGTTTATGGATTCTTTGAAAAAACTTAGAAAATGATCCTCCCAGTCTTGAAACTTGAGAAAGTTGCATTTGTCTTATCTGAGTTTCTTTCTCAGGAAACCGACCATCAGACCTCCCAGATAGCATCATGGAACTGAAACTCACCAGGTCACCGCATCTGGACAGTGACTCACCAGAACCTTCGCCCGTCATGACTGCCTAAGGGACCAACTGCTTCCTGCTGACCAACTCCCTGCCTAATTCCTGTTTTCCCCACACATGGCTAAATTTCTTCCTGTTATGTAAACCCCTAGTATTAGTTGGTCAGGGAGATGGACTTGAGACTGATCTCCCATCTTCTTGGCTGCAGCACCCGATTAAACACTTCTTCCCTGGCAATACTGACGGTCTCAGTGAGTGGCTTTCTGCGTGGTGAGCAGTAGGACCTAGACCAAGCCCCTGGCATTTCAGTAACAGTTTCTGGGTATTTCAAGGGGATTTGATGATGGGTTTCATGTGGGGGTGAGAGCAAGGAAGGAGTTCCAAGTTTTTGTTCTGAGAAGTGCAGTGGTGTTGACAATCCACAGAGATGGAACCAGAGAGGCTTGGAGGGCTACCAAGAGCTGAGATGAACACTCTTGGCTTGCTAACATCGGCTATCACAGGATGGAAGAGGAGGAGTGATAGCCCTGCTCCATCCAGAGCAAGAGGCCACTGCAGGGCCACAGAGTTCACACTCATCATTAAAATCAAAAGAAAATGAGCAGAGCACACTGCACTCCTGGGCAATCTCTGTCTATGGAGCAGGCATCCTCCTGTCTCTCATCTTCTTCCCTCACTTCCCCTGCCCTGAAACTCTGAGATTAGAGATCTTTCTTCAGGTTAGCTACACTCTACATGGACGCTTGCTTTCTGTGATCACAGAGGGATCCCTCTAGGATTCTTTCCTTATAGTAATTCTTAGTGGTGTCTACAGGTCACTGCTTTCTCTCCAGTCTGATGCTGAGGCATTTTGGAATGTTTCTTCCTCTTACACCAAAATAAATGAAGGCAACTTGTGGATGATATTGAGTGAAGATCACGGAATGATTCATTATTTAACTGCAAATGCTGAAAACACAGCTGTACTCACTGGGCCTAAGAAAGTGACTTCCTTCCTCTCATTGAATATAGATGTTTACTCATCAGCTTATTTTAAAATGTGATCTCAATGCCATGCCAATGAAAGCCTTTTAGTCTATGATTTCTTTGCCAAGGGAAATTGGAAATGTTTTCTTTGAAATGTTCTAATGCAGGCATCATCTGGCCATGGAGTTGAGACTGTTATCAGGAGCAACAGCTGAACAGCACCAGAAGCAACATTTACGTCACAGCTTCCAGGTGCCGAGCCATGCTGCAGACACTGTATTTGTATTGTTGTGTTCATTCCACTCATCTAATATATGTTTGTTGAACACTTTCTAGGTGTACTAGCTCATGGGATGCCTTTATGTAAACTAAGCAGAGGTTCTCTTCTGAGCAAGCTAATGCCCCCTTGGCAGACCTAGCCATTGGGCTGAGTGTTGGCAAGGTGACTTTTGGCACAACCATACTCAGGGGCTCTAAGTGGAGGCATCGCCTCAGAACTGGGGGTACAGCAAAAACCACAGAAGGCAAAACCCCTATCATAGAACTCACATCCTTATTGGGAAAATGTGGATGGAAATGTGGTATGTCAGGTAAAAATATGTTCTATGAAGAAGACAAGATGAAGTAAGCACAAAGAGAGAGGGGAAAGGATGCTGGCTAGGAAATTTTAGAGCAGAGGCCTTAATGATGTGAAAGAATGGCAGAGGGGCTGGGGCATGCAAAGGCCCCAAGGAAAGCAAGTGCTTGGGGTTTTGGAGAAGCAGCAGGAAGTGACTGCAGTCTTGTAGGGAAGATAGATGGGTGAGAGGACCCCTACATATGCACATTTTCCATAGGACATCAAATCTAGTCTACAATACTCTTGTTAAGTTCAAACCAGCACTATCAGTTCTCTCCTTCCCCTAGAATCTGAGATGAGTTTTTATCACAGATTATCTGTTGCATCCTCTGCCTTTGAAAACACACATAATCCTGCTGCAGAAAAAAGAAACAGCCAATCAAATTTGAGAAGAGGGTGGGAGATGAGGGAGAGTTCCTGAACTTCACAGTTTTGAAGAACTATTAAAGGAATAATCTTGTACTTATCGAAAATGATTTGCTCTGCATGACAATACTATTCTAATATCCATAGTCAAGGAAGGAGAACACAGAGGCCAGCAGCCCAACAAGACACATACAGTCATCAGTGTCCTTGTGACTCTAGATGCAATCTGCCTTAACCAAGACAATTCAACCTCCGGGAAAATGAATTCCATTCAGTGGGACCCCAAGTTTTCCATGGCAAATGGGAAAAACATTCTTTCTGTTGTAAATAGGAACACAACTTGTTTATGAGGATGCTTTAAAAAATAGAAAGTCATGGTCTACATTTCCATTGTTCCTCATTCATCCATTAACACAACATTTCTGTGGATCTTGTGAGTTGGTTGCTGGACAAATCTGTGGGGTTGGAGGGTTGCTGACTAGTGGGTACATAATTTCTCCAAATGAGGCTGATTCCATTTGCCCTTCCCGTCTCTCAGGGTTGGATGATGAACTGAGAAGGTATGTGCTTGTAGTTCCCACATTTATCTTTCAATATTCTGCCCTAATGAGGCTGTCAGGCTAAACGCCTTTCCAGAAAGATGACTCTAACTTTCTTCTCCATGGACAGTGTACTTGAATGGCATTTCCTCACACCCTTGTCAACATCAGCATTAGCATTCTTTAAACTATTGATTTTATAGGCAAAATCCCCATTATCTTACTATTTGAATTGGTTTGTAGCCCTTGACATTTTTCATACACTGATTAGCCATGTGCCCCCAAATATGGCCACTTCTTTGGTAATCATTATCTCATGTTCTGGGAAAAACACATTCTAAAAAGTTTAAATTACTTGTTTGAAAAAGGAAATGGGAGTTGTCATTCTAGTTCAGAAAAGATTCTAGCCCATACCAACCGTATTGCTGCAGAAAAACTCAGGCCAGCAGAAAACAGAAAGGGTAGGTAGACCAGCAGGCTGAAGAGGCAGTGAGCTTGGGGACTCAAAGCTCTTCTCCAAAGATGAGCCCTATAGATTGGGAAATATGAAGATGCCTCACGAGGAATTGGCCGTAGAGAGTGATGAGGGCCACCTCTTTTTGCTAAAAGGAAGATTTCTTCCATTCCCCCAGTTCTACAGGAACCCAACGAGACAGCACAATGACACCACATGAATTTGGCCACATCATGAAAATTAAGTTGGGTGCACCAGGTGGAAAAAAAAAAAAAAGTTCTTTCACCTATAAGAGTTTCAGGCACTGCTGCATCTTGCCAGTCAGCTAAATGTTTTCCTTACTGCCAATTTAACAGCAATTTAAGTCATTTTATGCCTCTTGAGCTTTGGAAACCTGTCCTGCTAGGCACTCAGGATGTTGATTTAATAGAATGTTTCTCTTGAAGGTATTTGGTAGGATTGTCACCGTTTTAACCTGTTTTTGTTTTCCTATGCAAACCACCTTATGATCACTCATCTTGGTTTCTGGGAGACATTTTAATTAGATCCCTTGGAGAATCTTACATAGCCTGGAACCTACCATTCTTGTCTCAAACATCTAAGGGCAGTTTGGCCTTTCCCCTGTCTCTCCATTTATCCATATCCTATCTGTAAGGCTTTTTGATGTCCTTCCTCTTCTGTCCTGACCCCTTTCACTTCCTGGCCACACACCCCACCCTCTCAATGTCCTGGAAGGGGAAGAGATGCCTCTGCAATATCGCTCTCCTCCCCAGTAGGTGCTTTTGTTAATCTGTTTTGTCTAGAGCTGTGTTTAAGCCATGCTGCATGGGAAGCACTCTCTGCTGCTTCCTGGGACAGGATTGGTCAGCTGGTCCAGGGTCCCCCTTTAAGCCTGATCCTACTCATTGATGCTGAGATACAGTAAGCAGGACAACCAGCAAGACTGCCGTAGAGAAGACACCACTCGCCTCCCTCTCTCCCTCTCCCTGCTTCTCACTCCTTTTAGCATCTTAGCACGCTGGTCATGTTTTACAGGCCTATACCATAGCAGGCAGCAGAGTGTTATAATCTAAGATTTAGATCCAGATGTAACTGGAGGCCTTTTTTTTTTTTTTTTTTTTTGAGATGGAGTCTCACTCCATTGCTCAGGCTGGAGTGCAGTGGCGTGATTTCAGCTCACTGCAACCTTTGTCTCCCAGGTTGAAGTGATTCTCCTGCCTCAGCCTCCCGAGTAACTGGGATTACAGGCATGTACCACCACACCCCGCTATTTTTTTAGTAGAGATGGGGTTTCACCATGTTACCCAAGCTAGTCTCCAATTCCTGAGCTCAGGTGATCTGCCTGCCTCCACCTCCCAAAGAACTGGAGGCCTTTATACTTCAGGTTGCATACTAAGACAGATGGAGAGAGTGCGGGTGAGAGTGGAAACTGTAGCACAGTGCATCAGCTTCTAGCTCTTGAATATGCATCTGCCTTGGGAACATATTCTGAAGGAAGTGTCTGTGGCAGGACAGGATTCAAGCATTTGTTTTTTTAGGCATCCATTGAACAAAATACCAAAATCTCACATTCACTTATAAAACAGTTTACTGGTAAATCTATCTGGGGACTAAATTGTACCTATATATCATTGTTTTTCAAGTGTTTCATTTGGAAAATTTTTTAAAAACAAGACTGTAAGGTCCTCAAGGGCAGAACTTTCTCGTCAGGACTCCCTGGTACTTGGTACATCTCGAGCACAGGAGATGTTAGAATCAGACGCGTAATTGCTGTCCCAGGCAGCGGCCGCTGGTGACCTGCAGCTACCGAACACATGAAATGTGGCTGTCTCAACCAACGTGTGCCCTACGTGTAAAGCAGACACCAGATTTTCAAGATTCAATGCCAAAAAAATGTAAAATAAGGTATTATGATAAATTATAACATTATAAAATATTGATTTAAATTAATTTATATTGATTTCCTTTTGAAGTAATATTTAAGGTTTATTAGGTTAAATGAACATACATTATTCAAGTTCATTTCACTTGTTTTCTTTTTACTTTCTTGTAACGTGGCTGCTCAAAAATGTAAAATTGCATTCGTGCCTCACACTCAAGGCTGACATTGTATTTCTATCAGGTGCGTCCCTCTAGACCCCAGCCGGGGTAACATGACCGAGGAACGAGCCCAGTTCAGAGCCGCCGTCGAGTGTCACGTCTGGGGAGGAGAGGGGAGCGCCGTGCTAAGGGGCTTACGCAGAATCTTCTTCAAAGCTGTCAAATCTCCATCTCCGCCAGCCATCACTGCTGCCTCTACACCAGAAGCACGTGAGAACGTGTGGGTCCCATTTTTCATACAAATGTTTAAAATATATTCTGTGCCAATACCGTTCTTATCTAGTTTATGGGATTGTGGAAAAACAAAGCCACAGGATTTAGGGCTCATCAAAAAGGACTTAGTTTCATTCTCAGCGCAGTAGGGAAAAAATCTTAACACAGCTTGGGTAAAGAAATGACTAAGAGACAAACAGCAGTGGGTTTTAGCGTGACATATGCCCCTCATGGGAGAGTCCTGTCCCCCTTTGGGATCTCATTGAGCAATTACAAATATCACTGCTTCTTTTTTTTTTTTTTTTTTTTGGGATGGAGTCTCACTCACTCTGTTGCCCAGGCTGGAGTGCAGTGGCGCAATCTTGGCTCACTGCAACCTCTGCCTCCCAGGTTCAAGTGATTCTCCTGCCTCAGCCACCCGAGTAGCTGGGACTACAGGTGTCCACTACCACGCCCAGCTAAGTTTTTTGTGTTTTTTGTTAGTTAGTTAATTAGTTAGCTTTTTGAGACAGAATCTCGCTCTGTCGCCCAGGCTGGAGTGCAGTGGTGTGATCTCGGATCACTTCAACCTCTGCCTCCCAGGATCAAGTGATTCTCCTGCCTCAGCCTCCAGAGGAGCTGGGATTACAGGTGTGTGCCACCACATCCACCCAATTTTTGTATTTTTAGTAGAGATGGGGTTTTGCCGTGTTGGCCAGGCTGGTCTCAAATTCCCGGCCTCAAGTGATCTGCCCACCTCAGCCTCCCGAAGTGCTGGGATTACAGGCTGAGCCACCGTGCCCAGTCTACTGCTTATTTCTGCCAACGTTCTTCAAAGATTAGAAAATATGATATTGTTATTTTCCAGAGACAACCTTCTTTTCATGCAAAACGAAATCTCCCATGTCTAGAAGAAGGCCGGTAAACTGGCAGCCCACCAGGCTGCGCGTGGATGTGTTAGTCAACGCAGTGATTTTCAAGAACTGACTCATTTGTTTTTTAATTTGTTATCTGCCAATATTTCAAAATCAAAACAATTTACATGGAAAGTCTGGATTTCTGACTTCTGTTAAGTTGGAAGCGCTGGCAACCCTGGCCTATTTCCCTGTAGTTTCACTTGATGGAATGAGAGGCTGGCCCTGTGAGATGACTCCTCCACTGACCCACCACAACCCCCACCCACTCCCTATCATCTCCCCAGTGCTGGGGAGGAGGAGGGACAGTTGTTATCATTGCTGTTGTAGTTCTCATATCCTGGAAATATTTCCCTGTCCCCCTACTTCCACTGAGACTGTGAAAATAAAATGCAGACTGGGTA
Source organism: Homo sapiens (assembly GCF_000001405.40). Lineage (NCBI taxonomy): Eukaryota > Metazoa > Chordata > Mammalia > Primates > Hominidae > Homo > Homo sapiens. The sequence goes on from NC_000012.12 coordinate 130,547,106, forward strand.
ATCTGTTTCTTATGTCTGTGTCTTCTCTATTCTTTAAACAAAAATGCTTCTGTATGTTTTCACCTAATACAGCAAAGCTCAAGACAGTTAGGGCTCTTTTAATATTGAAGACAACTAAAAAAAAATCTTTAAGTGTGCATACGCTCACACAGAAAGAGTTCTCCAAGCCTTGAGTTTCTTTAGCATTACTTAGTGTAGTTGGTTTCCTGTCCCAAATAATGGGGGGAAATATCTTTTGGGCACAGTTGTGCGGATTGTTTAGAAACATACATCTCTGATTAATATAAACATTACCTGCAACACAGAGCCCGAAGGCAGCCTGTTTTCTCACTATCGTATTTTATAATCTGTTAGACTTATTGCCATGTTAATCAAAGGTCTACTTTTCATGCTAACACTAGCTACAGAAATTGTCTCCCAGCAGTTTCCATTTTGAGGCCTTGAGACATCATAAAACCCCAAAGCAGCAATGCTGGCCTGGCAACAGGGTACAGAGATTACATCGATCCCTGCTGCAAAAGGAAATGAAATGCCTGAGCTACTCTGTCACGTCAGCCCCGAAATGGGGAAGATCAGGACACGGCTGCATCATTAGCGATTCCCAACTGGTTCTTCAGTAACTCTCCTGATGCCAGGGAGATCTCAGAGCAAAGCACGATCACAGAAAACTGCCTACGCTCGTTCCCACTCTCCAGTATTCTTCTGTTTTTCATCTCAGTGAAGACGGATTAGAGAAACTTATTATATTTAAGAAATACTCATTTAAGCTTCTAAGCAGGAGGTTTCTACCAAGAAAGGCCTAATCTCTCTCTTTCATCTCTTTCTGCCTACTGAATGTCTTGTAATTCTGCTGTTGATGATGCACAGACCTCCATGTATGGGGCTAAGGATGATCGTATGTCAAGTAGTAGACACTTTCAGCAGAAAAGCCTGCCCTGGTCACCCTCTGGTGACTGACCATGATCCAAAGACCATCAAAGACCAAAATGTACTCTCATTCAAAGCATGAACAGGAGTGACGGAAGACAAGAAGCCCACGACGGAAGACAAGAAGCCCACGGCTTGTTCCACTCGGGCCATGAAGTTAAGAATGTGAACAAGGGTGACAGGCATGATTCTGAGGCCCAAAATACACAGAGACAAAGCAAACTGAGGCACAGAGTTCTGAAGCCCCGTATCTCTCTAATTTCTCATCTTCCCCTTTGCCACCATTTCTGGAATGGTCTCCAAGTTCAGTCTCTGTAGGTAAAAGGCAATGGGTAATTTAAGAGTTTCATGTTTTATTTCCATGCCTTCCACTGCATTTTCACAGCTAAAGCTAAGATTGTGATCTCCCCAGCTTATCAGGCTACAAAATGTTTTCACGTGATCTATCATGCCCACAAAACTGCCCTTAAAATTCCATCTCTGATCTTTCCCAGGAGACATGCTCATCACAACCTTGCTGCCTCTTGGACTTTGTGGGTTTTTTTGCTTGTTTGTTTTTGAGACAGAGTCTCACTCTGTCACCCAAGCTGGAGTGCAGTGGCATAATCTGGGCTCACTGCAACCTCCACCTCCCGGGTTCAAGCAATTCTTCTGCCTCAGCCTCCCAAGTAGCTGGGACTACAGGCTCCCACCACCGTGCCTGGCTAATTTTTGTATTTTTAGTAGAGACGGGGTTTCACCATGTTGACCAGGCTGGTCTCAAATTCCTGACCCCATGGTCCCATGGGGTCCCCATGGGAGGCCTCAGCCTCCCAAAGTCCTAGGATTACAGGCATGAGCCGCCGTGCCCAGCCTACCTCTTGGACTTTGTTTTAATCGGGTGAGACCCTTCTTGAGATGACCACTCTTGATTAGCAGCCCTGTGGTATTTTTCAAAGGATTTTTGTGAAACTGACTCTGTGCCAATAATTCTGCAAAAGTATCTCTGTGAAAACTTCTACGTCTGTGCTAATAATTCTATTCTACCCCTAATTAAATACTCCTAGGAAACTTGTAAGAAATGCAGACATAGGGGATTTTATTCAGTGTGATTTCATTTGGGGAGGACTGCCTAATTCAAACGTGTAACTCTAGGCTGGTGGATATTTCATCATTTTCTCCAGCACTGAACCAAGAGCATCCTCAAATCCAAATAAAAACAGCCTCTACCATATGGACTAAGCTGGCATCTGATGCCCATCCCGGGGGAATGATACGACGACAGTTTTTAAATAAAGGTGAAAATGACTTGGTGATCTTTGGCTACTGTCAAGAGATAAAACAGTCCAGTGTTTTTTCTTAACTTGTATTTTAGGCTTGGGGTACAAGTGAAGATCTGTTACACAGGTAAACTCATATCACAGGGGCTTGTCGTACAGATTATGTCATCACCCAGGAATTAAGCCCAGTACTCAATAGTTGTCTTTTCTGCTCCTCCCACCCTCCACCCTCCAGTAGGCCCCAGTGTCTGCTGTTCCCCTTTGTGTCCACGTGTTCTCATCATTTAGCTCCCACCTACAAGTGAGAACATGCAGTATTTGGTTTTCTCTTCCTGTGTTAGTTCGCTGAGGATAATGGCCTCCAGCTCCTTCCATGTTTCCACAAAAGGCATAATCTCATTCTCTTTTATGGCTGCATAGTATTCCATGGTGTACATGTACCACATTTTCTTTATCCAGTCTGTCACTGATGGGTACTTGGGTTGATTCCATGTCTTTGCTACTGTGAATAGTGCTGCAATGAACATTCATGCGCATGTGTCTTTTTGGTAGAATGATTTACATTCCTCTGGGTATATATCCAGTAATGGGATTGCTGGGTCCATGGTATTTCTGCTCTTAGCTCTTTGAGGAGTCGCCATACTGCTCTCTACAATGTTAAACTAATCTACACTCCCACTGAGAGTGTCCAAGTGTTCCCTTTTCTCCACAATCTGTCCAGCATCTGTTACTTTTTGGCTTTTTAACAATAGCCATTCTGACAGGTGCGAGATTGTATCTCACTGAGTACACGCTGTTGATGTAATTCAAGTACTTCTGAAAACAAAGGGTAGTTATCGACTACATTGGAACTATGGGAGGAGAAAGGCCATGAGTGAGCGTGTTTGTCCTGGGAGAAGGGATGTCTACTGCATCAACTGTGGCTTTTGTATGCTGCTCATGTAGGTTCCATTTCTCTGTCTCAGACTAAAGGGGACCTACAACTTGCTCCACCCAAAATATTTCAATTTAAGAGATACACATAGAGAAAAGTGATGATGTTCAGAAAGCTTTCTCCTGAAAACATAAAGACAGCCCAGGAACATTTTTATTTGAATGGTAAAAATGATCACACAGCAAAGACAAAAGTAGGCTGAAACCTTCAAAGTCAAATGAAAGTAATTCTGAAGGGCGTCTGTACTTTAATTATATTGGGTGAATGTTGGTGTCCAGGCTGTGGTCATGGTACCACGGTGGTGAATGATGTTTCCACTGGGGTCAGCTGGGTAAAGAGTATACTCCTGAACAACTATGTCCTATTTTTGCAATGTTTATGTGAGTCTAAACGTACTGCAAAATGAAAAAAGGTTAAAAATTAAACTATAAAATGCCATGTCATTAGACATGATGTGGATGGCCCTCTGCCAATTCATCCATGATTTAACAGATACATTTGGTTTTCTTATTACACTTGAGGTGATGTATTAAGTTCTCTGGGAGATTCTAAAAGACACAAAAGGTAATCTCTGTCCTCAGGGAGCTTATGGTCTCCTTGGGAAAACAGAGACATAAACAGAGAGAAAGTTTTAAAATGACATTTATGGACTGTAAGTGACTTTTGAAGCTGCACATAAGTAATCATGAAGTTACTGAGATGAAAAGTGGGTGCCGCACATTAACTGGAAAGCAAGCACCTGTGTGTCTAAAATGTGGTGACATGATGTGTGGCACCACCTTCCAGAAGCTGGTGTCTATGTGCTGTTCATGGCTGATCCCACATTACCTGACCCACAATAATCACCAGGTCTATGTTCATTATTGATTGGATACAGGTGAATAAAGATGCTACTTGACCTAACTCTCAGAAGATTAAATCAAGTGAAGCAGGAATTACAAAAAGGAGGGTGACTCCAGCAAGAGCCCCAGATGTGGAAGTCCAAGCCACACCTGGAAAACAGGATCTCTGCCAGCTAGCCTGGCCAGTCATGATGGTAGAGAAAGGTGGAAAGAAGCTGGCATCAGAGGGGCTTAAATGGCAGGAAAACAATTCATATAATTGTGCTATCACCCTAGAAACCCAGAGACTGTTTCCCATGATTTGATTTGTGAGATATTTCTCACTTCATCTGTCTTATCTGTGTTCATGGGTACACGGCCATAGGCACTCAGATGTTGCATGAAAAAGAAATGTTAATCTAAAAAAAATGTCCCATAGTTTGCTATTTTTAAAAATATAGAATGCAAATCATGATAATTTTCTTCTTTGCCTGTTCTTAGATTTCTTTTTTTTCTTATCTTATTGCTTTGGCAAGGGCTGCTAGTCCAACAGTGAATTACAGGGGTGTTGTCATGCCTATAATTAGTTCCCTGTGTCCAATTTATAGAATTGTGCATTCTTGACAAAAGAAAATGCACAGATAGAGCAAGGTGAGATAGGAACCCAAGGAAAGAGAAGGGACTCCATCTGTAATGTTGCAGTGGGTCCCTCCAATGCTGCAAAGACCCAGAGCAAGCCTCAAGGAAGAATTCCACTTAGAGGTAATTCTTTTCCACAAAGGGGCCTTCCAGTCATCCCACAGAAGTGGATTCCTACATTAAATCCCCAAGTCACCATGTAGTCTTGCAGTTTCACATTATGTTAGTGGCAAATCATGAATTATGAGCTTAAAATAGGTGTAAACTGACAAAACTGCATCCAGTGATTTCAGATCCCATGTTAACTACATGAATTGTTAAACCAATGTTAAAGTCGTTTCCACAGCATTGGATTAAATTAGATAATGGGTTGCTTGGGCTCATAACTGCTTTAACATCTATAAGATGCATTCGCTAGTATGATGCTAAGGCATGGCAGACATAAAATCAATAAGAGAGCTTCTAATAAATGAAAGAATATCAACTGCTTCATGTGTTTTAGTGGAGAAATCATGAAATTCACATTCTGTGGAATAATTTTGGTCAGCCAGAGTAGGGGGTAGAGGGCCGTGGGCAGTGTATACAGGCTCAGTCAAAAGAAGCCAAATATTTTTCATGTGATAACCACATAAGCAAAGTTACCTTAAGACAAATCATGTTTTCTTTCCAAAAGTCACTTGAAAAGTAAATAAATTTATAAAAGAAAATTAGTGCATTAATATCTTTTTCAAGACAATTATATAACTGCAATAAGTTAGGACAAGATTTGTTTAAAACATAACAGGAAATAATAATGACAAGATAATGGCTAAAATGATAATGAGAGTGTTCTTTCCCTAAATAGTACTCCACTAAAATATGACATCTTAAAAACTGCTGGTGAGCAGATCAGGAAATGAGCATCATTAGTCCTGACACTAGAAATTCATGCAGCAAGGTCATGTTTTCACAACAAATCAGCTTGTTCATTCTGCCAGTTCAGTACAAAAATTAGTAGACAAATTCATGATAAAAAGGATCATGTTAGTCTTTTGTCTGCATTGATCATAGAAACTGATTAGAAAAGTGAGATTGTGTACATCCCAGGGTGACAGAGCCTTGTGCACTGTCCAAGGTGCTGATTAAGAGATACCCAGGGTCATTCCATTTTGCAGCAATAGTTATCTCAGAGAAAACAGGACAGGTCGCCGGGCGTGGTGGCTCACACCTATAATCCCAGCACTTGGGGAGGCCGAGGCAGGCGGATCACGAGGTCAGGAGATCGAGACTATCCTGGCTAACATGGTGAAACCCCATCTCTACTAAAAAATACAAAAAATTAGCCAGGCGTGGTGGCAGGTGCCTGTAGTCCCAGCTACTTGGGAGGCTGAGGCAGGAGAATGGCGTGAACCTGGGAGGCAGAGCTTGCAGTGAGCCGAGATCGCACCACTGCACTCCAGCCTGGGCAACAGAGCGAGACTCCATCTCAAAAAAAAAAAAAGAAAAGAAAAGAAAATAGGACAGATCACCTCTGATTCAGGGAAAACATGGAGGAAAGGGAAGGACAACATATGACTGGCTAGCCCCACACCAAGGAAGCACTGGACACAATAACACATACTATTATTATAACAATTAACACCTATCAAATGCCTCTTTCTGCCAGCTGCTGTGTTAAACACTTTCCCTAAATTTTCTCTTTAACATTTACAATAACTCTATAATGTGAGCATAATTATTATCATCCCTTATATATCAATATATCAAGATGTATATGTCAATATATCAATCTTAATATATAGAATTTGAATGCTAGGTGTTAAATAACTTGACAATTAGGAGGCCGAGGCAGGTGGATTGCTTGAGCCCAGGAGTTCAAGAACAGCCTGGGCAACATGGCAGAAACCCGTCTCTACCGAAAATACAAAAATTAGCCAAGTGTGGTGGTGCATGCTTGTATTCCAAGCTACTTGGGAGGCTGAGCTGGGAAGATCACCTGAGCCTGGAAGTTCAAGGCTACAGTGAGTCCTGATTGTGCCACTGCACTCCAGCCCGGACAACTGAGGGAAACCTTGTCTTGAAAAAAATTAATAGATTCATTAAATAACTTGACCAAAGACATAGAGCTGCCAGGTGGCAGTTCTGGGACTTGAACTAAAATCTCTGTCTCCCCAAACTCTACATAAAGATGGAGAAACTGTTAGGAAACTAGAGTTAAATTCAGTTCGTTGGTGGTGGCCTCAAAGAATATAGAGAAGGTATTGGAATTAAGGACTCTAGATTTATGGGATCACAGTAAAAATTCCAAGGACGAAAGAAATACATATTTATTCCTAGGTCCAGCAAACATTTACTGCAAGCCAACTGTGTTCCGAGTTTGGAGCACAAGGAGTGACCATCTGTAAACTCATTGATCTCGGGAAGCAGTGAATTAACTATAGACAAAAAAGAGAGAGAAAGCATATGTAATAGCAAAGAATAGGGACTCTGGGAGCAGGTACAGGAATCCCGACTTCAATTTCCTGTCCCATCATCACTAAGTGTGAGATCTTAGACCAGTCTCAACTTCTCTGAGCTTCAGTTTCCTCAATTCTTATGCACCTCAGAGGGCTTTTCTGGGGCCTAAATGACATAATTCAGTTCAACGTTTGCTAAAGTACCTAGCACACAGGAAGTGCCCAGGGAGTGATTAGCATTCTGCCCCCTCATTCAAGCATCCTAATGACTCTCCTGAGATCCAACACAAACAGGTAGAGAGTGCATCTGAACTAGGTGTGAAACCTCATGTTTGTGGTTATGAAATGGATACAATATACGGCCCTCATAAAGTGACCCTACTAACATCACCCTCAAATTCAATGACAGTTACTTAGGCTTACGAATACAGACTAAAAACAACAGAAGTTGTCAGTGAAGGCACTGTTGAACAGTACTCCTAAATGTTTATTTAACAGATATTTGAATTCACTTACGTGCTGCTCTACACATTTGATAAACATTAATTTGTTCAAAGTTCAAAATAACTATGCAGTGGGTGTCATCATTATCCCCATTTTAGAGAGAGGAAACAGAGACAATAGAAGTTGTCAGTGAAGGCACTGTTGAACAGCATTCCTAAATATCTAACAAATATTTGAATTCACTTATGTGCCGTTCTACACATTTTATAAACATTAATTTGTTCAAAGTTCTAAAGAACTATGAAGCAGGTGCCATCATTATTTCCATTTTATGGAGAGAAAAGAGAGACAAGAGAAGTTGTCAGGAAAGGCAACGTTGAACAGCATTCCTAAATATTTAGCAAAGATTTGAATTCACTTATGTGCTGTTCTAAACATTTTATAAACACTAATTTATTCAAAGCTCAGAATAACTCTGTGAAGTAGGTGCCATCATTATCCCCATCTTAGAGAGAAAAAACAGAGCCAAGACAAGTTAAAAGACTCACTGAGGTCACACAGAAAAGACTTGAACCCTGCGATCTGACTCCAGTGTTTGGGTGCTTAACTACTATCCTGTATCAGCTCCCTGTGGTGAACTTCTGCCTCTGTTGAGATGAATCGGGAAAACAGCTTATGTTGAACAATCAGATTCAGGAGAAAGCCCTCGCAGGAAAAAATGGTAAATTTAAAAAATAATAATAATAAAAAGCCTTTTCCAAAAGCCCATGTTGGCTCCTGGCTATGGCAGCAGTTAGTCAAAATGAGAAGCAGCGTGGGTCTCACATGATGCACCCCTCACCGTCCTGGACACAGACGGCCTTAGTATTTATACTTTAGCCTCTGAACTTTATTCCACTTAATGAACTCAAGCACCATAAATGCAAGCCTGAACACACAGCATGGCTCATTTGAAGACAGAAATATGATTATATTATTACAGAAAAACACATTGAAGTGGTAAGTGACAAAAGTGTAGATACATTTGTTTCCCAGAAAACCATCTGAATGTCTTAAAATCTAATAAAAGATCTATCCGGGGCACAGGAAAGCTGTTCAACAACCGCCTCACCTCTGATTTATAGCAGGCATTTTTATGATGTTTTTATGGCTTTGACCTCAGAAGGATTTCTCGATAAAGCAGCTAAAACACGAAACTGCTAGTGCAAAAGCCAGTTGCATGTACCAGAGGAGGGAGATTGTCCGAGACCTTGAAAATAATGCCCCATGCCTGGCAAAAGTTAATCGTCATCTGGTTCCATTCTGAGCAATAATCATGAAAGGCAGCCGTGCAGGCCGGCTCTCAGAAATACATTTCAATGAGCCAGGCCCATCGCCAGGCACGGAGAGGAGGCAGCACCCGACAGGAACATCATGGTTGTCATGGCAACCACATGGCATGGCAGGTGAGCCTCTGCCCCCTCGTACTTCGGGGAGGAGGAGAGGAAATGAACAGGATGAGCAGCACTGTGCTAGATTCTGACCGGGGAGTCAAGGCTTGCTGCACTTGTGTTCCTGGTGTCAAGCAAACCCGTGTTTTCAATGCAGAGTTTTGTTGTTCTGTTTTGTTTATCACTCCACAGCAGGCCCACCCTGGCAACGTGCACTCTGTCTGCCCGGATCTTCATTAGCCGGCTGCAGGATAAGAAGCACTGTGGCCCAGACCTTCCCCTCATGTGGCCTGCATAGGATAAATTCATATCCAATGGATCAAGGTGGTTTCTATGAAGCCCTAGAGACCGATGATTCATTCTCACTGTTTGCATAATTTTTATCTTACCATTTGTCTAAGATAAATGATTGGAACTCGGGAAGTGGTACCAATCAGGGTGCTGTCTGGAAACAGATAGAACCTCCAGCTGGGATTCTGAAAAGTTAGACAAGGAACAATGTAGAGGGGCATGGGCAGAATTAAAGTCCAGCCAGGGACGCTCGGGCACTCAGGATGGACAACCAAGCAACTGTGAGAAGCTGGTGACCCCCACATGGGGAGACCCAGGCCAGGGGAGCTGGAGCCTTGCAGGGAGGTGCAGCTGCTGGAAACACCCCACCAGGAAGGAATGGAGACGGGGGAGGCTCCCCACCTTCTCGCCTGCTACCCTCCCAACTCAAGATGGTGCCATCACCATTGGCCAAGCCCAAATGGAAAGCAGACAGCTAGAGCCCAAGTATGCAGTGCAGCCCCCAGGAACAGTGTGGAGAGGAGCAGGAAGGGGGTCAGGATGAGATGTGGAGAAGGTCAGAGCACCGGGCCAGTGAGCAAGTGAGCCAGCACTGTGCACCCTTAGGGCGTAGGTGCAGAGACGTCTTGCATCTCGGCTTCTTGATCTAAACAAGATGGTCATATCCTGTTATGGGTTAAATTATGTCCATGACCCCAAGTTCATATGTAAAGTCCTAACCCCCAGTGCCTCAGAATGTGCCCTTGTTTGAAAATAGGGTCTTAGCAGATGTGAGGAGTTAAGATGAGGTCATACTGGAGTAGAGCAGACCCTCGTCTCATATGCCTGTGTCCTTATCAAAAGGAGACCTTTGCACACAGAGCTGCACACGGGAAGAATGCCAGGTGAAGATGGGCAAAGAAGGGTAAAGCACCTACAGGCCGAGGAGTACCAAGGGTGCTGGCAGCCACAGAGACAGGGAGAGGCCTGCAGTGGAGCCCCCCACAGCCTCAGGAGGACCCAGTCCTGCTGGCCCCTGGAGCTCAAGCTTCAGCCCCCAACTGTCACGCCACACGTTTCTATCTAAGCTGCCAGTTGCTCCAGCAGCCCAAGAAACTCATCCGTGTCCCATCAGGCCATCTGAAAATGCAGTCAGGCCTGCCCTCAGCCATGCGAGTGACCTTGGAGGCGGGTCCCACCCTAGTGGGGTGAGCTGGGATGTGGAACACCCCCTGCCCGGGCTCAGAAGCAGAAGCCCCTTCCAAAGCCCGCAGCCCCAGGTGATGCCTAGGCAGACTCACCACGGACTCTGAGCAGAAGTCTTGGCTGAGCTGTGCCCGAACTCTTGACCCAGAGAAACCACAAGACAGCAGATGTGTGTTGTTTGAAGCCACCGAGTTGCTGTAATTTATTACACAGCAATCGGTGACAAATAGGTCACAGCTATAGATGACAAATTCAGCTACCTGCGGAGATTGATTTTTAAAAACATATTTTAAAATCCTCTTTTTTCCTGTACTTATCTGTAGACAAGAGTGTCACCTTGTTCGATGCCCCGCCTTCATCTAGAGACACCACCACAGACCCTGGGGTCAAAGCGCCTTGCTCCAATTCCTGCCCCTTCCCAGTGAGCAGCTGTGGCTTCGGCAAGTTACTTACTCCTGGCTCCTGCGACCCCGGTTCCTCACCTGAAAAGTCGGGCGATAATAGTGTCCACCTCATTGTGTTGCAGAAGGAAATAAACAAGCAAATAAGAGGAAATATGTGCTTAAGACAGTGTTCAGACTCACGTCTGGCATAGAATCAATGCTCAGTGATTATGAGCTGTAATGATTACTATGGTTATGACAACCATGATTTGATTCTATTCACCCAGGAATGAAACAACAACAAAATGCAATGGCAGGCTGACTTTTCCTGGGGTCATTCTTGCCGGTTTTTTTAGCTGACAGCATCCACTCAAGTTCTCCCCTCATTGTCTCACGGAGAAGAGCTTGCTAATAACACCCTAACAATTAGAAGGCAGATAAATCTGGAAATAAACATTTCCACAGTTATGATCATTTTGGACATATGGGATCATAATATTTTATGATCACCAACAGACACACCTCTCTCTGCAAACACACACAGCTGCCGGGGTGGGGCTGGGCTTTGCACTTCCTGAGATTGAAAGAGCAAATTTTCTTCCTCACAGTGATGGTGACAGACAGAAATCAGCTGCTGGCTACTTCCACTCAAGTCAGGCTAAGGGTACGTCAGCAGCCGTGCAGCTCAGTCCGACTCCAGGGACCCAAAAAAGAATGAGGCACGCTGTTAGGTCAGCAGGGAGAGCCCCAGAGACAAAGGGAAGAGACCGAGAATGCAGCCAGCCTGTGGTGTCACTCACAGGGTTGGGTGTGCAGTCAGAGGCCAGGCGGCCCCCTTGAGAAGGGCTGGTCCCAGCAGCGCATCCAAGACCTGCAAGGGCATCTGAATCCCCTGTGAAAAGGGTGATGATGACCTGCTATGTCCAGGGAGGAGCTTGCAATTCTGTGTTTCTAATCCGCTTCCAAGGGGACACTTTTCCTTGCTAAAATGTTAAATGACATTTGCTGTTAACAAACACTATATACTTCCAAGTAATTTATTGACTTGGTCATGAAATTGAAATTGTCAAGTAGGTTAGAAACTCACATTCTCCCTCTTTTTTAAAAGCTTATTAGTCTATATTTTCATAATCTCAACTTCTGATGATTTTATCTTCTCTTATGCCAATACCTTGTTTTTTAGATTTTATTTTTAATAGACAATAAGTGTATGTATTTATGGGGTACAATGTGATGTTCTGATATATGTTTATGTTATGGAATAATTAAATCCTACTTATTAATGTGTCAATCTCCTTATTTCTCTGTGGTGAGAAGATTTGAAATCGACTCTCCTGGTGATTTTCAAATATACAAAACATTGCTATTACCTATAGGCACCATGTTGCACAGGCAGTTCTCTTAGAATTTATTCCACCTAATAGATATTTTGTATCCTTCCAACAACAGCTCCCCACCCCCTACCCCATGCCCTGGCCCCAACCTCTGGTAACCATCATTCTCCTCTCTGCCCCCGTGAGTTCGACTTTTTTGGATTTCGCCTATGAGTAGATCACGTGCCGTTTGTCTTTCAATGCCTGGCTTATTTCACTTAGCATAGTGTCTCCCAGGTTTATCCAGGTAAGGGCAGATGACAGGCTTTCCTTCTTTTCATGGCTGAATAGTACTCCGCTGTGTATATACACCACATTTCTTTATCCTTATATCCGCTGAGGGACACTTAGGTTGATCCTACACCTTGGCGATGGGGAACCTCATGCTCTCTTAAAAAACACGATTCCCATTTGTTAAGGGTGGGCTGGGACTGCGTGCAGGGCACTGACAGGCGTACCTAATTCACATTAGTTCTTTAACTCCCTGGAGCTCCGTGAGACCACATGCTGTAGAGACTAAGGGTGCTGGCTTGGAAGCCACACCATGACTGTGTCAACCTGGGAGCTAGCAGGTATTTAGATCCCAGATCTAGCACTTTGTAACCAGATGACCTCGAGCAAGCTACTTGACTGCTCAAGGCCTCCGAATTTTCTTCCATAAAATGAACAACGGTAACACCTGCCTCGAAGGGTTGTTTAGGACATGCTCTGCACCCATGAGGCATTTGCTCTTATAACTCACTCTGCCCCCAGTTTACAGAGAGGGAAACTGAGAATGGGAGCAGGGGGTGATTTGCTTAAGGGCAGACAGCTGGTCAGCGGCAGAGCTGCCACTCAATCACAACACACGGCCAAAGTCCAGGGTTTGTTTAATCTGAGATCTGGGAATGACAACTCTCCCAGACGGAGGCAAAAATGTGTTCTAAAGGCAAAGTATTATTGCAGGTAGAATTTCTATTTCCCCCACCATATTCAGGTAATGTGGTAAAAGACTTCCTAAGTTCCCATTCCAGGCTATCATTCTTATTAAACCTGCTTAACTTCATCTCCCTTTTAATTTCACTGCAGATTTAATTTGGGGGGAGGGCAGAGTCGGGGGTCTCGGTTCCAGGGTTTCTCAACCTCAGCCCGGTGGTCATCTTGGTCTGGAAGATTCTTTGCTGTGGGGCTGTCTTGTGCAGGGCAGGACGTTTAGCCACACCCCTGGCCTCCACCCACTGGATGCCACTAGACCCCCCACCGGTAGTGACCACCCAAAATGTCTCCAGACATTGTTCTCTGGGAGGCAGTATGTGCTCTGCTCCCACTCCCATCCGCTTTGAGATCCCCAGTCTAATCTACCATAAACCATGGGTTACGCTTTCCCCATAACACAGCAACGCTGACTCCTCGCGTGGCCAAGCTGCGCCTTTCCATGGCCCCATGTTCATGAGTCAGGAGAGCAGCTCCTCAATCGCATGTGTCTTAACCAAATGGAACTCTACTTTCAAAGTAACGTTCAACAGGCATAGATCAACCTGTTAGACTCTACCCAAAATATCTCATCGTGGCCTCCCTCCCTATGCCCAAGAGCCCATGTCGAAATTTTCTTGCAATCCAGTATTAAGGGCTGAGTTGTGCCCTCACATCCAAATTCATCTGTTAAAGGTCTAAAACCCCCAGAACCTCAGAACATGATGTTCTTTGGGACTAGAGTCATTGCAGATGTAGTAAGTCAGGGGAAGGCCATGCTGGAGCAGGGTGGGCCCCTGACTTAATATGACTACAGTCCTTACAAAAGAGGGAAATGTGAGCACACAGAGACAGATACAAAGAGAACGCCATGGGAAGATAAAAGCAGAGATCAGGGTGATGCTTCTGCACGCCAAGGAGCCCCAAAGATGGCCACCAAATCACCAGAAGACAGGAGAGAGGCCAGAACAGGGGCTCCCTCACACCCCTTAGAAAAAGCCAACCCTGCCAACACCTTGATCTCGGATTTCCAGCCTCCAGAACTGGGAGAGAATAAGTGTCTGTCGTTTCAGCCATGTGGTCTGTGGTCCTTTGTCATGGCAGCACTAGCAAATGAATACACAGAGACACTTATTTTCCCAAAGTCCAACATATTTTATGTCTTCATTCATTTTCCTGATGTCTCAAACCAGGGGTTGAGGCAACATATTTAGGGAAGCTAGGCCCAGGTCAGTGTGGTTAAAAGAGGAGCGTCAGATAGTTCTTTGGGAACCTGACTGATACGAGCAAGGTACCCCAAACCCAATTTCCACCTTCTTCTTAATTGCAGGAGTTTGTAAGCCTCTTTCTCCTTGATTCAGAGAACCCTGGGTAGAGGGACGGGTCCTTCTTGCGTAATCCGGTGTGATTTTTCTGGTGAATCACATACAGAATACGGATATGTTTAACTCCCAACTGGCCATTAAACACATGTGGTCATTTGCGGTAGCTCTGAAAGGCATCTCAACTCCCATTTTTAAATTAAGGGATGAACATTCACTAAACATGATAAAAGGGGGTTTCTGAACGCAGAGGCAGCCATCCTAGCAAGGATGGCTTTAGTTTTCAAACTCTCCTTTAATTTTAACCCACACAACTCTTTTGCTGCACAAATCTGTTAAACAGATTTTAGAATGAGATCTTTTCATTCTCCAGAGTTTGGGAAGAGTCTTAAATTTATCTGAATTTATCTTTTATTAATAATTTATTCTGATGGTTATAGTAATATATGTTCACTGTCAAAAAATGTTAAAATATAGAAAAGTGCAGAAAAAATGACGGGAAAACTATCAAACTCTGCAAAAATGACATTACCTTTGATCTGTGAAATAAAGCATAAAATCAGACACACAAGGAGGGGAGATATATCATCAATTTTTAAAGTTTAAGTTTTAAAATATATATCCATCACTCTTTTAGTGCATTCTTTTTCTAATACTTAGCAAATGAAACATTTGTGTGTAATCTAAAATTGGATTTTATTAACTTACTTCAAAGCCACCCTCCATGAAACTTAGAATACTTTATTCACAAGGAACAATAGTTCCATAAAATTCTTAATAGAGTGGAGTTTTATCTGCTAGAAATAGAAAAAGCAATTTAAGCTAGCTTAATTGAAATGGAAAATTATGACTTTACCTAACTGGAAGTCCTGGCATAGATCAGCCTTCAGGAATGACTTGATCCAGGGACCCTACCTGGCAAGTGCCTGGCTTCTACTCTTTTCTGTATATCAAACTTGCTGTCAGGCTGAAGTGACATGGGTTCAGCAGGACCAGTCACCTTTGCTTGACAGCAACCAAGGGAAGGAAGTACAGGAGTACTTCTGGAAGCTCACATAGAAGAAAGAAAAATCTTTTCTAGTAGCCATCTATGAGCCTCTCCTCTTCTCTCATTGGCCAGAGTTGGATCACATCCCCTATCCAGGACCAACCCCTCATAAAGGCTGGGGTTCTAAGGCCAAAGGAGCTTAGCCTTGGCTACAAGGGTGGGGCCTTGGAAAAGGAGTGGAAACCTGAAAAAACAACAGCAGCTGGAGTTCTGTTTGGCAGGAATAAATGAAAAATGGATGTCAGCAAGCAACCAAGTGCCTTCTCAATTCTGTAAGAGTGGTCTGTATCTGACAGCTCATCAGAATTCCACTGGGCACATTCAAGAGTGAAGGGAATTTGAAAGGCAGGGGAAAATCACTGAGCTGGGAGTAACTCACTGTGCATTTAATAAAATCTAAGCAGAAATCTCTGACAGCGTAGCTTGGTATGACGGACGGCTGGCTGTGGACAGCTTTTGACTTTACTGATCTCATCTATCTTTCTAACTGAGGACTAAACCAGAAGCTAAAAACGCATTCACGCTGCATAAAATGTATCTGCTAAAACACTGTTATCCTGAGTTTGGTTCTAAATCTCAGAGGGCTTTTCAAAAAGCATCTTAAAATCTTAAGTGCAAGTGACACACAAGGACCCACCCTGTCAATTTCATATTCCCATCGCCCCTTAGACCACTCTACATTTTTCTTCCACAAATAAATGAATTACCAGACACTTGAAACGCGTTCTTACGCCCTGCCAAGCCTCTTCCTCAACAAGACACCTGGTGGCATCTCCAGCTGGAAGTCCAGTGATTAACCTGAGCATGAGAAGGCTAAATTGGTTCAAATACCAAATGGAAGAATAGATCAAAGGATTGCCTGAAAGTCAATGGGGTTGAATTTCTAGATCAAAGGTTAATAGCAAAAGGTTTAGGATTCTTCTACAATTATTAAGCTGTTCAAAGGAATGGCCCAGTCAGACTTCATAGGGAATCAAGTATGAAAACGGTGACTCATCATTGAGACTATACTGGGAGCTTTCATTTCTAATGCTAACATCCTTTGAAGGGATAAACAAATATGCCCTACTGCAGCAGGGCTTTATTTAAGTGCAATTATTTTTTCAGTGATGCTTATTTAAATCTTGAGCCGGGTTGGCCATTTCAAGCCAGTAGTCAAGTCATCCCAAATGTACATTGACTAGAAGTGGGTTCACAGGTACTCTCATCTCTTCTCTGTGTTACTGTAATAACCTCACCCTCTCCACCAACCCAGCAGCTAGAGCGATCCTTTTGAAATGTAAGTCAGCTTGCATCATTCTTCCATCTAAAATCCTGCAGTGGTTTTCCGTTTCAATTATATACAAAAGCCAAAAACCTTCCTACACCTGCTGGGCTCTACATAACCTGGCTTCCCAGCCTCCTCTGCTGCTACATTTTCCCCTCGCTCACTCCATCTCTACCACACCAGCCTCCCTGCTGTTCCTATACAAGTCAGGCAGTCCCAGTCCCAGGGCCCTTGCACCTCTCTCTGTCCCCTCTTCCTCTTCTCCCAGGTGCCCACGTGGCTAACTCCCCCACCCTTCAGGCCTGCTGTTCCTATACAAGTCAGGCAGTCCCAGTCCCAGGGCCCTTGCACCTCTCTCTGTGCCCTCTTCCTCTTCTCCCAGGTGCCCACGTGGCTAACTCCCCCACCCTTCAGGTCTTTGGCCATATTTCATCCGACGCCACCCTGACCACCTTTTACAACTTCTCAGATGTCCCCTTCCTCCTTATTTTATTTCCCCAGTCTTTTCAGCACTGTGTTTTTTTCCCAAAGCATTTCTCATTTAGATGCGCCAAATCTTTTACTTTTTTCTAACATTTTAAAAATTGGGGTGAGATTTACATAACATACAATTAACTATTTTAGAGTTAACATTTCGCCAGCAACAATGGTATAACAAATGGCCAAAAAGCCCATGAAAGGGCATTCAGCATTCTTAGCCATCAGGGAGATGCAAAGGAAATAGGGTATATACATACAATGGAATATTATTCAGCCTGAAAAAAGGAAGGGAATTCTACCACTTGCAACAGCGTGGATAGACCTCAAAGACATTACGCTAAGTGAAATAAGCCAGTTGCAGAAGGACAAATACTGTAACACTCCTTTTATATAAGGCCTCTAAACAGTGGCAGTTAACAGGGGATGTAAGAGGGGGATGTGGGGAGTTGTGGTTCAATGGGGTTCAAGTTCACTGATATACAAGATGCATTAGTTCCAGAGATCTGCTTTGCAACCCTGAGCCTACAGTTAATAAGGTACTCTGCACTTAAATTGTGTTAAGAGGGTAGACTCAATTTAAGTGTTCTTACCACACACACACAGAACAACAAGGAAACCCAAGAAAACTTTTGGAGGTGAAGAGTGTGTTTATTACCTTGATCACAGTGATAACATGAATGTGTACATATGTCCAAACTCAAACTGTATAAATTAATTATGTACAGTTTTTGGTATCCAATTATACCACCATAAAGCAGCAGGGGGAAGGAAATGTAAGTCAAAACCACAATGAAATATTACTTCCTGCCCTTTATGATGCCTATAATTTTATTTTTATTTATTTTTTTGAGAACTCTGTCACCCAGGCTAGAGTGCATGGTGTGATCATGGCTCACTGCAGCCTTGACCTCCCAAGTTCAGATGCCTATTATTTAAAATAATTTTTTTAAAAAATGGAAAGTTACAAATGTTGTCAAGGATGTGGAGAAATTGGAACTCAACCCTTGCTGGTAGGGATGTAAAATGGGAAACAGGGTATGGAGGATTTTAAACACAGAGTCAGCTATGACCCAGCACTTCCACTCTCAAACTAGGTATCATATCATTGTCAGCTGTCTCTCCCCAATGGATCATG
This sequence comes from Homo sapiens, assembly GCF_000001405.40. NCBI lineage: Eukaryota > Metazoa > Chordata > Mammalia > Primates > Hominidae > Homo > Homo sapiens. The sequence continues at coordinate 130,565,430 of NC_000012.12, forward strand.
AGTTCCATGCATCAATGATGTTGTTTCATTTGATGCTGGATCCTAGCACCTACGGTAGTGCCTGGAAAAGAGGTGGGCTCAAACTATGTGTCAATTAAGTGGATACACATGTGGTTGCTTCCTTATTCTCAGAAAAGAACTAAGCCATTCCCCATTTTATCACTATTTCTAGGATAACCATGAGCTCCCTTAACTCCGAGATTCCTGCTAGTATCCCAACTACAAAGCCCACTCCTTGTCCCCTCTTTTTAAAATTATTTTGTAGCTCAGTAACATGTTTGGGGTCTTTCTTTGTAGATCTTTTTATTTATTACCATCACATTTGTTCACACAGCAGCACAAAGGGTGATATGAAAAACACTGTTAACGAAATAAATAGAAAGCAGTGATTTCAGGGCTGTTGCCACACAGCATCCCAATTTTGCTGGAGATGGAAGAGGGAAGAGCCAATTTATTGCCATATTCCATTGTCTTTAAAATAATATTGTTTCTACTCCCAAAAATGAATGGTGAGAATGTGAAAACCTGTATCAGAGATGATGCATTTTCTTCCTAGCAGGCTTGTCAAGTATCAGTTCCTAACGAGAACTATGCGATGGAACTTGTCATTGATAAAGAGGGTCAAATCTGTAATCTGCCTGCCCAAGGTCAAAGGCTGTAATCTGCCAGCCCATAGGCTGAATTCATTTTGCTCAGTCTGCATAGTGTTTAACTTTTTAAATTTGTTGCCAATTTATACACACATGCACACACACACACACACACACACACTCACTCAACAGTCCTAGCTTCTAAAACATAGCAGGTGTTTGGGCAATTCTGGGCCCCACTTCCTGTAAGGCAATAATAGAGAAAGTGGAGCTGCTATTGCCCCTCTAGACAAGAGGTGCAAGGTGGCTTGAAAAATATGTCCACAAATTACCTGATGCTCTATCTTTAAGGAGGCGGAGATTAACTTGATTATGGGCTAAACTTAGTGGCTCACTTCTAACAGAATAGAGAAGCTGTGATACGTCGCTTCTGAGGTTAGGTTATAAAAGACACAGTGGTCCCTCTCTCATGAGTTGTTCTAGAAGCAGCAAGCTACCATTTTATGAACAGCCTATGGAGAGGTCCATGAGCTGAGGGTCAAAGCCTCCAGCCAATGACCAGCAAGGAGCTGAACCTGCCAGCAACCGCACCAGACAAGTTGGAAGTGATCCATCACCAGCTTCAGCTGAGCCTCCGGACTCTGCAGCCCCAGCCGACAGCTTGACTGCACATCTCGTGAGAAGCTGAAGCCAGACCAGGCAGCCAGGCTGCTTCTAGGATCCTGACCCTCAGAAATGGTGAGATAACCAGAGTTTGTTCTTTTAAAATTGCTAAGTTTGGGGATAATTTGTTACACAGCACTTGATAACTGATACAACACAATAACTAAGCAATACCATGCTGCTCAATGTCTCCTAGGGCTGCATTAAGGGATTATCACTCCAGCCTTCATGTTTTTCAGCTCCCTTTAATGGGCAGAGGGCAGCTGTGCCTACAGCTTCGATGGTTAGGGTGGGCTTAAATGCACAGGAAAGAGGGGAGTAGGAAATGCTTTCAAAGGCAGAGTCAGAAGAAAGGCATAGCGAAGATGAAAGAGGTGAAGGAAGTTGGTATAAAAAGCTCTGACCAGACCAAACTCAGGGAAAGTCAAATACAAAATACAGCCAGGGAAAATTAAAATTCTTTATAAGCAAGGAAGCTTTTGAGATGTCCAGATGGGTGAAATCTTTATAAGTATTCACATAATCATCATCTATGGATTCAGAAGAAGCAACCGTGGATTAAAGACACAGAACATGTTTGCAGGCCCCAGGTTTCCGCATGGTCTGGCAGCTGGCGTATGCACCACAAGAAGGCAGAGTCCCTTGTCCCACCACAAACTGATTACTAGAAAGGCTGATGCTTATTAGTTTGCATATGTTCTGAAAAATGCGAGTTCATGACATCACCATGTTAGGATTGCGCTCATGTGCACTCTGATGTACTTTCCAGCCTGGAGCGTGTCTTGCCTCCTCTGGAACCCACCCTTCTATCCCCCACTCTGCCTGAAGGGACACTAGAGGGAGACAGAACGGGGGAGAGGGAGGAGGGAGGGTCCCTGAGGGTCTTTGTCCAGTTGCCCCCCACATAACTGGGCATCGGCACGTCCCTGGGAAGGGGCAGCAGGTTCCTACTTGCCATTTTCCCACATTTGCAGGCTCAGCATCACATATCCCCCTGGGCATAGCAGCCACAGCGGCCAACACCCCTTTCAGGGGTCTGGGTCCCCTCCACCCTGCCTCTAAGTCTTAATCATCCCACCTCTTCCCCCTGGTCCTCCAGCCTTGCAGGGGGAGCCACTCGGCATCGCCTTTCTAGGTCTCTATTACCTAGCCTGCAGTTCTTCATAGGGAATTCTCTCTGTGGAAATAATTAGCATGGGCTCTGTCTCCTGACTCTGCCTCACCTGATACACCTGTGCCTTTCAGTGCACCTTGGCCTGTCTTACCTATGCCTTGGAGCCATCCCACGAACATCACCTGCCATGCACCAATTAAAAAAAAAGGCCCGTGGTCCCAGGACCATTATATATGATGTTTCCTCCAAAAGATAGCCTGCTGATTGGAAATCTAACATCAGGTGTCCCTCCATTCCAGATTAGTTAAGGTTCTCTCCATTGTCAGCAACAGAAACGGCCTTTGGCAGTCTTAAGGTAGGATGTAAATTTATAGAAGAAGGCAGGGTTTCTCATAACTTCTAAAGCAAAGCTCAACCAACCAACCTTGCAAGAGGGGAGACCCAGGATATCTCAGGGGACTCAGCACGGGGGTGTGGGGGTTTGAGAACTTTCTCTTCTGTGGCTGTTTCTCATGTGCTTCAGCTCCCCAGACAACTAACTCCTCTGCCTCCTGTGCAAGCATTAAGTTCCCAGGAATCCAGATCTAACAGTCTGGCTGGATCAGTGGTAACCCTAAGTCAGCTCCTATGCATGGACAGAGTTCTCTGGTATCCACACAGGCCCTGGGGCCAGTCCCAGAGAGCCGTGAGCAGACATTCAGCCTTTTGATCCTGACTTCTAATTTCGGGTTGACAATGACGTGCTCCCCTCTGGGAAACCCAGAAGCAATGGAGAGACAAGCTCTGCCGCTCAGGAGACTCCAGTGGCAATGAAAGTCTCTGCCAGATGAACAGCCCCTTTGCCAACTTGATCTGTGCGCTTCTTCCCAAGTGCTCAGAGCTAAATGCTTTGCTTTGAGACATCTGTTGAAAACACTTCCAGGTCCCCAATCCCACAGTCATGTTTCTTACGTAAATGATTTGATACACGCTATTTCACAAACTCTTTTTTTCCAGCCAGCTCCTGTGAGGTGGGCAGAATTATTTGAGTGCCAAGAGGGCATCTGCTGAGTAGGAAAGCTATTTCTGGATCCCAGGGCATTATCCAATGGAAAAAAACCCGAATTCCTAGAGTTGATTTCTAAAATGCCACGTGCCCTCCTCACACAGCCATTGTAACTATTGGAGCTGTGTGTTAGTGACAGGGCACCTATCTGACATCTACTGCCTTGGAGACCCCCCACCGAGAAGCTGGAGCAGACAGGACATCCTCATGTATTTTATGACTGTCTTCAGTTCCGTGTATAAAACCTTATTCTCATAGGATCACATGAAGCAGACTGGGAACACCTACTAGACAGTCCACACACTGCTAGTCCAGGACATGTCAGCTCCCTGGGCCCTGGGACAGCCTCATCCGGCTCTAAGTGAACCGTGTCACCACATGAACAGCATGACCTCGGTCACGACCTGAACGGCAGGCATCGGACTCATGAAGAAACATCAGGAGGCAGCTTCCAGAGAAGAGAAAGCCTTGTTAGCTTAAAGAGCAAAGCGTCCCCCTCCAGCCATCTCACTAACAGAATCCCAGGCTCCTTCTTCTCACGCCCAGTTCTTCTCCAAAAACTCACCGCACTCCAGTGACCCTTGAGAAAGCTGGGGCTGAGCCACGCAACCTAAAACCAGCTGTCCCCAACTGGAACAAATACCTGTCTACATAAACTGACATGCGCTATGGTTTGGATCTGCGTCCCCACCACATCTCATGTTGAATTGCAAGCCCCAGGGTTGCAGGTGCAGCCTGGTGGGAAGTGATTGGATCATGGTTTATACCATAGCCTTGGAGCTATTCTCCTGATAGTGGGTTCTCACGAGATCTGGCCATTTAAAAGCGTGCAGCCCCTCCCTCTTCTCTCTCGCTCCTGCACTCACTGTGCAAGACGCCTGTTCCCTCTTCACCTTCCGCCATGACTGAGCGTTTCCTGAGGCCTCCCCAGCCATGCTTCCTGTACACCCTGCAGAACCATGAGCCCATTAAACCTGTTTTCTTTATAAACTACCCAGTCTCAGGTATTTCTTTACAGTAATACGTATATGGCCTGATACAACATGACACGGCCAATTATTTGCATTTAAAAGGCATCTACTTAATGGTTTATATAAATAATGAACTCATTGGAAACCTACCTTACTCTGCACACACTCATTTCACACACACCTTTATGAGGAAGGAATGCCATCATGTTTGTATGAAAATCACACACCTTGATTATTTCCGAAATACCAAAGCACAGCCCGGATCTGCTTGACAGGAAGATCCACTCTCTTTCCTCTCTCTCTGTGATGTATTAAAACCTGGAATTTTAGGCCAGGTATAGTGACTCACACCTGTAATCCTAGCACTTTAGGATGCCAAGGCAGGAGGATGACTTGAGCCTAGGAGTTTGAGATGAGCCTGCGCAACATGGTAAAGGCCCGTCTCTATAAAAAACACAAAAAAATTAGCCGGGTATGGTGGCTTGCACCCGAAGGCCCAGCTAGTTGGGAGGCTGAGGTGGGAGGATAGATTGAGCCCAGGAGGCGGAGGTTGCAGTGAGCTGAGATCACACCACTGCACTCCAGCCTGGGCAACAGAGCTAGACTCTGTCTCAAAAAAAGAGACCAAACAAAAACCCTGAAATTTTAAGCTCTTTACGGGAACAAACTTCAGAAAGGAGGAAAACACTGATATGTCAACACCTGAGGAACAGCATAAAACAGGAGCAACAGAAGGTGACAGGTAAGAGGTGAGGACAGACCTTGGCTAGACTGCCTGCGCGACACCTGCTCTGTGTGGCTGTGGACGAGTCGTCTAGACTGCCTGCTCTCTGCACTGTGGAGGAGTCGTCTAGTCTGCCTGCTCCCCACCCTCTGTGGAGCAGTGACTCTAGCAGTTCCCACCACACACAGTCATATAGGACTCTGACCCAATGAGAACAGTGTTAAGCGCAACATCAGTTCCTTCTTATGCACTTTCATGAACATGATGATGACTGGGAATAATCAACAAGGTCACAGAATAAAAATAACTGCAGCAATTAGAGTGGGCAGGTGCTTTTCTTTAAGCAGGTGGATAAAGGAGAAATTAACTCCACAAGTGCTTACTGAAGGCCTGCTACGCATTGGGGGATGTCGCTGGTGCCAGGAACACAAAGATGGGGAAGAAACAGGCAAAGGCCCTGCCCTCATGGAGCTTAGAACTGAATTTATGGCAGGAACTGAGAAAAAAATGTCACGAGAAAAAACGTGCTGCGGTCATTGTTTTGGCACTTGAGGGAAGGGGCTAATCCATGGCGGGAAGAGGGCTGAGTTCCGGAAGGAGGAGGAAAGAGAGATATAGGCTTTACTGGGTCTGCATCATAAAGGGAGAAAGACTGGGGGGTTACTAGAGATGGGGGGGAGAGAAGTAGCTCAGCCAGGGGAGGGGAAGTGGGAGGCCATGACAGAAAACAGCCATGCATGGGTCCCCGCAAGGGGAACCACCCTGGCAGGTCTAGGAACTGCAACTCCCTGACACTAGATGTTTAGTGGTTTTTGACCACGTGTTCGCTGCCACACACAAGACTCAGCTGCCGTGTGTGCTACTGCTACCCATAGTAACATTTTTTTTTTTTTTTTTTTTGGAGACAGAGTCTCACTTTTTTGCCCAGGCTGGAGTGCAATGGCACAATCTCGGCTCACTGCAACCTCCGCCTCCCAGGTTCAAGCGATTCTCCTGCCTTAGCCTCCCGGGTAGCTGGAATTACAGGCGCCCGCCACCATGCCCAGCTAATTTTTATATTTTTAATAGAGACGGGGTTTTACCATGTTGGCCAGGCTGATCTCGAACTCCACAGTAACCTCTTAATGCTCAGACAGTTGGCACCACCTGCATACTCAAGACCCTCCTGTGCCGTCCCACCCCACTTGGGACAAAACGGGAACCTCACTGTGGCCTCCAAGGCTGTTTGTATCTGGCCCCCATGGCCTCTCAGACCTGCCATCTGCTGTGTCCCCTTCACTCACTCTGCTGCCCCACACTGGCCTCCCTGTGGCCCCCTCACACACCCAGGGAGCCCACCTCGGGGCTGTACATGCTGCCCCTTCCCACCTGGACACCCCTAGAGCCCCCTCCACCCTGAGCACCGTCCCTGGCTGCACTCAGATGGTCGGCCTGTCCCGGCGCCCTCGGTCACCTCTACCCCTTCGCTGCTCCTGCACAGCTGCATCCATGCCAGCCTTAGCCATTGGTGTATCTACTGTTTGTCTCCCAGCTAGCAGGTGCTCTGAGAGCAGACTCACTTCAGTTCCCTGCTCCACCCCCAGTGCGTGAAACAGCATGGCCAGGAGTTATGAGGAAGGCCGGGGATGAAGGAAACTTAGCACGGGTGACAGGGACAAAGCGGCCGGAAAACCCACAGACGTGTTAGGAGGAGGGGCCTCCCACTGCACGCACCACGGAGGTCCCAGCTACTTGGACACATCAGCAAAAGATGCCTTTGAAGACCCAGGCGCTCCTGAGTCCCAAATGCACTCACAGTAACCCCAAACATGGAATCACCCCCGCAACCAGCAGTCACAAAAAACCCATTGATTTTCCTTCTTCCCGGCTCGCATGAGCATCAGGTATAGAAGGGACCTTCCTTGGACACTCGGCTCCCTGGGCCTGACGGTGGACTCATCCTTTACAAGGCGGCTGGAGACGACCTGATTCTTCCATCCCTTTCCCCTGTGTGCAGGTTTTACTGGGCTGCGTGAACTTGCTGGATGATTCTAGAAAGCTGACAGGGGCAGGGATGTGACACCGATTTCCACAGCATGATGTGCTGTTATAGAAAGCACTGCTACAAAACAGACACAAGAGATGCAAACAGAAGAAGGCAGCTTATGCTCATTCGAGTTAATTAATCCAGAGGCTGTGCAGGGACTCACAGGGTTTCTCGGTGGAGAAGGGGCACTGCTCTGGGGAACGCTGGCACACAGCCAGCGCGTGTGCAGCAGGACGACCTGTATGCACTGTCACCACGGGACGGGGCCAGAGGGATGCACCCACCAACTCAGGGGACAGGTGGAGCGAGGCAGGAGCCAGGGTAGGAGCAGGGTCAGGAGGGCTGTGGGAGCTGTGAGGAGGGACCCAGATTCCGCCACAGGGCATCCTTCCCCCCGGGGGGACAGAGCTGTCCACGGCAGCTGCGAGTGACGAAGCCTTCTTCCCACAGCCACTGCTGGCTGCAGCCAAGCAGATCCAGTTCAAGTGCCCAGCGCCTGCCCCAAAACGTGGTCAGACCACAAAGCAGACATGGCAGCCTTTGAGAAATCAGTGAAGCAACACTGCAGGCCCCCTATAGCAATGGCTTCATCCCAAAAAAAGGTATATATGTATTTATTCTATGTATCTATACTTATTCTATATTTATTGCATACTTCATGTATATTATATTTTTATATTTATATATTGTAAATAACAAAGTAAAAGACTCGGAGCATAGAGACGATGATTGCAAAAATAACTGTTGGATTGCAGTAGGATCAGAGGTCAATATTTTTAAATGTTCTTTACTGTTAGTATGATACTTTTAAAGACAGATAAGTGTTCGCGCGTGTGTGTGCGACTGTGTGCGTGTGAGTGTGTGCGTGGGTGTGTGCGTGGGTGCGTGCGTGGGTGCATGTGGGTGTGCAAGTGTGAGGTGCGTGTGCTTACTGGAGATATAGACGTGATCAGAAAGTGAGCTGCATAAATGTATTAGCGATTCTCTGAGCTGGGTCTAATTAGACATTGGTGATGGGTCTGAACAGTCTTTGAAGTTCAGAGATGTGACTCTAGGACAGGGCAGGGTGGGCTGACCCCCACCTGGGGGGGTGATGGCTGTGTCTGGTCCTCAGTGACAGGGGTAGCCAAGGACATGGGTGCAGGAGTGGGGCAGGAGGGTGCAAGTGGAGAAACGCAGGAAGCCAAGTCAGCATGACACAGCCGAGCTGCCAAACTTTGGGATGTGGGTCATTTTGAAAGCGCTCTAGGCTGATCCAGGCCTGGAGCATGGCTGTCCACACAGAAATCCCATCCCCAGCAAGTTCCCCCAACATGCTCCCCTCCAGCTCACTTTCCAGCCTCCACCCACATCCCTGCAGGCACACATGGAATTCAGAAGTGAAGAAGGGAAAGAGTTGCCAATTCTGACGGGAAGGAAAATGGCAAGCAGAGAACTAAGCAGCTGGGTCTGTCTCCTAGAGTGGGTTTTCACATCGAGGGATTATCACCACGCTAAGGGATGGCACGCGGGGAGGTCAAGCTTACTTTCCCCCCTTCAGAGGGATTTAGAGTGAAACATAACTAGCAAACAAGGAAATCTAAATGAGAAAAAATTATCAAACAGATCAAAATAAAACCTTGTCATAAACACTATTTTGTTTCTGGCTGGAGCTAAATAAATGCAAGATGCAGCATTTTGAGAAACAGCAGCAGCTGTCCTGTTGGGGGGGTGGCGGTGGGCGGTGACATCCACAACCCCCATGTTCATCACCGAGGGGGACACCACACACATGGCGAGCTACCTCCTTCCCTAGGAACTCAGCCTCAAGGAGCTCCTATTCTCCAGTCAGCCTAAGAAAACCCCCCACAACAGAGTCAAATTCTCATCTCATTCTATTGCCAATGACATGAGAGAATTCTGGGGCAAGTTATTTCCTTTTAAAGAAGTCTGTGGTTGCCATCATTTTATCTTTTACATAAAAGCTCCCAGTGTGTGTGAGAGACATGGAGATGCATCGCTGAACCTGGTAGGCCGCAGGCAGCTTCCCCTTTCTGGTCTGAGGTCTCACAAGCTCCAGCCATCTGCAGCACATCAAAGTTCAAACGGCTGGGAGCACAGGAAGACTGAACAGTGGTCCCTGGCTTTTCTCAAGGACTCCAGAGAGGGCATCGGAAGCCCTGAGCAGCCCCACCGCCCACCCCAGGGCTCACAACCCCTCTGCCACCACCTCCTTGTGCTCTAGGCACTGTGGCCGTCACCCACTGCTTGCCAAGCCTGGTTCCCTCTGTCCACTCACAGGGAAGACAACTTCCTAGACCCCTTCATTAGCTAGGCCCATGCGGCCAGGTCTCACCCATGCGTTGTGAGCAGAAGACCTGAGTGCTGATGCCCTGTGCCAAGTCCTCCAGAATCACACCCCCCACCGCCACCCCCACCCCCAGACGCCCTGTGCCAAGTCCTCCAGAATCACACCCCCCACCCCCACCCCCAGACGCCCTGTGCCAAGTCCTCCAGAATCACATCCCCCAACCCCACCCCCAGACGCCCTGTGCCAAGTCCTCCAGAATCACACCCCCCACCCCCACCCCCAGACGCCCTGTGCCAAGTCCTCCAGAATCACACCCCCCAACCCCACCCCCAGATGCCCTGTGCCAAGTCCTCCAGAATCACACCCCCCACCCCCACCCCCGGCAGTAGCCTACAATGCTCACAGTACTAGAGTTGCTGGGGTCCCTGAGGAACAACAGTGAACAGAAGTTCCCACCAACCCAATGGACATGCCGCAGAGGCAAGAAACACACTTGAGAGGTTGGGGGCTGTTTGCTGCTATGGTGTGAGTTAAACTCTCCAGGCAGATATAGGAATAGAATTCTTCCCCTCCAACCCTTTTAAGCAATATTCATGTGACATTTCCATCAAAGTAAAGCCAAGTCCCCATCAGTGAACACATCTCTTTCTACTTTCACCAACGTTACAGTGTATGCATTCACCTATAATAACTACGTGACCCATTCCTGCCTGCAACTGTCGGGCCCTGTTCTAGGCACTGGGGATCCAAATGTGCATGAAACACACAAAGCTTTGTTCTCCTCGTCGTGCAGCGTGCTACCTAGCACATAGATGCAACATGCTAAGTAGTGATAAGCACTGTAAACACAAAGCACCATGAAGGGGATGGAGGATGAAGGAGACAGAGTGGTCAGCAGAGGCTGCTCAGATGTGGCTGCCCTGGAGCCGCTCACATGGGCTCACAGGAAGATCTCCTCCTAAGTCGTGTCTGTTGAAGTCATCTGGTAACTTGAAAATAATCGTGGTGGAAATATTTACACTGTGGGAATGGGCAAACTGCACAGCAAAATGTTCTGGGCTTTTTCTTTACTTCCCCGGAAAGCTGGTTAACAGGACACCCCCGGATATTTGAATTCAGAGCAGAGGAGAATGAGGGAGTGAGCTGGGTGGCTCTTTGCAGTGAGGAGGAGCATGGTGGACAGAACAACTGCCAGTGTGGAGACATCACAGTGGGAACTGTGTACTCTGCAGGGAGGCTGGTGCGGGGGGACCGTTAGGCAAAGGGGCTGCGGACAGGTGAGGGGGAGGAGGGGGCTGCAGATCGTACCTTGTAGGCCACGGTAGGAACCTTGCTTTGTATCCTGAGCATGAGAAGACGTCTTTTTTACCTTTCTGTATCTTTTAATGTGTAACCAAAACCACAGGCCCAAAGCAAAAACTACAAACAGGAACGGAGAGTTTCATGACCATAGACATGGGCATTTGCTTCCAAGAGCAATGGCCCTGCATGCTTTGAGAATCGCTGTGAGCTGTGCTTCTAGATCCTCAGCAGGTTGGCGCATGACCCTCAGAGCCCTAAACACACTACCCGTGGGCAGCTGGCAGGTGGCCAGCTGCATGCCGGCATCCAAGCTGTGCGGGCTAAGTATCTCCTCCCGCGGGAAGCAGATGGCCCCTGCATGTGCACTTGCTCATACCCAGAACCAAAGCAATCACCCAGGAAAGAGAATCAAGCCAGACTATTCAGTCCTCCCAGCCAAGTGGCTGGTAAACCCGAGCCTCCCTGGGTCTGGAAAATGGAGAGATGAGGATGAAGCACGAGCTGGCAGGACAGGGAGGACGGCAGGGAGTCCTTAGCACAAACTGCCAGCAGCAGCGAGGAGGAGCCCCGCCGAGCGCCGAGAGGCATATGTGCGCACCACATGCCACAAACACAAGCTCCGAGTCCTAAACGAATCACACCAGGATGGAGATTGCAGGATGGCGTGTTTCCATCGCGTGTCCAGGCGCAGTGCCTGGGAGCAAATATCTCCATGTAGAAAGAGACCGACAGTGTGGCAGGAGTCGCGGGGTGGAACAGGAACTTCTGGACAGAGATGGGGACAAAGAGAAGCGAAGGGGATGGCCCAGACCTTCACAGAGGAGACAAAATGTCCCGGCTGCAGCCTGAGGTTTGCAAGGTCACCATGGGCTGCGTTGAAGGATTTCTCCTTTCTTGTCTGGTAGAATGACTCACCCCTTTCTCCACTAAGCGCTGTTACTCTGAGCATACACCAGAGGCTCAGGTTCAAATCCAGTCCCCTCTATTCACTGTGTGACCTTGTACATGTGCCTCAAGCTCTCTGCACCTGTCTTCTCATCTGTAAAACAGGGATGGTAACGGTGCCTGACTTACAGGGCAGCTATGGTGACAGATTTGATTAGAACCATATGTGGCTCACTGGGTGGAAAATGGTGCCTAATAAACGCTAGCTATAATTATAACTGCCACTGTATTCATCCCTTCTCACACTGCTTTAAAGATATTACCTGAGACTGGGTAATTTTTAAAGAAAGGAGGTTTAAGGGACTCACAGTTCCACATGGCTGGGGAGGCCTCAGGAAACTTACAGTCACAGCAGGTCAAGGGGAAGCAAAGCACATGTTACAAGGCAGCAGGAGAGAGCACAAGCATGCAGAGGAAACCGCCATGTTTGAAACCACCAGAGCTCATGAGAACTCCCTCACTATCGCGAGAACAGCATGGGGGAAACTGCCCCATAATCCAGTCGCCTCCCACCAGGTCCCTCCCTTGACTCGTGGGGATTACAATTCAAGATGAGATTTAGGCAGGGACACAAAGCTAAACTATATCAGCCACGTTATTGCTATTATTATCATCATTATATTGTTATTGTCAATATTATAATTAAAAATGCCTTTATGGTGCAATAAACGGGAAGCTGACATCCCTCCATCTCATTTGAAATTCAATCCCTCCCCACCCGCCAACCCTCAGAGCTAATGTGAAACATCTCTTTAAACAATGGTAATTATGCGAAACAATAGCTATATAGTAACGTAACCTTTGTGGTATACAGGTAACTATATGCCGATTAGCTTGATAGTGGTAATCATTTCACAATGTCTACATCATCAAACACCCTGCCATACATCTTATATAGCTACGGTTTTTACTTGTCAATTATACCTCAACAAAGCTGGGGAAAAAAATATCTTCTCTGAAAGGCAGATGTGAACTGGATGGTTTCACATTAAGCCATTATCACCCAGTAGCACACTGTGGCAAATTATTCACAGGATTCAGAGATTCCAGGAAAGTAAAGGTAGTGCAGGCTTGGAAGCTGATGAGGAGGCATGGGTCAGGGCCTGAGCTGGGGCAGAAGCTCAGAGGATTCCATCCATCCACTTCTGAACCTTCCTGTTCTCTGCCTCTACTGGCCTCTGGTCTACCCAATGCCTTCTGCCCCGTTTCCAGAATCATCTTTCTCAAGCATCATTCTGGATGGCTGCTGCTCTGCCCTAGAATCCAACATGGCTCCCAGCTGCCAGCAGTACAAAGTGCAAACCTGCCTGACATCCAAGACCTTCTGCAGCTTTGCCCCTGCCTCACCTGTCCAACCTCGCCTTGACCTGACTCTCCAGCTGCATCTTCAGCCATGCACAGACCTGTTCTCCTGGCCCCAGTCGTACATGCCTGTGTTCTGTTTCTCGATCATAGCAAACTTGCTCCAGCCTTGGGGCCTGTGCACTGTGGGCCCCTCTGCCTGAACAGGCTTCCCTTGGATCTTCACGTTAGCTCATTCCTTGACATTCAGCTCTCAGCGCAAATGCCCCCTTCTCAGAGACTTCCCCTCGCTACCCAACGACCGAGTCCCTCACCCTGCCCCGTCTCCACACTTGGCTTGTGCCTTCCACTGCACGCTCCACTATCTGAAGTCGCAGGTCCTCATCTGGAGCCCTAGGGCTGAACATGTGCAGAGATTCAGAAAGGCTTGGATTTATAAGATGTGCACCAAACATAACTAATGCTCCCAGTGGTGTCTGACACCGTCTTTCATTATTAAATATATTCATAGTTCTGCGGTGAAATATGTAAATACAAATCAAGTGGGATTAAAAAAAGATGAGAAGTTGTCTCACATCCATTGGTTCAGATTTCAAGGACAAATCAGTTATTTCTCAGGATCTTTTGGTTTTCAGGGCCTTTTGAATATCAGAGTTGTGAGGAAGGGGTGGGGCATCGTAGCCTGTTGCTTCAGTTGTTTGTTCTTGGTCTGGTGCAGAAAAGAGCTCACACGGCACGTCTGAGCCCCGCTTTTGAGGAAGGGCTGATTGCAAGCCCGGCTGGTTGTGCGATCTTGGATCAGGAGGGCTTATCCCATTCCCTGGCTAATAAGAGGGTTCACAGTGGCTGGCCTTTTCTAGAAACAATGTGGTTTGGACTAGGTGTCTGCTTTCCTTATGAGAGCCTGGAATTTTGGTACATGCTGGGCAGAGGGTGCCGACGTGACCAGTCCTCAGTAAAAACCCTGGGCCCTGACTCTCTGATGAGCTTCCCTGGTAGATGACGTTTCACACCTATTGTCACAACTCGTTAGGCACGTCCTGTGTGACCCCACTGGGAGCGGCTCTTGGGAGCGTGTGTCTGGTTGCCTCTGGACCTGGCCCCATGCTCTTCTTCCCTTTGCTGGTTTTGCTGGTTTGCTTGAATACTTTTGCCAGAGTAAAACCCTCATAGCTGTGAGTATGACTGTGGGCTGAGTCCTGTGAGTCCTGAGAGAATCAGCAAACCTGGAGGTGGTCTTAGGGACCCCCAGCACACTCCCCCATTGAGCACAAGCTCATTGAGTAAAAGCACCTTATCTGTCCTGTGTACTAAGGCCTCACACTCGTGCCCGGTCAATAAATACTAGATGAGTGGACCCAGCAATGGTCGTGTTCACCATCAGACCAGAAGCGATGGTGAAGGGTCCAACAGTTCCCTGGCCACAATATAGGAACCAGAGCTCGAGGGAGGCAAGGGAGGCAAAACCATCACTTAATAAAGACCAGATCAGTATGGCTCACAGCCTGGGGCCAAATTCAAAATAAGTAATATTCAGTCTGGGAAGGCGAGGCAGGCGATCACCTGAGGTCAGGAGTTCAAGACCAGCCTGGCCAACATGGTAAAACACTGTCTCTACCAAAAATACAAAAAAAAAAAAAAAAAAAATTAGCCGGGCATGGTGGCAGGTGCCTGTAATCCCAGCTACTTGGGAGGCTGAGGCAGGAGAATCACTTGAACCCGGGAGACAGAGGTTGCAGTGAACCAAGATCACACCACTGCCTTCCAGCCTGGGTGACAGAGCAAGACTCCATTTAAAAAAAAAAAAAAAAGTAATATTGACCCCATATGGTTTGGCTGTGTCCCCACCCAAATCTCACCTTGAATTGTAACAATCCCCACATGTCAAGGGCGGGGCCAGGTGGAGATGATTGAATCATGGGGGTGGTTTCCCCCATGCTGTTCTCATGGTGGTGAATAAGTCTCATGAGGTCTCATGGTTTTATGAAAGGGCAGTTCCCCTGCACAAGTGCTCTTGGCTGCCGCCACGTAAGATGTGTCTTCCCTCCCCTTCACTTTCCACCATGATTGTGAGGCCTCCACAGCCATGTGGAACTGTGAGTCCATTAAACCTCTTTCCTTTGTAAGTTACTCAGTCCCAGGTATGTCTTTATTAGCAGCGTGAGAACAGACTAATACATCGGCTTTATTTGAAAATTTGATATTTTGTTCATCAGGGACTGCACATTAATTTTGATATTTTAAATACTGCATTAAGACCAGGTGCAGTGGCTCATGCCTGTAATCTCAACACTTTGAGAGGCTGGGGCAGGCAGATCACTTGGGGTCAGAAGTTTGAGACCAGCCTGGCCAACATGGTGAAACCCCATCTCTACTAAAAATACAAAAATTAGCTGGGCGTGGTGGTGGGCACCTGTAATCCCAGCTACTTGGGAGGCTGAGGCAGGAGAATCGCTTGAACCCTGGGGGCGGAGGTTGCAGTGAGCCGAGAAACAGCCCGGGAGACAGAGTGAGACCCAGCAATGGTGTGTGTGTGTGTGTGTGTGTTTGTTTGTGTGTGTGTGTGTATGTATATATAGATATATATTAAAATATCTCCTATCTTGGCTCCAGCTTTTTTCAGTGCCACCCACACACTGTGCACTGAGGCAGGGGCCTCGTGGCCGCACCCTCATCCTGCCCTTCACCTGCTCATATTCATGGGCCAGGCACTGGGGGTGATGGTTTCCAAGACAGGCAGGTCCTGGACAGAGCAGTGTGTTTGTCACATACAAAAGAGACTAGCTCAAGGGTGGCAGCCTCTGGGTCATCAACTGAAATGCCCCGTGGTCCCAGGTCACACAGGGGTGTGCCGGGAGTCAGGTTCAAACACAACAGGGTGGGGGGCGTGGATCTGGTGAGCTGAAGCCCACACAGGGGCCCCATCTGCTCCAGCAATGGTTTCCAACCTTACTCTCAGATCACTGCTGTCTTAAGAGTTGATTTTACATAAACTCCAAAAGTTCCATCTCCATCCCAGCTCCCTCCTCCAAGGTCCATGCTCACCCCCACTGCCCACCCAGCCTGTCCCAGTGGAGGTCTCAGAGGCATCATAAGAGCATCCAGAATGAAGCCGAGCTCCTGGCCTTCCTGCCAGTCTCCCCACCCCACAGCCCTCCCGTGCCAGTAGGTGGCAATTCCAGGCTCTCGCGGCTCAGGCCTCAGACCTGTCGCCTTCCTTCCTCTGTTCTCTTTGTCCTGTGGACTCTGACTTCAGGACATACCCGGAACGTAAGTACTTTCTCCACAGCTACTGCTATAAGCCTGGCCTGAGTCATCACCATTCCTCGCCGGGTTATGAGAATGGCCTCTCAATGGGTTTCTCCTGGTCTGTTCTTACTCCCCATTAGTAAGCTGTCAACATGGTGGCCAGAAGTCACAACACCAAAAAATAAGCCACACACTATTATTTTGCATATCACCTTTTAATGACTTCCCATCTCAGAGTTAAACCAAAGGCCCGAAAGGCTCTGCATGACCTGGCCTCTCCTCCCTCCCTGGCTCAGTCACTCTCACTTCACCACCACCACCACCACCGACCTCAGGACCTTTGCACCTGCTGCTCCCTCTGCCTGGCACTCTCTTCCGTGAATACCCACGTGGCTCACTTCCTCACCCACGTAAGGTCTTTCAGAGAAGCTTTCCCTAAACATCCAACTAAAATTACAAACCCCTCCACCTCCCTCCCTCCTCCTCTGCTGTCTCCATAGCACTCCCTACCTTTGAATACAGCAGATGCCTTTACTCATTTATTTTGCTGGCTTTTCTGCTCCCACTAGAAGGCACAGGGGCAGGGATTTTTTTTAATCTGTTTTGTTCACTATTGTATTTTCTGTGCCTGGTACATAGTGGACCCTCAATAAACTAGTATTGCACACCTGAATGAATGAATCTTGTTTCCTTCATTTCAAAGGTGAAGAAGTGGGAGCTCAGAGAAGTCAGACTGTTTGCCTAAGAACACACAGCCCAGAGGTGGCAGAGGCAGATAGTGTGTGATTCCAGCCCATGCTCTTCCTGCCACGCCCGCCCACCTGCAGTCAGGAAGCATGCATCCCCCAAGAGGGATGACGCATGGCACCATGAGCGGCTCTGGTGAGCACAAGCATTTGCCAGCTGCTGGCCAGCTTAGAGATGGTTGTGGGTTTCTTAAGCCATAACATCTTATTTGTTACCACACTGCCTTCGCTTGATCTAGACCAGTGGTTCTCAAAGCGCCACCAGCATCACCCAGGGCCCTGAAAGAAATGCACATTCTCTGCCCAAACCCAGGACCTGCTGAATCAGAAACTGGAGGAGGGGCCCAGCCCTCTGTCTTTCAAGCCTTCTATGTGGTTCTGGTGTAATCTGGGCTCTGACCTAGACTCCAAGTCTCCCGAGAGCAGGGCATTTGTCTAGTTCATTCATTCCAACGCCCTTAACACTATCATGCCACAAAGCTGTGTGGAGAATGTGTTTGATGAATGAATAACTGAATGCCACCTCCACTGTGACTGACTGTAAAAGCATGATGTCAACAGGTATTTGTTAACGTCCTCTTCTATACTTAAGAATGTTCAAGGGGCAGATATAAAAGTCATTAGGAGTGACTACTTTTTGTTCAAGAATTTACAATACAGCTGGGGGATTAAATAACCAACATGTTAAATATCAAATGCCACCATCAATGAGAGGTGCACAGTTCTGCAATGATTCAGTGCACCGACTCCATCCCCAGGCTAGCTGGGCAAGCAAAGGCAAGGCCCAACACTCTATGTTGTGTGGCCTTTGGGATGTGGCATAGTGCCTCCGCGCCCCCAGCTTCATCTGTGAAGGAGGGATTTTAGCACCTTCCTTGTGGGATTGTCAGGAAGATTAAATAAGCTAATGAAAGAAAACTGCCTGAAAAGGCCCCTGGCACCTAATAAACACTTTGTAGGTGCTAGTTATCATCATCACCATGACCATCACCACCATCACCTCATCACCATTACATCATCATCATCATCACCTTCATCACTACTATTACATCATCACTATCATGACCATTACATCACCATCACCATCACCTCATCACCATCATCACCATTACCACCATTACATCATCACTATCACAACCATTACATCATCATCACCACGACCATCACCACCATCACCTCATCACCGTTTCATCATCATCATTACCTTCATCACTAACATTACATCATCACTATCACAACCATTATCGCATCACCATCACCAACACATCATCACTATCACGACTATTACATCACCATCACCTCATCACCACCACCGCCATCACCTCATCACCACGACCCCCATCACCTCATCACCACCACCCCCATCACCTCATCACCACCACCGCCATCACCTCATCACCACCACCGCCATCACCTCATCACCACCACCCCCATCACCTCATCACCATTACCACCATTACACCATCATCACCATGACCATCACCACCATCACCTCATCACCATGACATCATCACCTTCATCACTACCATTATATCATCACTATCACAACCATCATCGCATCACCATCACCACCAACACATCATCATCACCGTCACCACCATTACATCACCATCACCACCATTACATCACCATCACCCCCATCACCATTACATCATCATCACCATGACCATCACCACCATCACCTCACCACCATCACCTCATCACCATTACATCACCACTATCATTACATATGATGTAACCACATATGTAACGGTGGTTACATCATCACCACAATCACATCACCACCATCATCTCACCACCTTATCACCACCATCACCTCACCACCACCATCACTTCACCACCACCATCACCATCACCTCACCACCATCACCACCATCACCTCATCGCCATCACCACCATCACATCACCACCATCACCTCCATCACCACCATCACCTCATCACCACCATCACCTCACCACCACCATCACCATCACCTCACCACCATCACCACCATCACCTCATCGCCATCACCACCATCACATCACCACCATCACCTCATCACCACCATCACCTCATCACCACCACCACCATCACCTCATTGCCATCACCACCATCACATCACCACCATCACCTCATCACCACCATCACCTCATCACCACCATCACCACCATCACATCACCACCATCACCTCATCACCACCATTACATCACCACCATTACATCACCACTATCATGACCATTACATCATCATCACTGCCATCACCTCATCACCATCACCTCATCACAACCATTACATCATCACTATCACAACCATTACATCATCACTATCACAACCATTACATCATCACTATCACAACCATTACATCATCATCACTACCATCACCATTACATCATCATCACCTTCATCACTACCATCACTATCACCATCATCTTTTACTCTTTTCTTTGTAACTACTTTTTATTTTGTATTAAAATTTCATTCTTTGTAACTATTATATTTTTATTTATTAAAGTTGTTCCATTCTTTTTTTTTGAGACAGAGTCTTGCTATGTCACCCAGGCTGGAATGCAGTGTCATGATCATAGCTCACTGCAGCCTCAATCTCTTGGGCTCAAGCAATGCTCCTACCTCCTGCGTAGCTAGAATGACAGATGTACACCACCATGCCCAGAAATTTTTTTTTAAATTGTCTTTGTAGAGATGAGGTCTCGCTCTGTTGCCCAGGCTGATCTCGAACTCCTGGGCTCAAGTGATCCTCTTGACTTGGCCTCTGAAAGTGAGAGGTTAACAGGCGTGAGCCACTGAATCCGATGACCACTCCAGCCCCATCATTGCTACCATTATAAGCCGTGGGTGTAACCATGTCCCCCACGGAGTGAGAAGGGGAGGGTCCTCTGGTTTGTTACTTTCTGCTCATGAGGCGGGGCGATGGGGAGATGCCTTTTGGACGTTTGGGGAGTGAAAAGGGGATCAAATACATTCGTCGAAAATTCGGTAGGAAATTCACAGCCCACACACATTTTGTTTGGTCTACTCAGTATTAGCACACATGAAAATGGAAAATGTTGAATTAAATGGCCACTTTTAGGGCAGGTTGTGGTCATATGTGCCTGTAGTCCCAGCTACTCGGGAGGCTGAGGTGGGAGAACTGCTTGAGCCCAGTTGGGGAGGTCCTGGCTGCAATGGGACATGTTTGTGCCACTGCACTCCAGCCTGGGTGACGGTGAGACCCTGTCTCAAAAAAAAAAAAAAAAAGAGGCCAGTTTTTAAAACCAGAAGATTCTACATGAGAATCTGGTTTTCTAACATCTTTTGAAAAATCCAAAGATCTAGCAGCACTGAGCCCAGGAAATTCAGTGGGCACTGAATCCAGGCTGCCCCTGCAGGGAAGTAGGTGACGTGGTCACAGTCCCCACCACTCCCCGCTGCCCTGGACTCTGCAGGGTTCTCTCACGTCTTGCCTGATTCCCACATTTCACTTCTTGGTCTGGCCCCCACAGGCCTTTTGAGTCTGCCAGCCCTGAGACTACTAAAAACAAAGCGTCCCTGAGAAAAGAGAGGAGGAAATGGGCCAAAGTACCCATGTGGGAGCAGCTCATTGTTTTCCTATGACTGATTTCTCTAATATTGCTGAAATGTATTTTAGTAGCTTAAAAGTATTTCAAAAGTAGTTATGAAAGTGACCACAGGCACTTTCTGTGATTAACCAGGAAATATTCACTAATCTGTCTCTGATGAGATAAATGTATTTCATAGCTTTGTCTTCCCTCAGGAGAATTTATAAATTAAGATGAAGAGGCCAGGGCGGTGGCTCACGCCTATAATCCCAGCAGTTTGGGAGACCAAGGTGGGTGGATCACGAGGTCAGGAGTTCAAGACCAGCCTGGCAAACATGGAGAAACCCCATCTCTACTAAAAATACAAAATCAGCCAGGCATGGTGGCAGGCACCTGCAATCCCAGCTACATGGGAGGCTGAGGCAGGAGAATCACTTGAACCCAGGAGGCAGAAGTTGCAGTGAGCCAAGATAACGCCACAGCACTCGAGCCTGGGCAATAAAAGGGAAACTCCATCTCAAAAAGAATAAGAAGAAGAAGAAGAGATGGGGGATCAATAGAACAGAACAGAGCCCTCAGAAATAACGCCACATATCTACAACCATCTGATCTTTGACAAACCTGAGAAAAACAAGCAATGGGGAAAGGATTCCCTATTTAATAAATGGTGCTGGGAAAACTGGCTAGCCATATGTAGAAAGCTGAAACTGGATCCCTTCCTTACACCTTATACAAAAATCAATTCAAGATGGATTAAAGATTTAAACGTTAGACCTAAAACCATAAAAACCCTAGAAGAAAACCTAGGCATTACCATTCAGGACATAGGCATGGGCAAGGACTTCATGTCCAAAACACCAAAAGCAATGGCAACAAAAGCCAAAATTGACAAATGGGATCTAATTAAACTAAAGAGCTTCTGCACAGCAAAAGAAACTACCATCAGAGTGAACAGGCAACCTACAAAATGGGAGAAAATTTTCGCAACCTACTCATCTGACAAAGGGCTAATATCCAGAATCTACAATGAACTCAAACAAATTTACAAGAAAAAAACAAACAACCCCATCAAAAAGTGGGCGAAGGACATGAACAGACACTTCTCAAAAGAAGACATTTATGCAGCCAAAAAACACATGAAAAAATGCTCGTCATCACTGGCCATCAGAGAAATGCAAATCAAAACCACAATGAGATACCATCTCACACCAGTTAGAATGGTGATCATTAAAAAGTCAGGAAATAACAGGTGCTGGAGAGGATGTGGAGAAATAGGAACACTTTTACACTGTTGGTGGGACTGTAAACTAGTTCAACCATTGTGGAAGTCAGTGTGGCGATTCCTCAGGGATCTAGAACTAGAAATACCATTTGACCCAGCCATCCCATTACTGGGTATATACCCAAAGGACTATAAATCATGCTGCTATAAAGACACATGCACACGTATGTTTATTGCGGCATTATTCACAATAGCAAAGACTTGGAACCAACCCAAATGTCCAACAATGATAGACTGGATTAAGAAAATGTGGCACATATACACCATGGAATACTATGCAGCCATAAAAAATGATGAGTTCGTGTCCTTTGTAGGGACATGGATGAAATTGGAAATCATCATTCTCAGTAAACTATCGCAAGAACAAAAAACCAAACACCGCATATTCTCACTCATAGGTGGGAATTGAACAATGAGATCACATGGACACAGGAAGGGGAATATCACACTCTGGGGACTGTGGTGGGGTGGGGGGAGGGGGGAGGGATAGCATTGGGAGATATACCTAATGCTAGATGACGAGTTAGTGGGTGCAGCGCACCAGCCTGGCACATGTATACATATGTAACTAACCTGCACAATGTGCACATGTACCCTAAAACTTAAAGTATAATAAAAAAAAAAAAAGAAAAAAAAAAGAAGAGATGGGGGAGCGGTGTCCTCCAACTTCCCCTCCTGCCTGGATGCTGGTGCTGCCCCCCACACACTGTTCTGCACCTGCCAGCACATATGATGTCCCTGTCCTTCCTCTGTCCCTCCACACAGTCCTGCCAGCACCCCTCATCCAGCAAGCCGGGGTCCTCGCCTCCCTCAGCATCTCAATCCCGTTCCTGTCCATTCCTGCTCCTGAGCCTTGGAACCTGCTGTTCCCCCATCCCATCTGAATCATCTCCTTTCCCTTCTGGCCCAACAATCCAACTCCTCTCCAATCTTCAAAACCCAGCCCAAGTCCTGCCTCCTCCAGGAAGCCCTTCATTCCCCTCTCTCCAGCCTCCAGCCCCTTCTCATGCTCTGAGCTTCATTTATGAGTATTCCCCAACCCACTGACAAGCAGGTTCCATCCATTCTTGGTGCCATATCCACATCCGGTCTGTTTAGCTCATTTTGTAATATTTGTATTTAAATCAATTCACTTTAACATTTTCTCAAGGAGACTCACCTTCAAGGAGACTTGAGTTCACTACACTGAAATGGAGAACCAGCATCATTCACTACAAACAGCAGCCATTAAAATAAACATGAGAAAAGCCAACTGCAATCAGATCTTGGCTAAATGTGCCACCTTGTCCCGGTCACTGCGAGTCACCCAAGACCTATTCTTTCTGCACGAGCTGAAGGGAGACACGCTGTTGGAGAGGTAGTGGACGTGTATCAGCACCCACCAGAGAGGTCCTCATTGTCAGAACCAGAAAGATTTCAGGAGACAAGAAAGCGAGTCCAATGCCATATGGTTCAATGGTTCGGAAAGCATTTGAGGACATCTCCGCAGAGCATATTCACTTTGTCACCTACTGTATGTTGTATTATCCTGTCATCTGTTGAACACATGAATATCGGTTCATTCCCAGATGAAACAGGAAGCTCAGTAGCTTCCCTAAGTGTCTGCCAAGATGACCACATAATAGAGCTCACAGAAGTTATCTGATGTAGACTGTGCTTAAACTGGTGTCCTGAACATGATTCAAATTCTTCTTTGGTAGCTGCAAGCCCCACGGGGGATTTGCAAAGATGGAATCAGGAATTCCTTATGAAATTAATCTCCTCCAGACTTTGGTACATTAAACACTCGGGACGTCAGCCTTCTGTCCTAAGCCCTTTCTGTCCTAAGAGAAGTCGGAGACTGTGTCGATAAGACTTGCTAACCAGTAATTGAAAAATCAATATTCAGATCTCCAGTGACTCTACCCTCATATCCCAGCTATAGTCAGCAACAACAATGAAATGTAATAATCCTTTTCAGGAAGACCCTGGCAGGGCTGTCAACCCAATTAATTCCAGCAAAGTAACGTGGGCTCTTTCATCAAAAGATTCTTACATACAAACACACACACCTTCACAAGTGCACATGTGCGCACACATACAACACACGCTTTGTTCTGTTTTGTTTTGCTTTCTGCTAAAATGAATAGAAAGACTCTTTAAAAAAGAAAAAAGAAAAAGAAAATAGCTCTTGGTGAAAAGCACTCATTGATGTACTCAATGAATCACTTTCTTCTCTGCAAACAAAGCTCCTTATTTCTCCCAGGAGGCTGCTTTGAAATCTTTGCTGGAGGATAGGGTCAGCCCCAGGACGAGATGAAGGCTATGGCTTCCAGTCCTGCCACACAGGCAGCTAACTCCTGAAACTCCACCAAATGACTGACGGATGGAGTGCCAGCCATGCCCAGTTTGTTCTCACCACAGAAAAATACTAAATAGGTGAGGTGATGGATGTGTTATCTTGATTTAATCCTTCCGCAATGTATAAATAGATCGAAACATCACAGTGTACCCTTATAGACATTATTATCTTTAAAATTAAAAATTAAGTATTTTTAATTTTTTAAAAATTGACCCAGTTTGAATAGCTCCTCCTGAACCCACCCTGATTCCCAGTGAAAATTAGAGCCTACCTTGAAGCCAGGCTTTGCAAACTTATCTTCACACTGAAATTACCAGGGGATTTTTTTAAACTCCCAAAGCCCCAGCCACATCCCAGAGCAGCTAACCCACAGTCCTCAGGGTGAGGCACTGGCACGGCCCCCTCGGGCTCCCCAGGTGCAGATGTGGTTAGAAACTGCTGTTCTTGAGTGAGTTTCTGGGAGGGATTGGAGTCTTCGACTCTCAGATACAAATCTACTAAGAATTCATTACATCTTTACAGGAAACACGTGAAAGCATTCTTCCTGCAGACGCTTCTACACCAGGAAGGCAATCCCCACACCCACGGGGAAAGGCAAGTTTAGAGTCAAATAACACAATGCCAAGCGGTCTCCCCAATGAGGGCTCTCAGCACAGCACTGGACATGAAGGAAGCAGAAATCCACATGGAGGAATGTCATCCCCACACCCTAGGCTGAAGCTCAAGGCCACCTGCCAACTGACAACACACGTAATTGCTCCTAATCAACCTCATCTCCCCAGAGACCAGGAGATAGACTCCCCAGGGCCACAGCACAAAGAGGCCAGCGGTCCCCAAATAACAAGCTCAAGCTTGCATCCCCACTGTCCCTCAGCTCCGCCCATCAGAGTCCCCGCCAGAATAAGCAATTCCAGCAACATTCCATGAAGTCTTCAATCCACCCAAGGGCTCCCCGCAGCCCTCTCTCATCAGTGGACAGCACACACTTTTCAGCTGGTAAAAAAGTTGAGGATCTTGCACTAAAGAAGGATGACAGATGAGGTTAGAAAAATAAGAGGGTTTACATCTGCACTAGGTGGCAGGTGGAGCTCCCTGCATTTCTTCTGAACACAAAACTTGTTTCTTTTGGAGCCCTCCGCTTGCCAGGAGCAACCAGACCTCCCCGCTTCTGAGGCACCTCTCATTTGCTGATAGTTTTGAAGGAATGCGGTTTTTAAAAACTGCCAGGAAAGCCCAGGATGGCAAGGACTCCACCTTCCATTTTTACCAGCAAAACAATCCTCACCCCCAAGGTGTCACCCGGATGGCTGGCTGGCTGGCTGGCTAGGTGCAAGTTGCACACGAACTTCCGTGAGGAAGCGGATTGTCGCCCCAGAGCAAGTGCAGCCAGGGGAAAGCGGGATGCAGACTCTAGCGTTCAACATCATCCAACAACGAGAGCAACGCACTTGGACTTCAAGAGAAGGATTAACATCTTCTCAGGGTGCATACTCCAGGTCATATCCATAGGGCTAAGCTTGCTGTTACCAAAAATGTTGATTAAATATCATTTTCCTAGGTCCTGGGTATGGAACCAGAAACTGACTTTAAAAATTAGGAGGTTAATAGGAAGTCAAGACACCACAATCCACAATGGACTTGTTGGTTCTGACATGGACCCAGCACATGGCTGGAACGTCAACTCTCCACAGATAGCCAGAACCACTTTCTGTACAGAGTCATTATTTTTTTAGATCTTGCAGGCTAGACTGTCCCTGTCGCAACCACTTTGCCATCGAGAGCAAACTCAGTGACAGAGGATTCATAAATGGATGGGGAGCACGGCTCCTAGGCAGGAAGGGTCGCCTGGGTGTTGAAGGCACTGTTCCAGGGAATATCATGCTGTTTCCTAGGACTGCCTTGACACATTCCCACTCACCGAGTGACTTAGAACAGTGGAAATTTATTCTCTCACAGTTCTGGAGGCCAGAAGTCTGGAATCGAGGTGTCATCAGGGCTGGGCTCCCTTGAGAGGCTCCGGGGAGGGGCGGGGGGGCTCCTTCCAGCCCCTTCCAGCTTCTGGGGGCTGTCGGCAATCCAGCCTCCGCCCTGACCCTCATGTGGCCTTCCCCTTTGTCTCTTAGAAGGGCCCTTTTCTTTGGGTTTACCACCCACCCAGGTGCTCCAGGACGATCTCACCCAGAGATCTGTAATTGAATTACAACTGCAAAGACCCTTTTTCCAAATAAGGGCATATTCCCAGGTTCTAGTGATTGGGACATAGACATATTTGGGAAGCCACCATCCAACCCCAGATAGAGACACTAAAAATCACTTGTTCTGAAACTCAAAGTTAACTGTGCATTTGCATCTTATCTGACAGCCTGGATGGCTGCCCTGCGCTGCACCACTGCCCCAGCCGAGCCACGTCCCAGGCCTGGAGTCAGAGAGGCGTGGAGGAGGCCTGTTGGGCGGAAACTCTCAGCGTCTGCAGGAGAGCTCAAAGCTGGGTCAAGGGGCTGTGGGGCTGGGTGTCCACAGCCCTTCTTCCTCCCGAGAGGTAAGAAACGGACAGCTGTTTCATGACAGTCTCACGACTGATTACCAGCACATGCCATATGCTGGTTATGCTGGTTATAGCTTAACTATGTCCTCTTCCACCTGTGTAACTGAGTCAAGCAAGCTTCTTCACCACAACCTGTTACCATCAGCCCTGGCGGGTGTTTCCTGGAAACTCAAAAATTATCCTAAGTCCCAGTGCCAGGGAGGCTGTGGACACAGAGAAGGGGAACGAAATAGTGGTCTCTTTTCTGTTTTGACAGCCACCCCTTTGCCTGTGGGCACTTGCTTCTCTGTGTAAAAATGGATGCGCTGGCCAGATGCAGTGGCTCACACCTGTAATCCCAGCACTCTGGGAGGCTGAGGAGGGTGGATTACGAGGTCAGGAGTTCAAGACCAGCCTGGCCAAGATGGTGAAACCCCATCTCTACTAAAAATACAAAAATTAGCTGGGCTCAGTGGCAGGCGCCTGTAATCCCAGCTACTCAGGAGGCTGAGGCAGGAGAACCACTTCAACCCGGACGGCAGAGGTTGCAGTGAGCTGAGATCGCGCCACTGCACTCCAGCCTGGGCAATAGAGACTCTGTCAAAAAAAAAAAAAGGATGCATTGCCCAGCAGGCAGTTACTGAGGGCACAGAGAACCCGGGGGACCTTGGCCGTGGCGGGCCAATCAGCCTGCATTTGTGAGAAGAGCGTTTCGCCCAGCACGTGGATTTGTTTCCCAGGCAGGGAAATCGGGAGCGGGAGAGATGGACAGCGAGCTGGTGAGGATCCGGGCTGCGATGTCGGGAGCGGTGAGAGCGAGCGCGGCTTCCACGCTGACCCTTCTGGCCTCATCTTCCATACTGTCACCAGAGGAAACGTCAGACCCACAAACCTGGTCATCTCACTGCGTTGCTGAAAACCCTCCCAGGGCTCTGCTTCCGCTCGGATAGAATCCACATCGCATCATTCAGCCTCGGCTCAGTTCCTCAAACAAACTAGGCTCTTCCCGGGCCCATTCCCTCTACGTGGAGCATCCTTGCCAGCACATTCTCCACCAGCCCATTCTCACCCACTCCTCATGGCCTGGCCCCGGTGTGGCTCCCCAAGGAGGGACCCTCCACCCACTGACAGCAGTCTCTAACTGTAGTGGCAGCCGCCCTCATCATCACAGCACTGGACACCTTTCCGCAACAGGGCGTCGTTCACACTGCTCTCCCACCACTAAATGGCTGGGCCCAGGAGGATGGGGCTGGGGGTGCTTCACCTCCTCCACATACCCAAGGACAGGCACAGTGCCCCGCACAGGGAAGACGCTTGAGAAACACTCCTGAACCTACGAATTGAGAGACCAATCTTGTTAGCCGTGGGATTATCTGCATTTGCAACTTCGACAGGAAGAAAAGAAAACCTTTCTCTGCAGGAAGCGAAGTTCAGCACTGAAGAAGGTCCCGCACCCTTGGCGGCTGGAGGGAGAGGAGAATCTGGGTGCTCCGTGGGCTGGATGGCGACGTGAGTTGGGCAGCTCTGTTCTTGCAGGAGCCATTCCACGTCATGCATGTCCAGTCTGATTTTATGGGAAATCCTGACTTTATGTGAATTATCTCCATTTTAAAATGTTAGCAAGTATTTTTTTCTAAACACTGCATGCCAAGCACAGTGTGTCTGTCTGAAGGCAACATTTGCTGATCGACCTCTCATTGAAAATCCCTGGTTTCATGGGTGGTTGAAAAATAATTACTGACTTGTCAAGAATTGCTCTTCTCACATTTCCAGAGGACTTTCCATCTCCTTTCCCAATCGCTACAACTTAGGTTTCTATTTCAATAACGGTTAATGTTATGAGGTTCTCTTCTGGTGGTTTGCGTTACAATGTCTTCCAGCTCCACACCAGCATCTCAGTAATATTGTTATGATTATTTCCAATACCAGAAGGCTGTGTCTTGATCCATAAAACATTCAACACCAATAATTTCCTTTTACCCTCCTAACATTCCGGAGGAAAGTATAATCTGTCCACTGTAGACACTGAAGAATTTGCTGGCCTTGTCTTCCTTTCCTCACTTCACCAAGTGAAGATGGGTTTCACTTTTGGGAAGAACCTTCCGTCATGTTGCACAGTCATGTGATGTCAAGACCCTGGCAAAGATCCCCGACTCCCAATTCAGACTGTTCACCATCAGAAAGCTAACTCTGGCTGAGCTCTTGCCAGAGAACTGTCCTTCAAAATGTGGGTCACAATTCATGCTCAGGTCAATCTAGTGGATTATGACCAGTATTTTGTAAACAAGACAGAAGATAAGACAGGTAGAGGAGAGCAGAAGACTCTAGATTGCATTGCACATAGAAGAGGGAGGTTTACTTGTATAATACTTATCTTTTAAGGCAGGGGTGTCCAACCTTCTGTCTTCCCTGGGCCACATTGGAAGAAGAATTGTCTTGGGCCACACATAAAATACACTAACAGTAGCTGATAAGCTAAAAGAAAATTGCAAAAAAATCTCATAGTGTTTTAAGAAAATTTATGAATTTGTGTTGGGCTGTGTTCAAAGCCATCCTGGGCTGCATGTGGCCCATGGGTAATGGGTTGGACAAGCTTGTTTTAAGGGGGGGGTGTGGGTATGTTTGTGTATATGGAAGTATGTATGTACATGTGATTACTATATCTCTATGTACATGTCTATGATTTATGGTCCCAAAACTCTAAAAACCCATTGTTCTAAAGTAAACAACTCCCAGAGATATTTTGGATTTATTTTAACCATAAATCATCTTCCATCTCAATTTGGGGTGGGATGAGAATGTCCTGAGCAAAGAAGGCCAAACTATTCTTGCCGGGGAGTAATACAATGAAACACAGCAATGGTAATTATTGTAATGGTGGCTGCTCACATTTGCTAAACTTCTACACCCTATCAGACACTATTTTAAAACACTGCCTTCGTTATTAAGGCCATTAAATCTATAAGATTGGCACTAGCAGATATTACCCCTGAGCAAGTAAAAGAACAGCCCAGTTAAATAATGCACTTTAAAGACATACAGTTAGTAGCAGTCAAAGACTGGATTTGAACCCAGGAAGTCCAGCTCTGGAGCCTGTACTCACACCCATGAGATTGAACCATCTCTCTCAGCAAACCATGCCCAAAGCCTGATGGGCTGCCCTGCAGCTAAACTCAGACTATTAAAACTTCATCTTGGCCGGGCGCGGTGGCTCACGCCTGTAATCCCAGCACTTTGGGAGGCCGAGATGGGCGGACTATGAGGTCAAGAGATCGAGACCATTCTGGCTAACACAGTGAAACCCTGTCTCTACTAAAAATACAAAAAATTAGCCGGGCGTGGTGGCGGGCGCCTGTAGTCCCAGCTACTCAGGACAGGAGAATGGCGTGAACCCAGGAGGCAGAGCTTGCAGTGAGCCCAGATCACGCCACAGCACTCCAGCCTGGGCGACAGCGCAAGACTCCGTCTCAAAAATAATAATAATAATAATAAAATAAAAATAAAAATAAAAAACTTCATCTTTAACAAGCATCTCTCCTTGCCTTGAATAATTAACAGCTGTCATTGCTTCTGCAGCGGCAAAGAGCCTGTGTGAGAACAATGCGCGTGCACTCACAGCAGAGGGAAGGAAGGGAAGCTCCTCCGGGAGACTTTTGCTCAAAGACAGCACCCCTGGGGCTGAGCAGGGCAAACGCCCTGTGCCAGGGAGCAGGGGAGAGTGCAGCATGATGCCTTCAGCCAGCGTTCGGCTAAGGAACTTGAGTTTCTGAAATCAAGTGTGCAAGGAGCTTAAAGGCGGAAGGACTCAACGTACCCAGTGTGGATATTGTTGGCATTTTCCAACACAGACAGAAATCTAGCACTGATACCATGATACCTCCTCTTTTTGAAAATCTGCTGTGCAGTTTCTGAACATACTGCTTCAGCCAAGAAGTATGGTAGAAAGACATCCCAGTAACCAACACAGATGTTGCAAAGCCATCGTCCCTGATGTTACACAGTTTACTTTCTAGGAGGCCATTTCAGACCTTCCCTTTGAATCCACTCACCCCGAATGTGCGCACGGTTCCAACTAATCAGCTGATTTTGTTCTTAAACTCACAACTGTCTGGAAGCAGGTAGGCAGGAAGGCAGAAAACAGACACGTGGAAACCCATTCATCAGGAAGCCATGGGTGATAATGCCGACAGCCTGCGTTTACTGAGCACTGACTGGGTGCTAGTCATTACACCAAGGGCGTTACTTTCATCTCCTCATACGATGCTGACAAAACCCAGAAAGGGGCACTATGACCCACCCCCACCTTCCCATTTCACAGGCGTTGAAACCAGGCTCAGACAACCTTGCCCAAGGCCACATAGCCCATCAATTGCAAAACCAGGATGTGAACTCTGCCTACAGGGCTCTGAAACTGAGGCTCATCACCCATAGTTAGTAACACCCACTCACAACGTAGGAAAACCGTAGAGTGAATTCACAAGCACACACAATGCCGAAGCCTAGAGCCACTGAATACACAGCAAAGAGGGTTTTCTGTCTCTTCTGCCGTAGTCACAGTGTGTAATGCGGTGCATGGGACACAGTAAGTGCTCGGTAACAGTTGTTAAATGAAATAAGGACACACATTTTAAGAGCCCCTAACAGCCCCACTGATATTCCTGTGCCATTGGGAAACGCCATCCAATCACTCTGCTCTCTTCAGTCAGATTTTTCAAAGATAACCAAACCGTATATCTGAACTAAGTATTTCTACAAAAATAACTCACATTAAATGGATGAATTTCGTGGAAGATACAAATGCCAAGAGTCCATTCAAGAAGAAATAGATAACTTGAGTGGCTCCATGTTTATTAAAGAAACTTAATTTATAGTTAAAGCCTTCATACAAAGAAAACTCCACAGATAGTTTTGCTGGGGATTTCTAACAATTATTTGTGGACAAATTAATACCAATTCTGCACAAACTCTTCCAAAAAACTGAAGGAACGGAACTCTACCCAATTCATTCTTTGAGGCTAGCATTAGTTACCCTGATACCAAAGTCAAAAGCATTATAACAAAATTGTAGGTCACTATGACTCATAAACAAAAAAAATTATAAACACAATTTGGAAAATTAAATCCAACAATATATTCAAAAGAAAGCCCATCGTTTTTATTTTTATTTATTTATTTATTTTTGAGACGGAGTCTCGCTCTGTCTCCCAGGCTGGAGTGCAGTGGTGCGATCTCTGCTCACTGCAACCTCTGCCTCCTGGGTTCAAGTGATTCTCCTGCCTCAGCCTCCTGAGTAGCTGGAATTACAGGCACATGCCACCACACCCAGCTAATTTTTGTATTTTTAGTAGAGACGGGATTTCACCATGTTGGTCAGGCTGGTCTCAAACTCCTGAACCATGATCCGCCTGCCTCAGTCTCCCAAAGTGCTGGGATTACAGGCGTGAGCCACCATGCCTGGCCAAGGTAACCCATCTTAACCAAATAGAGTTTATCCTGGGATTGCAAGTTTAGTTTAACATGTGAAAAATCAATCGATGTCATTCATTATACAAAGAATTCTATGATGATCTAACTAGACGTGCACACGAAAGTATCTGAGAAATGACAACGTCTATAACTGATAACACCACTCAGCAACATGATAAGAGAAAGAAACTTCCTCCATGAGATAAAGAGCACCTATGAAATACTTGCAATTAACAACCTTAAGGTAAAAAATTGACTGCTTTCTCCCTAAGATTGGACACGAGACAAGGATGTCACCCTTACCACTTCTATTTAAAATTGTACTGGAGATTTAAGCCAATGCAATATGACAAGAATGAGAAATAGACAGCATTTATAGATTGGAAAAGAAGGAGGAAAATGGTCTTTATTTGTGGACAACAGGATAGGCTAGGTGGAAAATCCAACAGAATTAACAAAAGAGCTACAAAGAACTATTAAATGAATTTGGCAAGGTAGCAGAAAAGGAGATCAACATACAAAAAATAATGTGTCACTATATACTAGCCACAAACAAAAACTTAAAGTTTAAAAAAATACAGATTAAAATAGCCTTAAAAATACAAAATATCTACAGGCACACTTGACAAAAGATATGAATGACTTGCCAACTGAAAATAACACAATATTGCTGAGAAAAATTAAAGACGACCTAAATAAGCAGAGAGATATCTTGCGTTTGTGGATCGGAAGAATCTATGTTGTTAAGAGGTCATTTTTTAATGAATTGATCTACAGATTCAACATGACCCTGTCAAAATCCAATTATGCTTTTTTTGTAGAAATTGACAAGCTAATCCTAAAGATCCACATTAAAATGCAAGGGATGTAAAATAGACCCTGCCAAAAAAACAAAATTGGAGCCAAGTGCAGTGGCTCATGCCTGTCATTCCAGCACTTTGGGATGCCAAGGTGGGTGGATCACAAGGTCAGGAGATCGAGACCATCCTGGCTAACACGGTGAAACCCCATCTCTACTAAAAACACAAAAAATTAGCTGGGCGTGGTGGCAGGTGCCTGTAGTCCCAGCTACTTGGGAGGCTGAGGCAGGAGAATGGCGTGAACCCGGGAGGCGGAGCTTGCAGTGAGCCAAGATCATGCCACTGCACTCCAGCCTGGGCGACTGAGCAAGACTCCATTTAAAAAAAAAAAAAAAATTGGAGAACATTATTTTAAGGCTTACTATAAAGCCACAGTAATCAAGATAGTAAGGTAATGCATCGGATAGACAAATAGTCCACTGAAAAAGAATAGAGATCCCATAAATAGACCCACAAATGTATTAGCAACTGATTGTCTTTTGGAATTTTTGATGGGGTCTATGTCACTCAGCGTGGCCTCAAACTTCTGAGCTCAAGCGATCCTCCCACTTCGGGCTCCCAAAGCACTGGGATTACAGCTGTGAGCCACCACACTAAGTTACAACTGATTTTAACAAAGATGCAAAGAGAATTTGATGGAGAAAGAGTTATCTTTTCCAAAAATGGTGATGGAAATATTGGAGAGTCATACGCAATAAGTAAACTTCAACATCCTTCACATCATATGCAATAAGTAAACCCATCCTTCACGATACGCAAAAATTAACGCAAAATAGATCATCAATTTGTGACTTTAGATTAAACAACTTTTTTTAGATCTGACACCAAAGTACATTCTGTCAGAACAAACTGGTAAATTAGATGTCATGAAAAGTACAAGGTTCTGCATTTTGAGTGACATCATTAAGAGAATGACAATAAAAGCAACATACTGGGAGAAGACATTTGCAACTAATATATCTGACAAGAGAGCGTATGCAGATTATACAAAGAATTTTCAATATTCAATAAAAAACAAGCCATCCAATTAAACTAATGGGCAAAATGATTTGAAAAACACTTCACCCAAGAAGACATATGGCAAATAAGCACATGAAAAGATGAGCAATAGCATTAGTCACTGGGGAAGTGCAAATAAAACTCAAAATATCATAATACCATGACTTACCCATTAAACTAACCAGAATTAAAAACACTGGGCATGCAAGTGCTAGCAAGGATACAGATGATTGGAACTCTCATATACTGCTAATCGGAGTATATAATGGCCCTACCATTTAAATAATTTGGCAATTAACTACAATGTGTTATAGTTGTACATATTGACAGTTTTACAGTTTCTGCAAATGTTAAATGCACACCTACGTATATCCAGCCATTTCATCACTACATTTTCCACCCAAGTGAAATTATTGTGAAAGGAAAATAATTCTTGGGGCCCCCAAATCACTAAGCTAAAGGTAAAAGTCAAGCTGGGCACTGCTGAGGGTAAACCTGCCCCATTCTATTCAAAGTCCCCCCTCTGCCCACAGAGAAATGCATATCCGATCACCTCCTTTGGAGAGGCTTATCAGAAACTGAAAAGAATGTAACCGTCTGTCTCTTACCTACCTGCGACCTGGGAGCCCCCACTCTGCCTCCACCTTTCTAGTCTGGAGTTGCCCCACCTTTCCTGACTGAACCAGTGTACATCTTACACATATTGATTGATATTTCATGTCTTCCTAAAATGCATAAAATCTACCTGTGCCCCGACCACCTTAGGCACATGTTGTCAGGACTGACAGAGCAGGAGCACTGCCATCTTGGACAAGTACTGCCATTTTAAGTTTCACCTTGATCAAAACCCACCAAAATCCAAAGGGCATCAGCCTAATGGCTAAGGTCAGCATGACCATACAACACAAATGACGTCTCCGACCAGAAACATTCCAAACCCCTCCCCGACCAGAGACCTGCCAGCCCCAAGATAACCTCCCCTCCTGCCGGAAGGATGTCAGCCCCAACAGAACCTCCCCGCTGGCCAGAAGGATGTCGGCCCCAACAGAACCTCCCCCGTCTGGCCGGAAGGATGTCAGCTCCAACAGAACCTCCCCACTGTCCAGTAGGATGTCAGCCCCAACAGAACCCCTACTCTGGCCAGAAGGATGTCAGCCCCAACAGAACCTCCCCTCTGGCTGGAAGGATGTCAGCCCCAGTGGAACCTCCCCTCTGGCTGGAAGGATGTCAGCCCCAATAGAACCTCCCCTCTGCCCAGAGACATTCCAACACTGCCATAAACTTCTCCCCTACACAAAAACATTCCAAGCTTGTGATAAGCCCCCTCACCCTAAAACCAATATGTACTCTTAGTCTGTAAGACAGAATGCTCCTGACTGAAATTGGCCAGAAGCCCGTGATCCGGTAGTTCATCTGAAAACTCATTTAACTGAATGCTCCAAGGGATGACCAAGCTGCTACAACGCTGCTTCTTCCCCTTCAAGTCTAGGGATGGTAACAGCTTCCTGCTGTTGCTAGACCCTGTATGCATCACTACTTATTGGTTCTCTTAACCTCCCCACACCTCTATAAGTTGTCCCTTGTAGCCATCTCCAAGCCCTAGCCGAGTACACCCTTCATTTCCTGCCAGGGTGCTGACTGCACATTCTCTGCAAGTCCACGCTCAACTCACGGTGAGCATTTATACACCTTGTCAGGAGAGCAAGCATGTTTGGGAATCAGGGTTTGGTTAACACTCTTACTGACAAGGCTCATTCTCTGTGTGATTTAACCAACCAGAAGGACGACCAGTAATCAAGATCACAAGCTAAAACTGAGTTAGTCCAGGCCGCCGGAGCTCTCACCTGAGTGAAATCAGACCAACCATATCAACTGCCTAAAAGCCACGGGCTGCTCACCCACCCTGGGGATGGGGTCAAAGAGGGCAGGCAAAAAAAAAAAAAAAAAAAAAAAAAGCAAACCGGCTGGTGAATGTGATTATCTTTTACTTCTTGTTGGATTGACAGCCTCTGGGTTGTGGTATATCCATCATGTTGAAAAGCCAGCTACATCCATGGATTAAAAATTAATTTACTGCCCAGCCTGGCTTCCAGCTTGATGCCTTAATTAAGTTTGTTATTGCAGTGGTGCTGAGCTCCAAGGCATCATTCAGCCCAGTCTAGAGACCTCAGTGTTTGGGGAGAGGTTTATGAGCTCTGTAATGCAATTATCTTCCAGCACACATAGAATGCTTATCTCCAAAGTCACTCTGAATTCATCCCAGGTTCTTTGTGCATATGTAACTAGGAAGAGAGTTATTGATCTACTTCTTCAAAGACACACTCACAATAGTCTTGAATCTCAAATGACAGGAGAATTTGATCCTATTGCTGGGAAAGACACTGCTTGGAGGAGCACATTAATTTAATTAAACATTTAATTGAGCAGCTACTATATATGTTCAGTATGCAAATAGGTGTGACATAATCCCTGTAGAAGCTTTCAGCGAACCTTTTAACTAAATGGAATGTCAATGAGAAGGAATAAAGGGACAGCTCCTTATCACACCCCCTGCAGCCTCTGGCCAAGAAAGGTCTCCAGAGATTTTTCTTTCTTTCTTTAAGAAATATTTGGCCAGGCACGGTGGCTCGTGCCTGTAATCCCAATACTTTCAGAGGCCGAGGCGGGTGGATCATCTGAGGTCTGGAGTTCAAAACCAGTCTGGCCAGTATGGCAAAACCTCGTCTCTACTAAAAAATACAAAAAAAGAAAAAAGAAATATTTATACAGTGCTAACTTGTGCCAGGCATATGACAAACATTAACCCATTAACCCTCATAATAATCAGAGAAATCCTAAGGTAGGTACCCACATTGTTCACATTTTGCTGAAGACGACACAGGCACTCTGCCGCCCATCTCTCTCAACACCTAACCTACCTTATCCATTTCAGCTCTGAGGTCCCAAAGGAACATTCAGCATCATAGGTGGGGCTGGCTGTGCTCCAGACACACCCTTTGAAGTTAGGAGGATGTGTCCCTTCAATGCCCTCCGCCCATTTGGGGGAGGTTTCTTGCATTTGCAAGGACAGTTTGGATGATGTGCACAAGTCCCAGAAATTCGGCCACCTGTGTGGCAGCGCTGGGAGCTGCTTCCCCAGGGACTCCTGTAAGCGTGGGATGGCTCCCGCCTTGTGTGCCATTGGCAGGGCTACCATTGACTTCTTTTGCTTGACTTTTTTGGTAGCAAACGTGTACTTTGATCATTGTCTGATGCGTAAGTAACAGTCATTAAAGAATTGAACAAACAGATGTAGACGGTCGCATGACAGAAGAATTCGCCAACGGTGGTTCTGTTGCACCATATTGTAATCAACAATGTTAAGAACGTGTTTCCATTTTTAATAGGATTTGGTGTTCTTTTAGCATAAACAGAGAAGTGTTATTTTGGCAGCTCAAAAATTGAATTATGACAATGATACTTTTTAGCTATGAGAATTCACCCTGCAAGGGGTCTATCAGGAATAATTAACACACCCCCTCCCGGAAGAGGAGAAGAACATATTTCTCATTTATAGAGATGAGGTTTTCAGTTGCAGCACTGGTCAGTGAAGCAATACAATTTCCACTTGTCAATCTCGTAATTTTAAAACCAAAATTGGCACCATATTTCATATTCAAAATATATCAAGAAACAGTACTAATAAAAAGACAAGCAAAAGATAAACTCAAGTGGCAAATGAGCACATGAAAACATGGCCATCACTAGCCATCCAGGATATGCAAATGTAAACAATGGGTTCCCATCAGATGTGCACATTTTACCAATCTGACTATACCAAGTGTTGACAAGGCAGGGAAGCATGCCCACCTGTACAGAACTGGCAGGATCATCAGTCAGTTGGCCCAGCTGCTAGAAGCACTGGGAAGTCTCTGTTGAAATAGAAGTGAGCACATCCTATAACCCTACTAACTTCAACGGACTCAACACATGTGCTCGGAAGGCAGGTGTAAGCACCTGCATCATGGAAGAGTGGAAACAACCCAATAGAGAAATGGATAAGGAAAATTTGTCAGCCCCAGTGCATCTCAAAACACAATGCAGATCAAAAATAGAAGATGCAGAATCATGTGCCCAGTATGATATTTATGAAGAAAATTTACATAAAACCATGTTTTTATGGAGACTGACAGATGGGTAAGTACAGGCATAAGATACACTTGCAGTCACGAGCTGAGGAACAATGTTTCCGTCAAGGAGGGACACATACTTGCCATGGTGGTGCCATAAGATTCTGAGAGAGGTGAAAGCTCGCTGTAGCCCTATAGCCCGGTGACTTCACAGCCAAGGTAACATCGCAGCACAGTGCATGACTCATGTGTGTGGTGACACTGCTGTAAACAAACCCACTGCACCGCCAGTCCTAGAAAAGCCTAGCACATATGATCCTGCAAAGTACATCATGCTTGATACGTGATAATAAGCAACTATGTCACTCGCTTAGATATCTCACTATGCTCTACTTTTCTCATTAGAGTGTACTCCTACTTATAAAATAACTGTAGAACAGTCTCAGGCAGGCCTTCCAGAAATTATCCAGAAGAAGGCCTTGTCACCCTAGGAGATGGCCGCTCCACGCGTGCTTTGCCCCTGGAGACCTTCCAGCAGGACAGGACATGCAGGTGCAAGACGGTGATGTGATGATCCTGACCCCGGGTAGGCCCAGGCTAATGTGTGCGTTTGTGTCTTCATTTTTAAAACATTTTAAACGGTGTTAAAATGTTTTAAAATAGAAAAAAATTCTTATGGAATAAGGATATAAAGAAAAGGATTTTTGTGCAGCTGTGCAATGTCTTTGTGTTTCAAGATACGTGTTATTACAAGAGTCAAAAAGGTTTTTAAAAAGTAAAAAAAAAAAAAAAAACCTCACAGTAAGCTAAGGTTAATTGATTATTGAAGAAATAAAAACAATTTTTGAAAAATGCCTTTGAATCATGTTTTAGGCTACTCAGTGCGGCCCGAGTGTTCAGTGTCCATAAAGCCTACAGTCGTGCAGTGGAACATCCTACGCCTTCACATTCACTCTCCACTCACTCACTCACTCACTCACTCACTCACTCACTCACTCACTCACCAGAGCAACTTCCGGGCCTGCAAGCTCCATTCATGGTAAGTGCCCTATACAGATGCCCCTTTTCTTTCTTTTTTTTTTTTTTTGAGACAGAGTCTCGCTCTGTCTCCCAGGCTGGAGTGCAGTGGCACGATCTCGGCTCACTGCAAGCTTTGCCTCCCGGGTTCACGCCATTCTCCTGCCTCAGCCTCCCAAGTAGCTGGGACTACAGGCACCACCACCACGCCCGGCTAATTTTTGTATTTTTTAGTAGAGACGGGGTTTCACTGTGTTAGCCAGGATGGTCTTGATCTCCTGACCTCGTGACCCGCCCACCTCGGCCTCCCAAAGTGCTGGGATTACAGGCGTGAGCCACCGCGCCCGGCCTCTTTCTCTTATCTTTTATACTGCATGTTACTGTGCCTTTTCTGCAAGGTTTAGATATGTTCAGATAGACACATACCTACTATTGTGTTACAGTTGCCTACAAAGTCCAGTACAGTCACATCCTGCACAGGTGTGTAGCCCAGGAGCAATGGGCTCCACCACACAGCCTCGGGGTGCGGTAGACTCCCCGGCTAGGTGTGTGCAAGTGCACTGCAGGGTTCACATGACGAGATTGCCAGCACGCCTTTCTCAGAACTCATTCCATTGCTCAGGACACAGGACTGTGAAAGTATACTTTAAAAGCTGGAAAGATACATACTATCCTAATAATATAATGGATGCTTCTGGGAGTGGAGGGTGGGTAGGTGTTGCAGTAGACTCTATAAATCAAAGAATTGAACTTTACTTGTAATGCCTGATTTATTTTTAAAGGTGGTCTGGTCTCTTCAATAAGTCAATCACGCGGGGAAACCGTGTTTCCAACTAAAAGAGACTAAAAAGACGTGGCTGCCAACATCATACATGAGGCGTGGCTGGATCTGGGTGCAATCAAAATAACAAGGTATAAAAAATGTCCTGGGGATAACTAAAAATTTTGAATATGGGATGACCACCGTATGCTATTGGGGAATTACTGTTCATTTTTAGGTATGACAATGGCATTGTGGTTGTGTAGAAAATAATTTTATTTTTAATGATGCATGATAAAGTAGTAATAAAGTGACAATATCTACAACTTTGAAATAACTCAGTAAAAAAATAGATGATGATAGACAGGCAGACAGCAAATATGACAATGCTGTTACATGATTGCGTCTGTGTGCTGTGTGGGGGTTCATTGTGCTATTCTTGCCATTTCAAGGTATGCTTTCAATTTTTCATAAGTAAAAGCTAAAAATGGGCCAGGCACAGTGGCCCACACCTGTAATCCCAGCACTTTGGGAGGCCGAGGTGGGCAGATCATTTGAGGTCAGGAGTTCGACACCAGCCTGATCTACGTGGTAAAACCCCATCTCTACTGAAAATTCAGAAAAAAATTAG
This sequence comes from Homo sapiens, assembly GCF_000001405.40. NCBI lineage: Eukaryota > Metazoa > Chordata > Mammalia > Primates > Hominidae > Homo > Homo sapiens. The sequence continues at coordinate 130,605,923 of NC_000012.12, forward strand.
CCAGGCATGGTGGTGGGAGCCTGTAGTCCCAGCTACTTGGGAGGCTAAGGCAGGAGAATTGCTTGAACCCAGGAGGCAGAGGTTGCAGTAAGCCGAGACCATGCAATTGCACTCCAGTCTGGGAGATAGAGCGAGACTGTCTCAAAAAACAAAAAGAAAAAGAAAAGAGAGGAAAAAAAAGCTAAAAATGAAAGGTTAATGTGTAACTTTTTGAAAGTATGAACAATAACAACTGGAAGTAAATATGGTAAAAAATAAAAAATAAAAAAAGATTGGCCCTGCCTGAGAGTCTATATGGTGGGAATTACACACAGGTGTTTTCTTGTCTGTATGTTTCTGAGAAAAAACGTTCTCCCAAATTAAAAATCACAGTCAGAACATTGCATTCCTGGGATTACCCCCTCTCACTATTATTCTACCACTAACTGCCTGGGCTAGGCCATAAAAAAGGAAGCATGGGGTTTGCAGAGAGGCACAAGCGTGACGCGTGGGCAGGGAGTCGCGCGTCTACACAGCTCCTCAGTTCCACGCAAGGAGGCAGGTCTTTAGGTGGCTGTCACCGCATCAGCGCTGTGGAGGCGGGGAGGAGTGCAGGTTGAAGAGGCGGAAGCTGAGCCAACAAGTCCCAAAAGGTATTCTGTGGAGTGTCTCTTGGGATTCACCATTTATAGCAAAACTCTTAGTGGCTTCCATCCAAACCTTATCTGAAAGTCTGCACTTCATGAGCTGTAAACTGTTGGAGCAAGCGGTAGAGATCATGAACTGGAGATACTCTCCAGCCTCCTCCTCACCTTCTAAATATGACCTGTGTGAAGAATTCTGCCCTGGTCCTACAGCCTGGCTTTTGCTTGAAGTCAAAAATAATGCAAAATGTCTCCAGGCCGCAACAGTCCGAGTCACCACAACAAGCAGTTCCAATTCTTTTTTAAGATGAAGTCTTGCTCTGTCGCCCAGGCTAGGGTGCAGTAGCGCGATCTCAGCTCACTGCAACCTCCGCCTCCCGGGTTCAAGCAATTCTCCTGCCTCAGCCTCCTGAGTAGCTGGGATTATAGGCGCTTGCCACCACACCTGGCTAATTTTTGTATTTTTAGTAGAGATGGAGTATCACCATCTTGGCCAGGCTGGTCTCGAACTCCTGACCTCGTGATCTACCCGCCTCGGCCTCCCAAAGTGCTGGGATTACAGGTATGAGCCACCACGGCCGGCCCAGTTCAAATTCTTTAAACACAGCTCACTCTACCAGTGAGCCTGAGGTGTAGAAAGTATTCCTTCTTCACGTTTAATTTCTGTATATAGTCCCAGCTTAAATCCTGTAATGCACCTGGGCAGAGCACTCACTCTCCCACAGACCCGGTCATCTGAAACATTCCCACTAAGTGTTTGCTGATGTTTCCAGGCGGGGAGAAAGGGCCCTACCCATGACCGCATCTGCTCAGATCACAATTTAACAGGCTGATTAAGATGATGTTTAATAGACGGGTGCCTCCAGTTGATAGCTTTCCTTGAATTTGCCACACAGTGCCCCGGCTAATCGTGGCTACTTGTGCATCCGTGGGTTTCTGCCACGTCTCCACACCCAGAACCATGCTTCCACATGCTCGGTGGGAACATGCTGCTTATTCATGGTGCTTTGATCATCTCCTGTGAGTTTCTCAGGGACAGGCATGAAACCACTGCCTCCTTAAGTCATCCTCACCGGCGACTGTTTCTCCACACTCAGCCCGAGAGCGAGTCAGACACAAATCCGACTCCCCAGCAAGGAGAAGCCTGCATTGGTCAGAAACTGCTCGGAATGCTCAGTAAGGGGAGCCCCAGAAAACTATTCATTCCACCAGGTTCAAGTTCCATCTCCTTTTTTTCCACTTTTCTCTCCACGCTGACCAAGCAGAAGCATCCATTTTTACAGCCGCTTAGGTTCTGTGTTGGGTGCAAGCATCAGAAATAAAGGCCATGACTCCACCAAAAGGGGAGCTCCCAGCAGGATGTGGGAATGTGTGGGGGTCAGAGGTTTGGAGGGCCAGGCGCAGAAGGTAGGGGTTCCCCTGCAAAAGGACCTGCCAGAAGTTCCTGTCCCCCAACCTGGAAACTTGCCACTGAAGTAAATATGCTCAAAACATTGATTTTTTTCCTTGATTCACTCAAAGATTCAGCGTCCTAGGACAGCGCTTCCAGTCAACCTTCCATGTCTGACCTCCCAGCCCCTGCCTGGGAACCAGGGCAGGAAAAGGAAAAATATCCAGTGGAAAGAGCTGCTAGAAAACGCTTTGGTTTCTGTTGTGAATGGGCAAGTTCTCCAAGCTTACGGCTGAATAAAACAACACACAACAGGACAATGGGAAACCAAGAGACTCTTAGGACTAGAGGATGCTGGGCAGGAAGGCCAACGACACCACCACAGGGGGTCGCAGACAGCATTTCCTATGCACAGCCCACTGGCATTGCATGTAGCCTCCTGCCTACACTGATTTCTCTGGGCCCTTCAGGGAAGTTTCAAGTTCTCAGGGCCAAAGAGACCTTCAGTCCAGGCTACGTGTGCCTCTTGCAGGTCTGATCACCCACCCTGGTGTCTCTCTACTGGGGAGGAGGGAAGTCTCAGCTCCCCAGAGATGAAGAGGCTTCCCCAGGTCAGGAGCTGTTGGGCTAGGACCCTCCTCCTGGGGGGAGGTGGGCAGTGGGGAGAAGCATCTCCACCGGGGAGGGGAGGCTCAGGCCCTGTGGGGACAGAGCGCTGCCCAGGCCACTCCTCTTTAGGACTCTGATTTTGTATGAGTTTATCATGTATCACGTGGCATTTTGACATATACATACCTTGTGGAATGGTTAAATCTAGTTAATTAGCAAGTACATTACCTCATAGTTATTTTGTGGTGAGAGAACTTAATACCCACTCTCTTAACATTTTTAACCAATACATCGTCATTAACTATGGTCAGCTTGCAGTGCAGTGGATCTGAAATGCACCCTCCTGTCTAACTGTAATTACACGTCCTTTAACCAGCATCTCCCCATGGCCCCCAGCACCCCAGCCTCTGGTAACCACATTCCATTCTCTACTTCTACGAGATCAACTTCTTAGCTGCCATGTATGAGTGAGGTCATTCAGTATTTGTCTTTCTGTGCCTGACTGATGACTTAATGCAGCATCCTCCAGGTTCATCCATGTTGTCAGAAAACTGTATGGAGGTTCCTCAAAAAGCAAAAATGGAATGGCCACGAGCCCACTATGTCACTGGTACCGACCCAAAGAAAATGAACTGAGTCTGTCGCAAAGCTGTCTGCACCCCCACGTATGAACTGAGTCTGTCACAAAGCTGTCTGCCCCCCCACGTTTATACAGCACCATTCCCACTAGCCAAGGTGTGGAATCAACCTAAGTGTCCATCGACGGATGAATGGATCAAGAAAATGTGTTCTCTACACAACGGAATGCTGTTCAGCCATTTTAAAAAAAAATGAAATCCTGACACTGATGTTGGCAGGGCCTTGATTAACCCTCCTTGGTGATATGGTCAGAGGGACCCCGACCCCCAGAGGAGAACTGAGCCACCTGGGGGACCTTCTCTGGTGAGGTCGGGGGTCAGGAAATGTTGGGCCTGGGTCACTTTCTTCTGTTGGATGGAAGCGGGGTGGTTAGTCAGGGTTCCCTGGAGAAACAGGACAGGATAGATACACATGAAGATACTTATTTGGGGAGTTTCCTCGTGTGATTACAGAGGCCAATAAGTCCCATGATCTGCCGTCTGGAGAGCCAGGAATACTGATGGTGGGAATTCAGCCTGAGACTGCAAGCTTGAGAACTGCAGAAGCCAACGGTATCGCTCCCAGCCCAGGGCTGCAGGTCTGGGAAGTGGGGGTAGGGCACTGGAGGGGGACTGGTTGAGGCCCAGAGTCCAGAGGTCTGAGACCCAGGAGCTTCAGCATCTGCGGGCAGGACAGACGGAAGTCCCAGCTCCAGAAGGGAGCAAATTCACCTCTCCCCTGCCTTTTTGTTCTGCTTGGGCCCTCGATGAATCAGAGGATGCCCTCATACATTTGTGACGATTCCTTAGTCCACTGATCCGAATGCTCACCTTCTCCAGAAACGCCCTCACAGGCACCCCAAAAAATAGTGTGTGGCCAGTTCTCTGGGCATCCCTCAACCTAGTTAAGTTGGCACAAAGTCAACCATCACGGGGGGAAAATGGGAAGCCTGCTCCTCCCAGTCCCTCCCGTTCTGGGGGAAAATGGGAAGCCTGCTCCTCCCGGTCCCTCCCGTTCTGGGGGAAAATGGGAAGTCTGCTCCTCCCGGTCCCTCCCGTTCTGGGGGAAAATGGGAAGCCTGCTCCTCCCGGTCCCTCCCGTTCTGGGGCCTCTGGCAGTTCAGCTTCCAGGGTCCTCTCTTCATCAAGTCTTGCTCCATTTCCAGGGCTTAAAGCTACACTTTGAAGGGAGGGTCTACGCCATCTGTGTGGCCCCAAAAGTCAGGTAATTTTTTAAAAACCTCTCCATGCTTGTATAATACTTAACAGATTTAATAAACACTTATCTCTTTGATAAATAAAAACAAAAGGATAAAAACTAAGTAATGTGTCCTAGCAATGTACAAGAGACTAACAAACATTTTGTGACTCATCAAAGTAATTTTCCTGCTTTTTTTTTTTTTTTTTTTTTTTTTTTGAGACGGAGTCTCGCTCTGTCGCCCAGGCTGGAGTGCAGTGGCGCGATCTCGGCTCACTGCAAGCTCCGCCTCCCGGGTTCACGCCATTCTCCTGCCTCAGCCTCCCAAGTAGCTGGGACTACAGGCGCCCGCTACCACGCCCGGCTAATTTTTTGTATTTTTAGTAGAGACGGGGTTTCACCGTGTTAGCCAGGATGGTCTCGATCTCCTGACCTCGTGATCCGCCCGCCTCGGCCTCCCAAAGTGCTGGGATTACAGGCGTGAGCCACCGCGCCCGGCCATTTTCCTGCTTTAAATTCACTGTCACCTCCCCCCAGTAACACCTGCAATGTCTCAGAAACTCACATCCATTGGAGGCTGTTGCTGCCCAGCGAGTCCCTGGCCACTCTGCCTCCGAGTTCCCTCATTTCTAAAGCTCTAGCAGCATCAGCTCCCAGGTGACTTCACCCTGGGGAGTCTCATCCAACACCTCATTTCACAGAGGAGGCCTCAAAAAGGCCAGGAGAAGAGAGCATTGTGCCTCTAGCCAGGCCGCCCAAAGCGGGCAGAGCCTGAACTCAGCCTCAGGCCACTGACATGGGCTCCGGCCTCCAGGCATCGCTGCCAACACCACAGGGACCGGGAACCGCCGCAGCTCCTGGAACTGCACATTCCCCTCCCATCCCACGAGCTCTGTCCCCACGTCCCCCAGACCCCACAGGGGAAGCACTCAGTGCCTGCCTCTCCAGGAGCCGCCTTCTCCTCCCTGATGATTGACGTCCCTCCCGTAAAGGATCTCTTTGAGCTACAGCCTCCATCAGACAATACGTTGCAGGATATTGGGGGCCCTTTTGTCTTCCACTCCCGCAGAAGCCAGGGCACCTGGGGCCGCTTCATTTACCCGCATCTCTGCCCCCGATCCTCCGCTGGAAGACACCGGCTGCCGGCTACCGGGCTTCGCTGCAGGTGTAAGTGGCAGATGCCACCATGCTGGCGGCGACGCGTCTCCTGCGGAGAGGATTTACCTCCGTAGCCTGGGCTAGGACCTTCAGGAGGCCTGCACAGCCTCGATTTAGGAAGCCCTTTGCCTCTAAATACACTGATGGCTTTCTCCTCCAACAGCTCGTGTCCCGCCCCGGCACACACATGCTGCGGAGTCTTGGATTCTGGTCTGCAAGGTTCTCGGTTGTACACCTGACAAACAGCTCAGGCCCGGCAAGCAGGACACGGAACCCATGTCGACCCATGAAACCCATGTAACTGCCTGTTACACGAAGGCTGTGGTGGAAAAAGTTCTCTGCCATGCAGGGCGCCTGCAAGAGAGGACCCCAGGTCTAAGAAGTTGCTTTGCAAGTAGAAAGTTGGGGAAAACCAATTGGCTGCAGGATTGATACCCGAAGCAGATACAATGCATCCTCTGAGAAGCATGTCCTGGATAGTTAAGGCGTCATGAGTCTTTGCCCTGAAGAGCCCGCAGGGCCTGCAGGGATCTGGGCAGCAGATCCAAGTCTTCCAGAGACAGTGTGCCAGGGCAGGTGCTCAGACATCACACAGCACAGCTCAGAGTCACGCAAGGTCACCTCTCTGGGCCAGAGAGGTGACCTCCAAGGAGAGCAGCTGCTTGGATTGACCTGTGTCCGGCCCAGACTGGAGAACAGGCCGCCACCTGTTCGCTCCTCAGCCTCACCTTCCACGGTGAAAACAGGCCTTCTGAGGGCTGAGTGCGGCCCCGGGTGTTTCAGTTGGCCAGGGGATCCAGCTTTTGGCTTTTTCATAAAGCATCACCTTCTCTCTCATGTATGAATATTTACTCAGCTTGGACAAGCCCTCAGGCCAGGGGTTGAAAGGTCACCATGCGTGAGCTGCTCTGCTGTGCGCAAAGCCCAATCCAGACAAAGTTTGGCCTGGCTGCTGGGTTAATGAAAAGCCACCCCAGGTTGGGGGTCCCCAGCCCAGCACCCAGTCTGGGGTATTCTGTACAGCAACCCAAGCTAAGAGAGCACATTATGGGAAAATGGTGTTTTTTAAAATAATTAAAACACCATTTGACAGGATGGTGAAGACCGTGGTGGCAAGACTTCAGAGGAAACAGTGTAAATGCAAAACGGGAGAAACCTGGAGGAGCTTGTCAAACACAGCTCTATGTCTTAAACAACTGGCTTCCCCAGTAACCAAACCGTGTGGACATCACCGCAGGCCCCCCTGGATGCAGACACTGGTACCTTATTCTGGGCTTAGACCCCATCCGGGTGAAGCAAGGTACACAGCCTGCAGGGCTGAGCTGGGATCTGTCACTTGCAATAGAGAGAGTCCGGATGGGTAAAACAGCTTCTCCTTTCCCTCCCCCCTCCCCCAAGTCCAGGACCTCCCGGGTAACCCCGATGATTACACAGCCTCCACCTAGTCTCCAGCCCCCCGTCATCGCCACCTGCACAGGCTACTTAGACCCTGGGTTACCATTCACCAGCTGTTTCTCCCTGGCCTTCCTTGATATACATTTCCCAGCTCCCTGGCCGGCAAGGATGACTAGGTGACATTTTTGTCCTCACGAGTGTCCTTTGGAAAGTCGCATCTGTCAGAATCCAGGACACCAGCCAGAAGGCCATGCCTGGTGAGTAATGAGGGGATGGGACGGAGGGAGAGTTGACAGCAGTGCTGGCGGGTTGCCGGGGCCAACAAGGCAGGGGACGCCGCCCCCAGGTACTCCAATTGTGGGAGCTGCGACCGCCCCGCCAGAGGGCCAGTGGGCAACCCACAGATACCCCTGCCGCAATCTCCAGGCTCCTACTGCGACCTCATCGGCCAAGCCACCTGGAAGCCACAGGGCAAGAGAACCTGAGTGAGGAAGTCCAGTGAGCCCAGCCCCCCACCCCGCAGGCAGAGGACAGCACAGAAGGAGGTAGAGGGTGGATCTGGGAGGCAAGCAGGGAACGCCCAGCACAGACTTCTTCCTTTCTTCGGTAAAGATTCAGTCTCGGCCGGGCACAGTGGCTCACGCCTGTTATCCAGCGGTTTGGGAGGCCGAGGCAGGTGGATTACATGGTCGGGAGATGAAGATCATCCTGGCCAACGTGGTGAAACCCCATCTCTACTACAAAGACAAAAATTAGCTGGGTGTGGTGGCGGGTGCCTGTGATCCCAGCTACTCAGGAGGCTGAGGCAGGAGAATCGCTTGAACCCAGGAGGCAGAGGCTGTAGTGAGCCAAGATCGCACCACTGCACTCCAGCCTGGGTGACAGAGCAAGACTCTGTCTCAAAAAAAAAAAAAAAAAAAACTCAGTCTCATTAAGAGACAGCTCTCATCGGCCTTTTCCGTTCTTCCTGCCTGGGATGCAGGCACAATGCCAGAAGGTGCAACAGCCACCATAGGACCCCAATGACAGCAGAGAGGGAGGGAGGCAGGTCCTTTCAGCCCTCATGCCACCCTGCAATGGTGGCCTCTGACTTTCTGCATGAGAAAAGCCAGCCCCGTCTCTGCAGGGCAGTGTTAGCAGGTTCTATTGTTACTTGCAGCTGAACGCTGTCTCACCTGATGCAACAGGCTGGCCTACACTTTATGTTTCGGTAGCACTTCAGACTTGGTAACACAGTTGCACGTATACTATGTGACTGGAAGCAGAAGAAATCAATGCCATTGTTCCCATTCCTTAAAGAGTACAATAAAGAAACAGAAGTTACTTACGGCCAAGGACTAACATGAGTTGGGGCAGCACCCACAGGAATCAGCGAAAACCATGTGATTAATTACCAACCTTGTGCCCAACCTCCCTTATCCTCAGAAGACGTTCAGTGAGCAACGTAAACAAACCGACGACATTCCCTCTGCCCTAACAACACAACACTTCTCACATGTTAGATGTGGAAAAACTGAAGAGCAGTAACAGACAGCGCTGGGGTATAAGGAAAAAGCAATAGGCCGCTCCACACAGAACCAGTGGGAATGTTGATTCCTGGAGTCTTTCTGAGAAACCATCTCTTGGAGGCGTAATTAAAAAGCATAGACAAATTCTGACCCAGAGATTCCCAGAAATTGATTCCACAAAATAAAAAACATAAGAATGCGCACATGAAGATCTTTAGCATAGCAGTGACGGGGCAAAGAAAAAAGGGGAAATCTTGCAGGTCTGCAGAGGAACATCTTTTCATGGTGGTCAAAGAAAATTGTGGTGTATCCGTGCCACAGACTACAATGAGGAAATGCAAAATCACAAGTTAGAATTCTATGTGTTGACATGAAAAATGTTCATGACGCACTTTTGAGTAAAACAAGTTATCAAATATATATATATAAAATACAGATATATAAAATATATATGTATATAAATACATATATTTTATATGTACTTTACAAAATGTTTTATAAACTATATACATATTTTTGATAACTTGTGTGTCTAGTCATCTTCAGATGTGTAGGTATGAAATAGGACAGCTTGGACAGCTCCCCATTTGTCTGGCAGGAAACGTGCAGATACTGTGTATGTGTATAAATACACATGTATATTTCATATACATATATACACGTGTATGTGTATATATGTGTATTATGTATATATACATATGTGTATTATGTATACATTATGTATATACATATATATTATATTGTATATTATATAATATATATATTACAATATTACAACATATACATCATATTATATATTATATACATAAATGTATATATGTACACATAATTATGTATATATACATAATACACATACATATATATATATATATATATGTGTACACACAAACATATATAGATATTTTTTTGAGATGGAGTCTCACTCTGTCGCCCAGGCTGGAATGCAGTGGCATGATCTCGGCTCACTGCAACCTCTACCTCCCGGGTTCAAGCAATTCTCCCATCTCAGCCTCCAGAGTAGCTGGGATTACAGGCACCTGCCACCACACCTGGCTAATTTTTGTGTTTTCAGTAGAGACGGGTTTTCACCTTGTTGGCCAGGCTGGTCTTGAACTCCTGGCCTCAAGTGATCTGCCCGCCTCAGCCTCCCCAAAGTGCTGGGATTATAGGTGTGAGCCACTGGGCCTAGCCTAGATTCTCATTTTAATAAACCAACAAACCCCCCAAGGCCTAGCTGTGGGGATACAGGTGTTTGTCTTTGATTATAGACAGGGAGAAAGGGGTGGAGGGACATGCATTGCTTACCTGGGCTATGGAATGTGACACTGTATAAGAATTAGGAGAGGAGAATTAAGAAAACCAATGCCCACTAAGTTTAAACAGCACCATTTTTCATGAACAGTGACAGGCATTTTCCTGTGGTGGTTGGCACCGGTTTCAAACGTCTGCCATCACTCTTGGAAGCCCCCCTGAGCCCACCCAGACAAGCTACATGGAGAAGTCCCCATACGCCTCTTAGATGCCCTCCTGCTCCGGGCGGGGACGTGGTCTGGACAACAGCGTTTGCTTTTTCACCTCTGGCAGGCACCAGTCTCCCTGCCTGGCAGGAGAGTGACGCAGTCGGATGCACACACACCCTAGCCTTTTGCATTCTTAAACCTACCCGCTGGGCTCTGTGTCCAAGAAGGGATGTCTGATGTTACAGATCACAACGTTCCGCCTGCACGTTTCCCACCAGACAAATGGGGAGCTGTTCACGGTGTCCCCTTTCATCCCTAGACATCTGAAGAAGATGACTAGACACATGCCACATTCTGTCTCCGGTTCCCCGCTCTCCTCTCCTTTCTGTACCCCCATCTGTTCTCCCCCCATGTCTCTCTCTCTTCCTCCGCTGTCTTGCTCCCTTCTCCTCCTCTCTCCTTCCTTATTTCTGCCTCCCCTATTAGTCTCCTCCTCTCATCTTCTCTGACTGTTGCCGTTTTCAGAAGGGCTCCTGGCTCGGGCCAGTGCGGAATCACCTGAGCAACTACCACGGTTGCAAACCTCTTCTTGAGGGCTTGCTGATTTCTCCTCAAACCTGTCTACAAGGCAGGATTATTTTTAAACCCATTTAAGAGCTAAGGAAACTGAGGCATAGAAAAAGTCGCCCAACCCATCAGCCATGTCTACTGGGCGCCCAAATGTGCAGGACACCATCCTAGGAGACAATGAATGAGATAGAGGTTACGGAATCTTCCCAATCCCGCACCTTCCCAGCTCATCAAGGCAGAGCCCAGGGCTGGCAGGAAGACGTGAATGTCCCAAGATGGGGTCAGCACAGTGCTCTGGAGTCTCTCCAGTGACAGGAGAGCTCCTTCTACATCGCCATGTGGCAGCCAGCAAAGAGTTTGGCCAGCACAAGCAGGCCACAGGAAGGAGAAGTCAGAGGGTGACTTTGGTTTCCAGCACAGAGGCCTGGAGAGCTCTGCCAGAGGCCTGAGCAGGAAGGAAAGGTTTTCGGGGACTGCTTGTGTGGGCTGTGGGTCCCCGCAACATGGGCCTTGGCGTCAGCTGCTGACCTGAAGTTGGGGTGCAGGGGCCCCCCTCCTCCTCTGCAGAGGCCCCCATGTCCCACTGATGAGAGGTTCCACCCCATCTCTCATTTTTCCAGGACTGCCAGCCTTACATCTCATGTTCTGAGCTTCCTGTGGGCCAGGCCTGGTGCTGAGACCCTACCAGTCTCTTCTGTGTTTCATTGTCACCAACGATCCCCCACCCCCGACCCCCGCCCCGAGTTAGTGCTGCCACCTCCATCCAGCACACAAGGGATGCAAGGCTTAGGGAACTAGAGCCCAGGCCCACGCCCTGCAGCTGGGAGCTGCTGGACCAGGCTTAGAACCCAGGTCCATCCTCATGCAAATGGCGTCATCCCTGCCCTTTGCCTCTCACTGACATTTCCTCTCCCTCCTCACTGGAAGGAGTGAGTCACCATCTCCCTTCACCAGACTCCATTTTTTTCCTAGCACACATTGCCCTGGGGCACCAGCTGAGAGTTCAGTCAATGCTGTGGCCCCACAGGCCTAGGCCAGCTACAGCTCCAGGCAGAAACGACAAGCAGGTTTCAGCTGACACCAGCTTTAGATACTGCTAGAAGCTGCTTAGTGGGAGGTATTGAGAAGGGCCTGGAGGCGGCCTTTCCTTTAGCAAAGGTGGGCTGCTTCTTATTTCAGCTGAAGCTTCAGAAAGTAACAGAGAGGGCCTTGGGCTGAGTGTCTATGACCTGACGCTAAGCAGCCCAGCACCTTCAGTCCTCGAAGGTCCGCAGATGCACCCCAGTTCTGAATTCACAGAATGCACGCAAATTAGATTATTCTGGTAGAACAGGAATCACTCCGTTGTCTGGGCTACTTAGAGATGTTGTCCAATCATTGGAAAACTTTGATTGCATCAGCTGATTTTCAGATTGCCAGGTCTCTTTAGAACTGGGAGATTCTTAGAAACATCTAACTCGGCCGGGTGTGGTGGCCCACGCCTGTAATCCCAGTACCTTGGGACGCTGAGGCGGGAGGATCACTTGAGCCCAGGAGTTTGAGACCAGCCTGGGCAACATAGAAAGACCTCTTCTAAAAAAAAAAAGTAAAAAAGGGGAAAAAGAAAGAAAATCTAACTCTCATAAGAGTCACGGATCCCCAAAGCAATTTTGCAAATGAAGAGTTAATGATGTTCTCCACTCCCCTAGATGGCAGGTTGCTTGCCCGTAACTATGCGTCAATGCCAGGCCTAATATTAATGTATTATCTAAATAATCATTCATACTGCATATGATCAGCACTCAACGCCTTCCTCTCATCACATTCACTCCTGGTTTGATCCAGTCAACACAAAAAGCTCTTTCCAGAGAACATCAGATTAGAAGGTTACACGTGTTAATTAACCTTTTTTATAGACAATGTACAGCACTGGATATATCGTAGGATCTTCATCTCACTCCATGGGCCCTGGTCCAAGGAGCGAGCCCCACAGCGGATCCTACTGGCCCCCTCCTCCTGGTAAAGACAAAAAGATCAGGTTCCCTTCAGTCTTAGGTTTCTCGCCCTCCCTGAAACATCCCGGTGTTCAGCAGGTGGGGAAGGATGAGGTTTGCCACATCCAGGGGCTAGTGTATTTGCCCTTTTGCCTAGTGCTGTGGGCTCCCAGGAGTTCTGCGGCTCTTCCTGCTCACAGCCACACCTGAACAAGCATCCTGAAGGCAGGTGGGAGGCTCCTCAGGAAGTGATTCAGGCAAAATGCCTTCCATGGAAAGTGCCTAGACGGAAACATCTTTATAGCTCTGTAATGTAAATAATCTTAAAGTCAAAATTTCAACAACATAAAGCAATGTAAATGGGAGACTGTGCACGAACGGGATGGAGAAGAGATTTTAGCTGCACCCAGTTGTACAAGGATCTGGCTAATAGTGCAAGCCTCAGCCCACCTAGAAAGAGAGGACCGAAGAAGGGATGGAGGGAGGAAGAGAGGACGAATGTTCGGACCTCTGTCCAGACTTTCATCACAAATGGGTCTTTATCTAAAAGCCAGAAGTTAGTTAACAGCTTTATTGCTGATGGACTTTTTATGTTAAACACACACACACACACCCCTTACTTTATAGCAAGCAACCTTCAAATTATGGCACCAAATAGGCAAAACTGAAGAAATAAGTTTTCCCATTATGTTAGTGTTAATTAATCCACTTCTTCCTTCAGTCATCCAATTATTTATTCCACAAACTTCTGCGCTATTTTCAGAGCAGCTTTCCAGGTACTGGGAATACTACGCGAGCAAAGGTGAAATCCCTTCCTCAATGAGGTCCACATTACAGCAGGTCACACAGACCACAAACGCACACGATTTCAGGCAGTGGAGGGTGCTACGCAACAGTCACTGCTTTACAAAACCAACCTCTGGAGCTCAGTCAGAGCTTTCATTCCCTCACCTCTTCCAGGACTGAAATCATTATGCTCTTTACTGATCACGTTATTGATTTTTTTACTCCTTGGGAAGCTGGTCCTTCAAATTCAGATATCTAAAACTTTCCAGTGTACAGAGTGGAGATGCTGCATGTGAGTCACCCATGCTAAACCAAGTGGCGATTTTGGAAAGTCCCAGTTCTGTATTAAGGGGTCTGGGAGATGTTCACACAAAACAGGAAATGCACACGCACGTGTTATTCTTTCCATGGCGACTGATCAGTGTGGATCTCTAATCTAGCCACGGTGTGTCGTCAAGGGGACCGCACAGACACCATGGCCCCAGGTTAAAGAGTAAGCTCTAGCTGTGCTCACGGTCCCTTATCAACCTCCTCTCCTAATCCGAAGCCCTTTTGTTTGCACCGGGGAGCTGGCTGCTGTCTGTGGATATCTATCAGCGGCAAATGCTTCTGTTGCCTGGTTACTCTTGGAGACTGCACAGGCCTGGGGTGGACAGCCGGTCAAAACACGTAAAGGGACAGTAACTGTGTGGGCAAAGAGGTGGCCCTGCAGACACATGCTGTCCTTGGTGCTCTGTGCCAGGAAGACAGAGGGCCAACATGGAGCAGGTGTGCGACGCTGTGCTGAAATCTGCCCCCTGACACATGGTGTGCAGACTTGACTTGATGTCGAGAAAGAGGCTCCTGGACCCCTGCGGCAACCGGTTGAAAAGGGCCTCCGAGGCAGTGGCTCACTCTTCTGGCCAGAGCTTCCAGACTCTGCTTTGGAAGTGGTCTGCTGAGGGCAGTCATGGTGCCTCACCCTCTCCAGCCAAGGGATGGGCACAAGACCGAAGTGGTGGCAGTTAAACAATCAGTCCCCTGAATTTAAATCTTGAGCAGAGGGACCCAAGGACAAAAAAAAGAACCAGCAGCCAGAGCATGTCTCCCACTCCCTCCCACCCCAGGCGGGTCATCCTGCAGCTCTCCTCCTCCCTGAGGCTCCCAATCCCTGATGCTTCGCTGGCCCTCGCCATTGGTCCTTCTAGCAAATCCCCTTCCCCTTTAGGTGGCCAGCACCAGGTTCTGCTGCGTGCAACCAGAGACCTCACGTTAGTTTCCTCCAGCCGCCGTGACAAAGTACGACAAGCCAGGAGGCTTGAAGAACAGGCATGCACGGCCCCACAGTCCCAGGGGCCAGATGCCCAAGCTCGGGGTGTCGGCAGGGCTGCTCCTCAGGTCACAGGCAGGCTCTGCCCGTGCCTGTCCCCGGCTTCTGTGGTGGCTGACATTCTTGGTACTTCGTGGCTCCTAGAAGCACCACCCCAATCCCTGCCAATGTTCTCTGCATCCAATCCCCCTCTCTGTAAGGACACCAGTCATAGTAGATTAAGGCCTAATCTAATGACCTTGCTTTAAGTTGGTCACCTCTATAAAGACCTCGTCTCCAAGTAAGATCACATTTTGAGGGGGCTGGGCCTCCAACATTCTTTTTGTAGGGAACACCCCTCACCCTGTAACAGACTCTGTGACCCGCAGTCAACCACCCCACCCAGCAGTGGTGAGCACCTGGAACCTGCAGACCTGGACTCCGGGCCTGGGGCACCTGTGAGCCATCCTTGGCATGGTTACATTAGCCATGGGCGGGCGAGCAACCTGCCTTGAGATCTGGCTGAATGGGGAGGCCTGAAAATATGCACACACCTCTGTAAGGAGATGGAGTCACCCCTTAGTGAGGGTGGGTTCATTTTTTTACCAGCACCCTGGGAGCTGGTCATTCCTACGTGGAAAGTGACCTTAGGTGAGTTGGAAACCCTTGAGTTCAGTCACCAGGCTCTGGAGATGGGTCTTCTGAAAGGTGAGGGTTAGGGTGATGGACTCCAGGTGGATCCTCCCCATGAGAGAAAAGCAGGGGGCACGTGCCATGGTCGTACACAGCCCTGCTGGCTTTTTGGGCCTAACTGTAGATATGATAATACAATGTGGGAACAGCGCCAGGCCTGTGAACTCCAAGTGCACCATTAAGGGACTCTGATTAAAGACTGACGCCAACACAGAGGAAAAGGATGGAGATTCCCAAAACATCGGCAGAGTTCCTGGACGTAGCCGTTCCTGAAGCTAGAATCTCCTCTCTTCAATTACACCTGTCAAGAGCTCCCGTTTTTGCTGAGGCTAGTTTGAGCTGGTTCTCTGTCATCTGAAATCTGAAGATCGCGACACACATAATATAATACCACGGGGCATAGCAAGCCCCAAGGCCTCTCTGAGCCCACGGCTATATCAGCAGCCTCATTTATGTGTCCTGCAGAACAAAAGGAGCAAGTAAATGACATCCCAGGGCCCGAGTTTACCAAGAGACACGAGTGAAATGGATGATACCGAGACCTGGGTACCATAGCTGGAAGTGTGACTATTTCCTCGACATTTCCAAAACTCTTGCCAAACACATTTGTACTCTACCCTTTTACTGCCCTTGAAGGTAAACCTGGAGCCATCGCTGAACCCAGCCTGGTACTGAGGCCAGCAGGCCAGCATCACACACACTTCCCGACAGGCCCAGGACAGCACTAATGACTCGTTTGACTGTAACTGGCACTGAGACTTCAGTATCAACAGAGCCCATTCCACGTCGACTTGTCTACTTTAAAAAATAATAACAGAACAAAATGAAACCAACAAAATGGAATTTAAAATACATAATTGCTTTAGTCATGAAGAGTAACGACATTAAGAGCCATTTTAACTAGACATTTCCGCACAAATAAAATTAGGCCGAGACAGTTAGTCTTGGGGTCCTGACCAAAAATGAGCCCTGAGAACTTGCAGGCCTGTTTGTTTCAGGTTGGATCCTGGGTAACAGGCAGGGCCTGTGGCTGACTGGAGCAGACGTGAAGCCCCCACAAGGCTGCATAGGAGGTTCCGGGGAACAGAGTCCCCAAACATCACAAGTTTTGCCATCTCTGTGCCCACTGTTAACTGACCCTCTTTCTTTAAATGGGCTTGTGTTTTACATACATAATTATATTGAAAAAGGAAACTACATATAACACAAAACTGTTGGTTAATTCACTAGTTATTTTGTACATAAATTCACTATTCACTAATTGTACGTATAATTCTCTACTATTTTTCATATATTTATATATAATATATATTTGATAATAGAGATGGAGTCTCACTTTGTTGCCCAGGGTGGTCCCAAACTCCTGGACTCAAGCGATCCTCCCACCTTTGCCTCCCACAGTGCTGGGAATACAGAAATGAGCCACTGCACCTGGCCTACTAGTTATATTTTTCCTAATAATTGTATTTTTTCCAATAACTACATGACCATAGCTAGCTAGGGTTTGTTGATTGTTTTTGTCTATTTTATTGCCTGTACAACACTCTTGGAAATATTGGGCTAGTTGGCAGATTTAGGCAATGCCTCCACTAGGCTGATAGTCGCAAAATTCTCCACAAAAGGCATAGAAGACAAAATTTCTCTCTCTCTGACCCTGCTCAATGCTTAGATGTAACCTCTGTTCCCAGAGCTCATGGCATCGAGTAAACAGTTCTTGCCTACTAAGCCCTGCAGGTAGGAACAAGAAGACTCATCTAACAGAGAAAATGAAAGAACAGATGGCGTGGACTGAGGTCTGGGGATACTGTTGGGGCCATTTCCTTCTAGTATCAATGGTTTCTTATCTCAACAAATATTTGCCAAGCATCTGTAGTGTACAAAATCAGGTTGCTGGGCTACTTACACAAATACATATAAAACGAAGGTCAACTGAATACTATTAAAGACTGAGGTAATTCCATCCTGCATTATTGAATTTAAAAAGCATATTATGATGAACACACACATGTATTCCCCTTTAGCTTTTTCTATATATTTCAACACTTATACAAATAGAAGCACTTTTATTTTACTTTAAGTTCTTGGCTACATGTGCAGAACATGCAGGTTTGTTACACAGGTATACATGTGCCACAGTGGTTTGCTGCACCCATCAGCCTGTCATCTAGGTTTTAAGCCCCACAAGTATTAGGTATTTGCCCTAATGCTCCCCCTCCCCTTGCCCCCACCCCCTGAAGTAGAGGCACATTTGCACAGATTCTCGAGTAATGTACACAGGTAGCATGGACAAGTATGTTCCCTGCTGTAGTACTGATAATAATTAGGCATGGTTAGGGGACAGTTAGTTAACTGTTGTCATCTGTGTGTGCATCTACATATAGCACAATTGTTCATCAACAGCAGCAAGTGCCTTCAGTGGGCATAAGCTGCCTCCCATAACCTCTTAGCGCTCAACTCCATGCACACCAAGCTGGTTACCACCAACACCTGCATTTCTGTGCCTGGGGGCTCCATCTAGCTGAGACCCAAGCCTGACCTACATGCAGGGCAAGCAAGACATGCTGGAGCCTCCATGCACCTGCAAGACCGCCTCAGCCAAGTGAAGAGTGCTGGTGGATAAATACCCCAGCTCCCTCATCCCTCAAGCAGATAATCCCACGGTGTACACCACAGTCTCCCAGAGGTTCCACAGCAGGATTGAGTCCCCATCACCCACAGTGGCAACTGGCTGGATAACACACACCCATTACTGACTTCCTGCCCTGCCCTGTCTCACTTCCACACTCCCCTCCCAAAATTTCCTGGGGTCACCTTCCCATGAAACCACTTTTGCTGGAATACTTATCTTGGGCTTGCTCTAGGAGAGCCCAGGCTGAGACACTCAGTATAGCTACACTGCTGGGTGAAACACAGCGATTTACAAGGCTGAGGTTGGGTGCCAATGTACTCATAGGAAATAACAGGCAAAGGTCTCTAGGAAATGTTCTGGAAATGGAAAATACTAATCTGCAGAAAAATATAGTTTTCTTTAAAGCACATACAAAATTATAGGACAGAGTTTCACATATGTTTGGAAGGTCCAAACTGATGACAGTGGTTAGCTTGGTAGAAGAGTCAAGATACATGAGATTTTACAAATTAAATATATAAATTTAGTATGTAAGTAATGAAAATTAAAAGTTGCAGAACAGATTATGTGTGTACTTGGACATGCACACATGGAGTTGTGTGTCCACATCCACTTTTGTCTATACACCTGCCTCTATTTTACACCAAGACGTGTGTGTGTGTGTAGATTTGTGTATGCGTGGGGAAAGGTCTGAGAATTCTGAAAAGAAACACCAAACTCTTCATAATGATTGCCAATGGGAATTAGGAACAGGAAATATTTATCAGGTGATTTTAATGTTTTACTTTATACATCTCTGTGAGATGTGACTTTTTCAGTGAGCATCTGCTGCCCTTCAAATCTGACAAGGTAAAATAATTTTGTTTTTTCTTTTACTGTACTGATTTAATTCACTTTAACTAGGATTATATTTGGGTTTCTTTGAGACGGAGTCTTGCGCTGTTGCCCAGAATGGAGTGTCATGGCACTATCTCAGCTTACTGCAACCTCTGCTTCCCGGGTTCAAGCAATTCTCCTGCCTCAGCCTCCCAAGTAGTTGGGATTACAGGCACACGACCCCACGCCCAGCTAATTTTTGTATTTTTAGTAGAGCCAGGGTTTCAC
This sequence comes from Homo sapiens, assembly GCF_000001405.40. Taxonomy (NCBI): domain Eukaryota; kingdom Metazoa; phylum Chordata; class Mammalia; order Primates; family Hominidae; genus Homo; species Homo sapiens. Next base: position 130,624,924 of record NC_000012.12, read on the forward strand.
CATGTTGGCCAGGCTAGTCTCAAACTCCTGACCTTGTGATCCGCCCACGTCGGCCTCCCAAAGTGCTGAGATTACAGGCATGAGCCACCACGCCAGCCGACCTATCTGGGTGTCTTAAATTGATACATAATAAATGGACATATTATTGGGGTACACGTGATATTTTGATACACCCATATAACGTGTGAAAGTCAAATCAGGGTAATTAGGATATTTATTACATTAATCTTTTTATGCTAGGCACTTTCAAATTATTCTCTTGCAGCAATTTTGAAATGAGCATAACTTTAAAGCTGCTCACACATACTCACAACCCCTGTGAAAGTTGTTGATAACTTTTCCAACTCAGATCTGTGAATAAGCATCTTAATATGTTTTATTGACATAGAGGGGCGCCGAGACCTGTCTGGATGGAGGGAAACGACAGAGCCGTTGAGAATGGTCATTGTGGATTTAGACAGGAAATGCTGCCTTTGGAGAGATTAAAATTTAGCAGCCACTGAGGTGTGCTTCAGGCAGCTCTAACTTCCTCCAGACTGGAGCTACTCTCAGAGAGCCTCCTCTTCCAAGTCAAATGTGCAGCCCATCTCAGACTCACGAACTAGGCCCACTCTTTCAAACAGTCATGAGGACCTATTTTCTAATTGCTCTCCCTTCATGGTGAAATAATTCAAACATTCCATTCCCTTCTAGAGTGAGAACAAGAGCTAAATTTAAATGCAATAGCTTAATGATGCATCTGCAATTCCAAGCAGCCAACAATCTATCAAAAAAAGACCAGCTCATTCCAAATATAGGAAAGACTCATACACACATACATCACTCCACTCTAGCTTCCAACCCCAGAATGACCAAAATTTAAAAATATCAAAAAAGTAATAAGCCCTCAAAATAATCTGCTTGTGATCCCTAGGAGGACTGATTGGCTTCTGTATCCCATAGGCCAAGTATAATAAATGCACTGGAAAAAAATTACAACTAATAACCCACACCACTCAGTTGAAACACACTCTTTGAAAGTGTTCTTAATGACACAATTTGTCTTTTTAGGGCATACAGATAAACATATTGTCATAAATTATATTCATTGAAGAAACTGATACCATTATATTAATAATGAAAATGAAAGGGTTTTGAAATATTTTTCAGGAATCTTACCCACCTCCAAGGATGCTGCCTTTACTCATTAAGTGATGATTAGTGGCTCTATTGTAATGAGAAACAAATGATTACCAAGTGTATATCCTACATTGGAAAGAGTTAAGTTTCACATCAGACCTTTTCTGCCTTCTTCTATGGAAAATGAATGCATAAAATAGGAATCAGAGGACTGGGTGTGGATTTAGGTCTACTGAACACATACTGGCTGGATCCATTACCATCATTATCACCACGACTACCGCCAGCATCACCATCAGCTCCTCCATCACCACGACTACCACTGGCATCACCACCATCTTCTCCATCACGACTACCGCCAGCATCACCATCAGCTCCTCCATCACCATGACTACCACTGGCATCACCACCATCTTCTCCATCACGACTACCGCCAGCATCACCATCAGCTCCTCCATCACCATGACTACCACTGGCATCACCACCATCTTCTCCATTACCATGACTACCGCCGGCATCACCACCATCTTCTCCATCACGACTACCGCCGGCATCACCACCATCTCCTCCATCACCACGACTACCACTGGCATCACCACAATCTCCTCCATCACCATGACTACCAGTCATCACCATCTCTTCCATCACAACTACTGCTTCATCACACCTCCTCCATCACCACAACTACCGCCGGCATCATCACCATCTCCTCTGTTGCCACGACTACCTACCACCAAAATCATCACCATCTCCTCCATCAACACGACTACCACCAGCATCACCACCATCTCCTCCATCACCATGACTATCAGTCATCACCATCATCTTCTCCATCACCACGACTACTGCCGGCATCACCACCATCTTCTCCATCACGACTACCGCCAGCATCACCATTACCACCATTATCACCACGACTACCGCCAGCATCACCATCATCTTCTCCATCACCATGACTACCACCAAAATCATCACCATCTCCTCCATCACAACTACCACCAGCATCCCCATCTCCTCGATCAAGTCTACTGCCAGCATCACCACCGTCTCCTCCATCACTACAACTACCGCCAGCATCATCAACATCTCCTCCATCACCAGGACTACGGCTAGCATCATCACCATCTCCTCCACCACCACCACGCTTACTGGAATCTGAGACTCAGACTCATTTGCCAAGCCCAAGCAGGGGCACCAAAGGTCCAGCTGATTCATCTTCTGCTGCGCGATCAAATGCAGGTGGAACAGTCAGTGCCACCAGTGCCTAGCCAGCCATTTCCGGGTTGAAAACCTTTAGTAACAGAAAGCAGCTGTTATTCTTACTACCCAAGATTGTCTCATGATCACACAGGGTGAAATGAACTATTGCCCTGAGTTCAGATCACACCTCTGCACAGGAAACCTCAAACCAAACATTTCACAAGGAATGAAGAAACCAGCCTAGAGTTCTCTCCTGAACCCTGAACCTGACCATCGAACTGTGGATTTTCCCGTGTATTTAGGTGTCAGTCGGGTAACTCAAACTCAAAACTGGGCTTCGGCGCAAACCTGAATGTGAATCTCCCCACACTTCTACTGCTCTCTCAGTCTTTCTCATCCTAGGAAATGGTCCTCCCCTTCCACCATGCAGCCCACGCCAAAAATATGAAGGCCATTCTTGTCACCCCCTTGCACTCCCTCTCAGCCCAGTCTATCACAATGGCTAGCAGGTCCTGCTGCCCCAATATATCCGGGACCTCTCCAATGACCCTCACGTCCACTACCATCCTGGTGCAGGCCACCCTTGCCAGTCATGTGGACTACATGGTCGCCGCCTAATCCTCTTTGCTCCCACGCTTACCTCCACCTCCATTCAGAACTGGAAGTGATCTTATTAAAATAAAAATTGGATCATGTCACTCTCCACCTAAAATCAATCACTACTCTCTGGACATTGTTCTTGAGATTTAGAATCAATACCCTAGCACAGCCAGCCCTGAGGTCCTGAATGAACTGCCCTGTCCATCTGTCCCCATCTGTGCTCCAGACACCCAGATTTTCAGGCATCAAGTTCTTTCTTGCCTCAGGGCCTTTGCACGGCTGTTCCCCATGATGTTCCTCTCTCTGTGAGGGTAAGGAACACATCTGCTCTGTTTACTACTTAGTCCTCTTAATTAGGGGACATACAGTTGGCACTCGATAAATATGCCTCAAATAAATCAACAAACCATGAAAGAACAGACACAGCCCCTAACTGATACAGAGGAATACTGCTTCTGAGAAAAGAAAGGACGACTTACCACAAAGTTTCTCTGCTGAGTTCCTGGTCTCAGGAGAGGAAGTGGGAAATTTCCCCAGCGGTCTCCCAAAGCTTGGGTCTGATCGAATGTGGCCTCAGCACCTGCAGGCTTCAGGTGTGGCGGGTCATTTCCAAGCTGCGGGAAGAAGTAGACACAATCTTCTGTCACCAAAGAATGACTTGCAATTTTGCTTGTCTGCCTCCTTCACCTTCCTTGATGCTTAAGAGCCAGGGAGAAGCAGGAATTCTGCTACCATTTTCCAGTTCAGAACACTGAGGGCTGAGTGAGGGACAGATTTGAAACTGAACTCATGGTCCTCCCAGCCTGAGATTTTTCTTTCCCTTCAACCAAATTTCCTGGTATGGAACAGTGCAACAATACAACACAGCCATTGACATGAAGCTTTTGTGACTCCTTGAGTAGACCATCAAGTTCCTGAATTTGCCAAAAGAAATGCACTTAGGGCTAATTATCCAGGATAGACAGATGATAGCAAGGGACAGAATTGAGGGCACAAGTCAATAACTGGGCATGCACTGCACATATCCTTAATTATCAAGATGTGACTGATGCCCAGCCGATGACAGAAAGAGTTATTATAGGTCAAATTAATTAATAAAAATAAATATAAAAACCAACAAGCATGCTACACATAGTAAACTCTTAAAGAATTCCCACCTTGGCCATCAAATATTCAAAAACAAAAATTCCTGTATATCAGTAGACCTTCATGTTGACATGCACAATCAAAATATCAGAAATTTCTTTACTTCTGTTTTGCTAAAAAGAGTTATTAACCTGCTCAGAACCACAGAATAAGATGATAAATTGAATTAACTTCGGTTTCATCAAAAAGCTTGCTGATATCCTGCATCCATATGAACCAGCAGGAGTGAGAGGAAGGATAAAAAGCAAGTGAGGCTTTATCCTAGAACTTGGAGCTGAAGAACCATCTGTATGGTCAAAATTCAATTTATTTCAATTTAGCAAACATGTTCTGAGCACCTGCAAAGTTCCTGACAGCTGTTAGGCCCAAGCATGAGTAAGATCAAGGCCTTCCAGGACTCTTCGTCTGACAGGGAATACCAGAACAGGCATGCATAATGTTAGTTCAAGCTAGAATCTAATAAAATTTAGAATTTTGTGCAAGCAATCTGTGAGGGAAACACATCTAGGCAGGAGACTGAAGTTTATTTTCTAGAGATATTTAATGAGGGAGCTCAGGACTCACATGCAGCAGGTAGAGGTCATAACAGCCAAGTGCTATTATATTGAAAACAGAAATTAGACAGTCCACCTGTGGATACCCCTCCCCAGATCCAATGCATTAAGCAGGTAGGTGGATGCTACCCCTCACCACTCTCAAACTAGGCAAGAGACTGGAAATATTTTGGTAGAAAACTACAATCCAAGAGCAAAGACCATGTTTGACATGAGGAGATTCTACAACAAAATGTGTTCAGCTCCCTCACAGCTACCCTGGAGTGAGCTCACCACTGACCTCCCCCAACCTGTCAAGACTATGCTCCAAAAGCAGTCTTGGAGTACCAAGGAGTACAGCTTCATTTAAAAACCTCTAATATGGAAGAGTAAAAGAACATAATGATAAAACCCAGAAGAGAGAGAGATCATCCAGCCAACCAATCAAGCTTTAAAAAAAAAAAAAAAAAAGCAACAAGTCTAACAAGTATCTTCAGAAAGCACATAAAAGTCAAGAACAAGATGCTAAAAAGACCAATGAAGGACAAAAAGAACTCTTGTGAATGAAAAAGATAGTTGCTGAAATAAAAATTTTAATGGCAGATTTGGATGATAAAAGATATGTCCCAAAGTGCTAGAAAATATTAAAGATAAAAAGAGACTATCAATCCAGGAGGTCTAACTTTTACCAATAAGGTTTCTAGAAAGAGAAAATAATAACAACAATCAGCTGACTGATGCCCAGCCAACTACAGAAAGAGTTATTGTCAAGTTAATTAATAAAATTAACATAAAAATTAATTATAAAAATTAATATAAAAAATATAAAAAGCATGCTACACATAAACTCTTGGGGAATTCTCATCTGGGCCACCAAATATTTAAAAACAAAAATTCCTATATATATATGTATCAGTAGACCTTCATGTTGACATAAACAACCAAAATATCAGAAATTCCTTTACTTCTATTTTGTTAGAGTTTTTAAACTGCCCAGAATCACGATAAATTGAAAATTGTCAGAAAAACATAAGAACATGTTCTAGATTAAAGGATCTCTGAGTGCTCTGCAACACAGATGAGAACAGACCTAAGCAAAGAGTACCATGAGATTCAAGAAGGTGAATGATAAAGAGAAGGCCCTAAATACTTCCCATAACCGTTAGAAAGAAGAGGTGGAATTTTAAAAAGGAAAAAAATGGGTTAGGGCATTAGACTTCTCAGCAGCAATCTTAGAAGCCAACAGAATGTCTTTAAAATTCTGATTGACTATTATTTCCAACTTAAGGTTCTATACCCAAAACAAGCTGTCAGTCAAGTGTGAGGATAGAGAAGAGAGATTACCATACATGCAAAGACTCATAAAATGTACCTCCGCAGCCTGTTCTTTCTTAGGAAATGACTGGAAGCTGTGCTGCAGCAAAACAAGTGGGGAAAAAAAAAAGATAAAAGGGAAAGCCACGGGATCCAGGAAACAACAAATCCTACCCTAAACAGGGATAGAGAAGAATTCCAAGGTGACAGCTGAGCCTTAGCTCTCAAGAGCAATGGGTTTGAAACAAGATTACAAAGAGCTTTAGAAATAAAGAATCTAGAGAAAAGAGAGACTCAAGAAAAGCTTTTGATATCAGAAAGAACGGGAGAAGAGTTTTTAATATGTGGATTGCAAATGGCACAATTGAAAATCAGGCTATTAATAACTCCAGGAAAACTAAAAAGCCATACAACGAAAGGGATGTAACCACAGTCACTAATTGGTGCTACCATTAGCAATATACACACAATAACAACGTAACAACTAAGTATTCACTTAAATAAAGTAGCAATTTAACTATGTGTATAGACTGGGGGAGGGAAACTAAGATAACTAAATCTTCATTTACCACAGAGCTTCTTAAACTCAGCAGTGTGACATTTGGGGCCAGGTAATTCTTCCTTGTGCAGGCTGTCCTGTGCACTATGGGGTGTTTAGCAGTATCCCTGCCAGTAGCAACCAGAGGCCAGTAGCACACACGTTTCCCTGAATCATGACAAACAGAAGTGTCTCCCAACGCCAACCCTGAAAGGCAAAACTGCCCGCTCAAAGCCCTTTGAGAACCACTTATCTACCACCCCAGAAAGTGCTGCTAATATTTTTTTACTTTGGAAAACTGGTAAGTCAAAAAAAAAAAAAGTTACAATATTGGCAATTTTTACTATTATTTAAGAGCTTCAAGAAGAAACCACTAAAAGTATTGAAAGTGGGCTCAAGGGACTGGGTATGGAAAGAAGAGACAGCACGAGATTGTTTCCATATACCTTTATACACTTAATTTTTCAAATTACATGCATGCACTTTCAAGTTATAAACTACTGTTGCAGCACAAAAGAAAGCATGCTTGTGTCTGGCTTGGGAACTCACTGAAGTCTTCCTCCACAAATCTTTCTCAAAGGAAACCTTATACTATCACATTAACTTACTTGATATGCCCATGTCTTTTCTTTAAACTACATGAAACAAATAGTTATCACATAAAAACATTTTTAAAAATCTATACATCTCCTAAAATCAACTGATGTAACACCACTGGTCCACCTACTTCATCGTGGGACGATTTCAGCAAAAAATAAAAGAGACGTTTCTAACCAGATCAGATGGGCTGGATGCAAACAAATCAAGGCAGACACCTCCAGTGAGATCCCTGCAGGCAGAGGCACATCGTCGTCATTGCTGACTACCTCCTTTTAGTGCAAACCCCCAAATCCTTACCTCCACCAACACACATCCTATTCTGCTCCTCTAAGGAATCATGTTCTCTCAGAGAAATCATTAAGAATAACATGAAAAAACGAGATTACAGGAAGTCACGATAATCTGCAAGTGATGTACATTTTTTTTTTCTAGTTCTATTACAGAAGAAAAAATTGGGGGGTGGGGCAATGATTCCTGGCTTCTCAATGCATTTAGTGCAGGTCGGTGCCCTCCGTACAGAACAAGTAAACCTACCGCTTTCTCCCCTCATCTTCCTGGGCTGCCGGGATGTGCTTTTTCAACCACCCTGTTCTCTTTGCTCTGGGGCCCCTCCTGTCCTCGGCTCGGCCTACTCCATCGTTAAAGAGGCTAAGGGGCTTTAATATCTCACCAGGCTGACTGGAGAGCTTGCTAATGATGATAGGGCATAAAAAACTACTCTGTATGGTTACATGTGAAGTATGTTAATTATTAATTCAAAAGTGGTCCAGCAAGTTAAAGGATTTGTGGGGCTGTGCATAACCAACCCTAATGAGCCCATGTAAAATTGAGTACAGAGCTTGAAGACCACTTTACACAAAGTTTTAATTAACAGAGCCATTTAGGCAGAGAGGAAAACAAAAACAATGATTCATTGATGTACGTTTTACTGCTGCCGTGGAACACCAGGACACATAAAACACCGGCCACCTGCTCTGCCCCATAAACATCTTCCTCACGGAGCACAGGATCATGCCTTCTGCCAGGAGGGAGGAGCCAGTTCTTGCTATTTAATGTTAGGCATAGACGCAGTTCATTTCATCTGTTTACTACAAGGTCCTCGCTACATAGAATAAAAAAAGAACCCCCCAGGTCTTAAGCCAGAGTCAGCACCCTCACGTTTTGCTGTATATTTCAACTAACAGCGGACCTACATGAAATTAAAATGCTACAATTATATCTATTGTCTGAGTATATTCATTATCTAAAGGGTGTTCAACTTTGTCTCATCATTTGAGCTCAAAGAATTGAAAATGTTGCACAAAAATTGAATACAGAGTAGGAATTTCCACTTGAGATTTCACAACTTTGAATGGATGCTGTTTCTAATGCCAGTTCTGTGATGCTTAAACTAGCAAAACCAAACTGTTCCCACCAGAACGGTGAATTCCTGAGGGAGGAAAGTTGGAGGGACAAATAACCGGACACCCAGCCCTTGCCTTTCCTCCTGAACCACATCCTATCCCGAGTGTCCCGCCCACAGCCCACCGAAACTGATCCTCGAGACCAAGGGTCTTTTCTAGCCTGATACAAGGCCTGAGGACAGATTTGGAACAGCATACCCACAGGGTAGTAACAGTGATTTGAGCCACAATTAAGACCCAAAGGTTTAGAAACCAGGGGTTATCACAACCCCTTGAGGCTGGAAATGCCTCTTCCCACCTCTCAGCCCAGAAAACAACCCTTGCTCTACAGCCCACAGCCTAGAAAGAGATTGATTTCCCGTCTGTGTCTAAGCTGTATCTCATTAACCCACGGGGCTCTTTCCCCAGCCCCAGAAGCAGGTACTTACAAGGCACCGGAGATTAGTGGTCTAGTGGACCAGACAGACTGGTCCAGGCCTCCCCGCCGGCCCCCCTTCCGGTCCCCGTGGACGCCAGCCTCTCTGAGCCTCGGATGTTTGTGCTCGGCACCAGGCTGGAAGGCTATTTACTTATTCATGGGCTGCCCAAGCCGGCCAGGAACTGCTTTGTGTCAGCTGAATAGGATGGTAATTCAATCTGCGAATGGGAGCCGTTGGCACACAGCACGCCTGTCATAATGAGTCACAGGGGGGACAAGCACCCAGCGTTCAGAGCCACTGGGAACCTGTCCTTCGACAACGAGCTGTGTCACAAGACACCACCTTCCTTTCCTCAGTCGCTCTCTTCCCCCCGAATCTCCCCACCCCTGATCAACTCTCCTGGAGATGCATGACACAGAATTACATATCCTTGGGAGCGGAGACGGGGAGGCGGGTAATGCCACCTGTTCTCTTGAGCTGTATACATGGAAATAGAGGAGACAGAAGTGTTGGGAAGGAATCTGAAGCAAGAAACGCGGAGTGAGGAAGCGGGAGGAAAAGCTCACCTGCACCAGGAGTCCTCAGGTTTAATGTTTTCTATGCCCTATCTCACACACTCCTCATCAAAGCCCTTGGAGCAAATGAACAATTAGCCTCAGGCAGGTTAACAATCACACCCGAAGTCTCTGACTGGGGGTCTTTGAGCCCTGGTCCATCTCACGTCACAAGCCACATGCTGCCTTTGGTCCAGCACGTCACATCATCCAATGCAAAGAAACCTGCCTCTCTTTAAAGATGACTTTTTTTTTTTTTCCAGACAAGGTCTCATTCTGCCACCTAGGCTGAAGTGCAGTGGCGTGATCTCAGCTCACTGCAGCCTCGACCTCCCAGCTTCAAGCTATCCTTCCACCTCAGCCTCCCAAGTAGCTGAGGCTACCAGTGCTTACCACCATGCCTGGCTAATGAAAAAATATATATATTTTTGTAGAGATGGGATCTCACTATGTCACCCAGGCTCATCTCAAACACCTGAGCTCAAGTAATCCACCTGCTGCAGCTTCCCAAAGTGCTGGGATTACAGGCCTGAGCCACCACACCCGGCTGACTCCACCTGTAAACAAATCATTTTCTGTTTCCAGTAACAACAGAGTCTCCAGCACATTAATTAAAGTCACAGAATCCAGAGCACACAAAAAAAAGGGAGCTGAGATTCAGAGATGAGAAGACCCTAGCCAGGTGACACAGCCCAGCTCCCCCTGCCCCAGGGGACCAGGCAGGATGGAGCCCATCCCCTGCCGTTCTCCTTCCAGGGTTTCTTGAGAGTTAAGGACATGCCTTTCATCAGATTGCTTTGTTCCAGTCTCAGGAAGCTCAGCAGTTCATTTTCTCCACATCCACTGCATGGGCTGCTGGTTACTGCTGTAGAAAAACCACAAGCCAGGCGGGCCAGCGCCTGGACCTACCTCTGTCCCCATTAGACTGTCACTCCAGGAGGGGAGGGACCCTGCTTATCGTATTCTAAGCACCCAGGAGAGCATCCGGCCAAAGGAGCTACTGAAACACTTGTTGAGATGCCAAATGAATGAAGTCTTCAACCTCTCTGTTGCCTTCCCATATGTAGCAGTGAGGATAGGCTGGACTCTGCTGTGGTTACAAATAATTCTGATTACAGTGGCTTAAGATCACCTGGGTGCATTGGTGGCACCTGCCCTGTGTCTGCAGCTCTGCTCCAAATCATCCCCACCTGGGACCCAAGCTGACAGAATGGCCACCACCCAGGTCACTGCACATCAGCAGGAAGGAGAAGCTCGAGGGGATACTGCTGGCATTGAGAGCTGCACCCCAAGACACTGGCAATTTCTGTGCTCTGGACACCAATTCGTGACTCACAATGCTATCTCATTGTGGCACCTGCTACTGTTTCCATGCATCATGCACAGGCCCAGATGGAAAGATGGGGCCCAGGGGTGCAGTCCCACCTAACATCTGAAAGGGACCTGATGAATGCCCACACATCTTATCGTCCTCCCAACCCTTCCCCACTCTACATTCCAGCTTCTGACTTCACTCCCCTGCATTCTCCTACTGGGGCCCCCTACATCCACTCTACCACCCCCTACTGTCTTCTCCACACAGCCAACTTGCAAAACGGAAATCTATGTCCCTCCCCTGCCAAAGCCCCTCTGCCTTCCAGCCTCCGAGTGAAGGTTACCATGCCACTCGTGACCTGGTTCCGCTAAGCCCTCAAGGTTCATCTCTTGCCACCACCCTCCATTTCCACGCTTTATGATGAACTACTCCTTCCAAGATCTCAAACGGAGTCTTTGGCCTCTCTCGGCCAGACCTCACACTCGCTATCCCCCAATGAGGCTGGTCTATACTCCTTGTCCCGACATGGCTGGCTCTATTGTCTTTCAGGCAGATGTCACTTCGCCCAGGAAGCCCTCCCTCTAAGACCTTTCATCTGTGTTCTCATGTCATCTTTCCTCCCTACTGGCACTCTTGAGCACCACACAGATTCCTAATTTCCTAACTACCTATTGGTGGTCCTCACAGAACTAGAACCACGTGGAGATTGGCGGTTGTATGTATCTTATTTACCAGCTGGTTCTGTGCAGGTGCGAGGACCCAGCTTTGTTTTTTTACCAGCTGAATCACCTTGAACACTCATTGGACCTCACTAAACCTCAATTGACTCAGCTGTGAAGTAGGTATAATAGTATCCCCTAATCCAAGGGCTTCTTAAATGGACTAGATGAGGTAATAACCACATAGCTCTTAGCCCAGTGTTGAGTATGTGCCAGATACTCGCACACTATTGAAGAAATGAATGGATGGGGAAATGAGTGAACACTAAACCATCAGCCAGCCCCATGACATGAGCCCAGCAAGGTAGGAATGTCAGCCTGGCGTTACAGAGAGTTTGGGTGTGGAGTCAGCACTGCAGAGAACAGCGCTGAGCTATGAGGAGAAACCAAGTCCTGACAGCATTACTGCAGCCCCTGGATCAAGCTGTAACTGAAGCTGGATACCTACAGCTGGGTTTTTCAGTTGTGTTTCAACACATTCCCTTTTAGGACTAAGTCAATATAATTAGGTTTTCTGCCACTTTTAGTAAAAACCAAACCCAAACCAATACACACCTAGTAATGCCTTGGGGATGGTGTCTTGTCGCCTTGTTCTGGGTACAGAAGAGCAGAGAATCATGAAGGTGTGTACGCTATGCCTATTCAGTACCATCTCTTTGGCTCCAGGTTGCATTTGAATGTTAAAATGGTAAAGTGTTCATAGCAGTATATATAGAAAATTCCACACTCCACAGCCATCGAATCTTTGCACTGAGATGTTCTGCGGAGCTGCATCCTGTTTTCCTGCCTCTGCTGCCTCATCCTGTCCTCAGATCACCTCTCAGCAGAGGCTAAAGCCCCACCGCATCTCCCCATCCCATCACCATTTAAAATGCTTATCACCAGTTGCCCCAGTGGAATGGGAGGCCTCTGGGAGTAGAGTCCTTGTTGGTCTCACAGCCCATGGGGCCCCTCCCAGCCTAGAGCAGTGCCTGGAACGCAGGAAACACTGGATTGACACATTTCGAGTGAATGAATGAATGGATGCGTGCCTGAGACAGCACATCGGACTGGAGGATCCACAATGCTTTAGTGTAATTAGTCATGCAATTAGTGAGTTCAAGAAGCAGCCCCCATTAAAATGAAAGCAATGTAAACCAACCCTGGGAACATATAATAAGAGTAATGTGATTAGAACCAAAGCTTCAGGCCACAGTTAAGGAATCCTAAAATTAATGAAGATAAAGAATTGATCAATGTATCCCTGCACTGTCTGCCGGGAGCAAAGGGATTTGTGGGACTTGGTTAGAACCAACCCTGATGCCTAACAGAATGAGGTAGAGCTGCGATGTCCTGGTGTAAATGTCCTTCTGCTAACAATGTCCTCTTTCCTATTTGTTGTTTATCCAGAAACCTTCAGGCCTGGCTTGGGGTACCTTCCTGTACAGCTCATGGGAAAGGAGAGGAGGGATGAGCAGATTCCCTGGGTCCTGCCGGCTTTACTGACTTTGGTTATTAAGAAGATAATATTCTGGTTGGTAAATAAGTTATTTGGGGACTTTGGCATTGACTGTGTAGACAGTTGGGAAAATCAGCCTTCTTGGAATGCAAACTTAATGACCATGGGTTCTAATGTCCTCTGAACCCAGCCCCAGCTGCTTTGGTATAGTGACTTCACCAACATCTAGTTGCTAGAATGAGATAGTATTGGATGAATAACTTGTGAGTCACGAAATTGGTGTCCAGAGCACAGAAATCGCCAATGTCTTGCCTTCTTGATTTCTCCAGGGTCTCCCCGGATGGACACACATTAAAGCCACCCTGTTTGGGAATAGACACCGATTAAGTTCAGCTTAGAATTACTCCCATAAGCAACCAAGATGTCTTTCATAGGCGAATGAATGATATATCCAGATACTGGAATAACTCAACACTTTTAAAAAATAAATTATCAAGCCACAAAGAGATATAGAGGAGCCTTCATTGCACATCACTAAGTGAAAGAAGCCAGTCTGAAAAGGATATAAACTATATGATTCCAACTCTATCGGGGTCCCGAAGCCCCGAGCTGCGGGCTAGTAAAGGTAGCCTGTTAGGAACGAGGCCGCACAGCAGGAGGTGAATGGTGGGTGAACAAGTGACTGCCTGAGCTCCGCCTCCTGTCAGATCATCAGGCATTAGGTTCTCATAGGAATGTGAACCCTACTGTGAACTATGCATGCGAGGGATCTGGGCTGCATGCTCCTTATGAGTATCTAATGCCTGATGATCTGAGGTTTCATCCTGAAACCTTTCCCCCTCCCCATCTGTTGTCTTCTATGAAACTGATCCCTGGTGCCAAAAAGGTTGGAGACCACTGAACTATAGTACATTGCGGAAAAGGCAAAACTATGGAGATCGTTAAAAAAAAAAAAATTAGTGGTTGCCAGGGGTGAGCAGCAGGGAGGGAATAACAGGTAGAACAGGAGGGATTTTTAGGGCAGTGGAACTACAGGGTCTGATGCTATGACAGAGACACATTTGTCAAAAGCCATAGAATGCACAAGACAAGGAGTAAACCCTAATGTAAACTATGGACTCTAGTTAATAATACAATATCAATATTGGATCATCAACTGAAACAAATGTACCATAGTAATAATAGGGGAAACTGTGGGGTCAGGAAGAGGGGGTGCTTGGGAACTCCCTGTACTCTTTGATCAGTTTTTCTGTAAACCTAAAACTGCTCTTTTAATAAAAGCCTGGCCGGGCACGGTGGCTCACGCCTGTAATCCCAGCACTTTGGGAGGCCGAGGCGGGTAGATCACCTGAGGTCAGGAGTTCGAGACCAGCCTAGGCAACATAGTGAAACCCCCATCTCTACTAAAAATACAAAAATTAGCCGGGCATGGTGGCAGGCACCTGTAATCTCAGCTACTCAGGAGGCTGAGGCAGGAGAATCGTTTGAACCCGGGAGGTAGAAGTTGCATTGAGCCAAGATCACGCCATTGCATCCCAGCCTGGGCAATAAAACTCCATCTTAAAAAAAAAAAAAATCTATTGGCCAGGTGCAGTGGCTCACACCTGTAATCCCAGCACTCTGGGAGGCCAAGGCACTCCAGACTAATAGAACAAGATCCTGCCTCAAAAAAAAAAAAAAAAAAAAAAAAAACCAACTAAGTATCACATTTTTTTCAAAACTGACCAAAAAAGTACCTCACCCCTTTAATTGCTGTTCTTTTGTACACAGCAAGTGTCTACACCATTCCGGGTCAGTGGATTTCCTCCTGGTCAGCAGGCTGGGCTCATTCAGATGAGTCTGGGCAGCTCGGGGGCTGGGACTACCGTGTCCTCTGCTATACTCCCAGTCCCCGAATGGCACCTGGCTCATGGGACCCGCACCCTAACTATTTTGTTGAATGAAGTATTTTATTTCTTGTATCTCCACTTAGCTACAAATGACAGATCATTAACAAGTGAAAATTGAAAGCCGAGATGAAAACCTCCCCCAGGAAACGTAGTCAGGCTGCTCCATTCTCCAGAGATGTAAATCAATAAAATAATTCCAGAGAGCTTAAGACGCTTGGATCACTCCATAAATTCCTGACATATGAGGGAGCCCTCAACTTCCTGGCGTTTCTGTTCCAGGAAGTCTAACCCTGTGGGGACCTGGCTAGCTTTCTAGTCAGTTCTAGTTGGTTTGAATTATTGCAGGCTGCACAGGTCATGCCTGTACACTCCGCCCCAGAACAATGGGCATCTCACGATGTTATTCTCGATCACAGACATTTCAGCCACCAAGGAAGATGGGGAACAAACACACCGCCTAGAACCAACCTTGCTGCTCAAGGAAACAGCTCAGAGAACAGGACACTCCCCGGGGACAATGTGTACCTGAGCTCAGCGATGCTTTGCATTTAATTAAACACACTTACCGCTCAAGAGCAATTTCATCAGCTTAATCATCTTACACGAAAATTAATTTTGCTCCCACTAAAGGCCCTGGAACAATTATGTATGGAACCTTCCATCACAGATTAAGCTTATCTTCAGCCCAATTATTTCTTTATTTTCAAACCGAAGTTCAGTGTATCGTGCTATTTTCTAAAATAAAGTTATGTTCAGAATTTCATTTTCCGTTTTAATGCTAGTTATTAACACTATTCGTGTCTGTAACCACAGCCAACATTTTGAGAGCTTCCTCTGTACTAAGAAAGGTTCAAAGCATCTTACTCAAAGTGTTCACTGAAGCTTCGAAAGAGCCCGTGAGGTAGGCACTGTGATGACCTGCGCTTGTTACGAGGGAGACACCACGGCCGGCCCAGAGGGCTTCAGGCACCTCCTGGTCCTACAGCTTGAAAGACAAGGCGTGGGGATTTGGACGTCGGCATCTGGCCCCAGGGACCGCACAGCCACTGGGCTTCACCTCTGCCCCCTCCTGTGCCACCCCCTAAGTTAGAGGATCAACACAGACCAAGGGGAGAGAGGCAGCTGCTCTGGGCCACCAAGGTTTTCAAAGGAAAAATTATTCTCTTTTCAGATGTGAAAGAAAAGCCTAAGTGGGCCTTTGGAAACATTAAATTGATAACTTTAATACTAGGAAACTACTGGGAACGCCATCAACCAAAGAAAGGGCAGACATGGCCCTATTAAAGCTAACTAATGTCGGCGTCACAGCCGTCCTGGCACTCAGCGCTGTTTCTGTGGTTGGGCAGGAGAAACCGCAGTCTTGCCATCATTTTAACTGATTCTAACACGTGC
The DNA here is from genome assembly GCF_000001405.40 of Homo sapiens. Lineage (NCBI taxonomy): Eukaryota > Metazoa > Chordata > Mammalia > Primates > Hominidae > Homo > Homo sapiens. The sequence continues at coordinate 130,641,103 of NC_000012.12, forward strand.
CTTGGAATGCCAGCACAGTGCTCTACTCGCAGCCACTGGCAGGCATGCAGTCATAATTACGAGATCACAGAAGGGTCAGATGGTCCCAAGTCCTCTTCTGTTTGCCATTCCAAGGACAGAAAGCTAAATCGTGAGCCCTGACCGCACTGCAAGGGCCAGGTCTCCCAAGACTGCAGGAAGCCTTCATCTCATGGTGACTGCCGGACACTCGGCCCGGCATCACGGGCTGGATTTAGGATGGTGACTGCCGGACACTCGGCCCGGCTTCACGGGCTGGATTTAGGATGGTGACTGCCGGACACTCGGCCCGGCATCACGGGCTGGATTTAGGATGGTGACTGCCGGACACTCGGCCCGGCATCACGGGCTGGATTTAGGATGGTGACTGCCGGACACTCGGCCCGGCATCACGGGCTGGATTTAGGATGGTGACTGCAGCGCTTTGCCTTTCTTCTGCATCATAACTGCCGCCCTCAATTCTTCTCTGCTAATCAGCCTCATGGGCAGAGAGCCCCTCATTAGTGCCTGGGAATTAACTGCCGTGCAAAACAGAAAAACAAACTGCGCCTGTGTTGTTCCTGGAGTCCTGGGGAAGGAAGAGGTGGCCGTGCTGAGAGCACTCCGGGAAAATGAGTCAGCCTCAGGGCACCTCATGCCCCTTATGCTTGGCTGGAGAGTAAACCAGGAGGACAGAGTGGTCAACACAGCAAGGGGTGCCGAGCGTGGCTGCACCGGGCTGGGCCCCTCAAAGCCATAGGTGACAATGACAGCTCGCCAGGGCCATCCGAGGATGGGGTCATACCTCAGTGCTGTACGTCATTAATCCCCACCCTGACTCTATAGATAAGCCACTACCCCCATTGTACAGATGAGAAAACTGAGGCAACCAGAGGTCAAATGCTGTGTCTAAGGTCACACAGTTTGTAAATAGCAGAGCCCAGAGTCAAAGCCACGTCTCTGGTGCTAAAGCCATGTTTCTAACCACTGTACCCCCAGCTTCCTGCCACTAGAGCCTGAAAGATCTTTGCATTGGTACTCAGGGCTCAGGGGACGGGATGTGGGAATCAAAGGCAGACCAGAAAGAGAAGATGGCTTCCCCTCCAGGACACCCCAAATGATGCCCCACACTCCAGGGAGAGGCCCTGGCTCCGGCTGGGACTCTGGGTTTAGTTTAGTTTTGTTTTGTTTTGTGTTTTTTTGAGATGGAGTTTTGCTCTCATCACCCAGGCTAGAGTGCAATGGCGCGATCTCAGCTCACTGTAACCTCCACCTCCCGGGTTCAAGGAATTCTCCTGCCTCAGCCTCCTGAGTAGCTGGGACTACAAGTGCCCGCTACCACGCCCAGCTAATTTTTGTATTTTTAGTGGAGACGGGGTGTCGCCATGTTGGCCAGGCTGGTCTTGAACTCCTGACCTCAGGTGATCTGCCCGCTTTGGCCTCCTAAAGTGTTGGGATTACAGGCGTGAGCCACCATGCCCAGCCTGGGTTTAGTCTTATAAGTCAGACTATCCGACTAGGAATAATAACCTTTATTACTTCGACAACCCACATCGACTAACATGCATCTATCCTCTTCCAAGCACCAGGCACTGTCCACGATGTTTTGCTTAAAGTCACTCATTTAATCCTGATAGCAACAACCTTATAAGTCAAGTCCCATCATTATCTCCACCTTGGGGATAAGAAAACTAGGCTACACATTGAAGCTCACACCAGCAGGTCACAGGCACCTTGATCTGAACCAGGCTGGCTCTGAACGGGTCACGTGCCCTCTCGGCCAGGCCACACTGCCGCTCACTGAGAGAGGGGCTAGAAGGAGGGAACCTGCTTCCCTCCGTGGAGCGCCATCAATTCTTTCCCCAGAATGGCATGAATTTATATCCCCACCTGCTCTGGAGTTTGAGTCTCGGACTGGACACATTCCAAATCCCTGCCTCTCTAAACGGCGATGGTTCTCCAACAGCTGCCTCAGGGGTCCTGGCTCAGCTGGCTGTGCTTACACGAAGTCCCCGCAACAGCCACCTGCCAACCTGTGCCAACCTTTCATTTTAAGAGGAGAGCTAAGCCCCGGTGAGAGTTCCCCCCTGCACAGTGACATGTAGGCCTCCTGCCTGTGGAACGCAGGGAGCTCACACTCGCCCTGGCCCCGGGTGCACGGGCCACAGCAGCAGCTCCCCACTCCCATTGGCAGGTCCTGTGATGTGTGTGGAGCATATGTCTCCTGTGTCAGGGAGAGGTGAGCCCCACAAGCGACCAGCAGGAGAGGATGAAGGGCAGGAAGGCGGAGCCCAAACCTCCTGAGGACCAGGACCATGGAAGCACAGAGATGAAAGCCGGTCCCTACAGAAATCACTGGGCCATGGACAGGCACCCCATGGGACTGGGGACAGGAGAGCTGTTGCCTACAGAAATCACTAGGTCAGGGGCAGGTGCCCCATGGAACTGGGGAGAAGAAAGAAATCACTAGGTCAGGGACAGGTCCCCCACTTTACAGATAAGAAAACAAATTCTATACATGCGGAGGGAAAGCAAGCCCACCCAGGCTGCACTCTGCGGAGGCGGGGACCACTGCTCCATGTCCTTCCATTCACATTTATTGAACACCTGCGTGGGACATGTGTCAGTGAATAACACGGGGCAAGGGTAAGGTCCTGCCCCAAGGAGCAGACATGCCCACAGAGCAACAGAGGCAAGAAACACGCAAGCAGACAACAGCCAGTTTCAGCTCATGAGAGTGAAAGAGAACAAGGAAACTGGAGAGCAAGCAGTGGGGTCTGCGAGGGGCAGCGATTTTAGACAGTGTGGTCAAGGTGGGCCCCCCAAGAAGGTGTCCTCTGAGCAAAGCCTAGAGCAGTGAAGCGGAGGTGGCCATGCTGAGACAGAGACAGAGAGAGATCCCAGGCGGCTGGCACAGCACATGCAAAGGCCCTGAGGCAGGAGCTGGAGCCCAGGCAGCCACCCTCCCAAAACAGTGCTCACCAACAGTCCTGATGGACATGAAGGATTCCGCTCTCACTGGCAGAAAAGCTATACTGTGGATTCAGGGGCCTGTAGCCTCTCCCATTGAGACGAAGGAAAGGAAGTGGAGAGGCAGACTCCCTAACAAGGCCTCGAACTCACTCACACACACACACTTGCTACAAGACTGGAAGGCAGAGAGGGTGCTGTGAGGAAACACACCACGTCCTGCCCCGTGGTTTTAGACAAATTAGCTTTCATGAGCTGCTCAGCTCTTAATCCATTAGGGCAGACACGTGTCACCTTGGTTAAGAGCACCGTAAGATCCAGCCCTGAGACGCCTGCTGCATTTAAAATACAATCGCACATCGATCTGGACTCTACCTGTGGCCGAATTCATTATCCAGTCTGGGAAGATTAACCATCACAAAGAATCTATATAAATGGGATGGGAAGATTAAAAGTATCCTTACTTCGAGGAGCCGTATCATCAAGTGCAAATTAATTTGTGCAAGGTAGCACACCTGCGTCTAAGCCCAGTGTCTGCGTATAAAGCCCAGGAATTACGGGAGACATTTTGAAGCCAAGTGATCCTAATCACCGTCAGACTTCAGGGGCAGCAAGGCTAGCGAGTGACGTCGGAAAAGCCACAGGACAGAGACCCTGAGCCCTCAGGAGCATATGGCCACAACCACTGCGTTACTTAGGTATGTCTGAAATCATCCTCCGGCCTGAGAACGTGGCACAGAGTCACTGGGCAAAGCACCCAACGGCTCTGGCTGACTTCACATGCTGACTGACTTCAAGGGCTGTGGCCCACTGGGTTTCCCCACACAGGCCCCTTAAGCAGCACCTGCCAGCGGCAATGACCAAGGACATTCTCCCAGTTGGGTCCGGGAGCCAGCGCCTAGTCTCTCAAACTGTGAAATACTCAGGAACACTGTGAACCCGTTGTTAAGTCACAGGTAGTTTGAAATCAGTTGTGGTTGGAGTGTTTACACCACAGAAATAGGCAAAGACTACAAATCAGAACTTTTTTTTTTTTTTTTGAGACAGTCTCACTCTGTTGCCCAGACTGGAGTGCAGTGGCGCAATCTTGGCTCACTGCAGCCTCCGTCCACCTCCCAGGTTCAAGAGAGTCTCCCGCCTCAGGTCCCCGAGTAGCTGGGACTACGGTGTGTCCACCACGCCTGGCAAATTTTTGTATTTTTAATAGAGACGGGTTTCACCATGCTGGCCAGGCTGCTCTCTACAAATCACAGCTTTTACCAGCACACCGCTCCCCCAAAACCAACTTCTATTATCCAGAGGAGAAAATAAACCAGAATTGAATTTTGTATGCTACAGACATTGGAGTTACTCCCTCCAGGCCCCTGAAGTTCACTGCTCTTCCCCAGCACTGGCTGGATGTGATATCGGGTTAACCAGCCAGCACCTTCCACCCCTACAGTCAGGACACGGGATGGGCAGAGAACTCAAGCCAGTTCAAAGTGAACTTTAGGATTGGAGAAAGTCATGCCCTCTCCCACTGGAGCAAGCACATAGCCTGGGGGACAAGGTCAAAGCCATTTTGTGGCTACAAGAGGAGTCGGCGTTAGCCCAAAGAGCAGAGAGAAGGATGAGAAGAAACAAAGTCCTCGCTGATGACATTAAGTCTCTGGATCAAACCGTGCCTGATCTCTTCCTTATCGCTGGACTTTCAGGTTATTTAAACTTACACATGCTTTTTATATTTAAGCCACTTGGAGATGCACTTTCTTTGAATAGAAAGATTTCTTACCAACAGAAATCTGAAACCAACTCTTTACAGTTTAGTCTTCCTTGCCTAACTAAATGGATTCATTAAAGCTCTTTTCAGTTACTAAGTCACTGAATAGCTTTGTTTGCACTCCTATGCTTTTAAAGAAGGAAAGAAAAAACCCAGGGAACAACACTTTGCGTTTCACCCAAGCATTGAAATCTGTGGTGCGGCAGCCAGTTCCCTCTCCACCTCCCTCACCACCTGCCTCTCCACCTCCCTCACCACTTCCCTCTCCACCTCCCTCTCCACCTCCCTCACCACCTGCCTCTCCACCTCCCTCACCACCTGCCTCTCCACCTCCCTCACCACCTGCCTCTCCACCTCCCTCACCACTTCCCTCTCCACCTCCCTCTCCACCTCCCTCACCACCTGCCTCTCCACCTCCCTCACCACTTCCCTCTCCACCTGCCTCACCACCTCCCTCACCACCTGCCTCTCCACCTCCCTCACCACTTCCCTCTCCACCTGCCTCACCACCTCCCTCACCACCTCCCTCACCACCTCCCTCACCACCTCCCTCACCACCTCCCTCACCACCTGCCTCTCCACCTCCCTCACCACTTCCCTCTCCACCTCCCTTGCCACCTCCCTCGCCACCTCCCTCGCTACCTCCCTCACTACTGCAAAAGGGATTGTTTCCTCCAGCTCCTAATGGCCCTCTGCTCCCATTTCCTCCTCGAGGTCCTGTTTTCAGATGCTTTCTTGCCCCAATCCAAGGTCGCAAGCACACGCATCTCCACAAGAAGAATGACAACCAATCTTAGAGGTATAGGGAGCTTCAAATTTACCCCATTGTCAGGAAAAGAGAAGCCCTATCTAAAACTTAAAATTGTACAAAGCTAGAGTTGGAAAAAAATCGTTGATGTCATCTCCTACAGGGCAAGAGAAAGCCGCCTCCAGGGGCGAATGATTTATTGCAGGTCGCACAACTCACACACAGAGTCCCTGAACCAGGGCTGAGAACCCAGCAGTTCAGACTCTGCAGCCACGACACACAGGCGCCATGGGCATGACAGTGGGTGAGGACGCCCAGCAGCCCAGGAGCCACATTGGTGTTTGCCAGCTGCACCTGCTCCCCATCTCCTGGCCTAGAGGCCCAGCCTTAGCCTACGCAATTCTCACGGGACAGACATATGCATGTGAGGCAGAGTGGGGACCCATCTTAAGGGGCCTGTGGGTCCCCTCCCCTCAGCATGGAAATAAAGGAAAATCTTGGGTTCCTTCACGGGGAATTCCAGGCACCTAATTGGCCCTGGGAAGTAAATAAGCAACTTGAGAAGGAAAAAGCTAATAGTATTCAAGACCAGCTTAGCCAACATGGTGAAACCCTGCCCCTAATAAAAATACAAAAATTAGCGAGGCGTGATGGTGCACACCTGTAATCCTAGCTACTCGGGACGCTGAGGCAGGAGACTCTCTTGAACCCGGGGGGTGGAGGTTGCAGTGAGCTGAGATCGCACCACTGCACTCCAGCCTAGGTGACAAAGCAAGACTGTCTCAAAAAAACCAACAACAAAAAAGAAGGTAATAGCAGCTTAAAACAACAGCCAAGGGAGTTAGAGTCAGGAGATGTTTGCTTCCCTATAGAAGCTAAAGCATCATCACATCTGTCTCTGGGTTGTTTTTCAGAAACCCAGACCCCCACCAAAATGGATTCACCTGCACCTAGACCTCAGCTACGGAGAGCGGAGGACTGAGCTCTGAGCACCAGTCTTTGTTCTAAATTTCTTCCTGAGGGGCCTGGAGGAGGTCACACCCATGAGCCAGAGCTAACATTCTTTTCTGCTGACCCTAAATTTTTACACAAAGTTTCTCCTCCTAACCAACTACAAATCAGAAAATCTTTGCATATACCTACAATTTGTAAGCCCCTGCATCCAGAGATCCCACCCTTTAAATCAAACCAATGCATAACCTCCATGTATTGGTGTGTGACTTTGCTGGTAACCTCTACCTCTCTGCCTTTAAAGACCCTCCCCTTTAAGCCATCTGGCAGTCCGGGTCTTCCACATAAGGTTCTCCCCGCTAGACGCCCTGCACTAAATGCCTCTCTTTCTCATGCTGCAAACCTCGGTGTGGCTGTTTGGCCCGACTGCAGTGGGTGAGTTGGACCCCAGCTCCGTTGGATAACACATGCACACACGTGTGCACACACATGTGAACACACGTGTGTACACACCCGCCTCACGTGGTACAGAAAGCCAAAGGGCATGTCAGGAGTCACGCGCTGATCATCACCGAGCAGATACATCCCTAGATTATGAGTTCCTAAACTTTTACACATCTTTCTTTTCTAAATTTTCAACAGTAAATACTAAAGATGAAAAAATGTTTCTCACAGCTGTCAAGGGAAAAGGGGAAATCCCATTTCGTGCGCCACTAATGGAAGAGGAAACAGACACGAACTCTCACTTCTCAAATGCCCTAAAAACATGGTTTTTTGACCCAGAAATTCCACCTTCATAAATTTATTTAAAGGATCATAATGGACAGGACTGAATCATCTTATCTTTTAGAATTACACACATAAGGTATTCATTGTAAAAAAAATTGAAAAGCATAAAGGAGAAAATAAAAACTTCGTAATATCCCCTTAAAATACATTCCATCTGTATGCGTCTTCTAAATCCCCCAGCAAAATCAAATTCAAGCTATATACATCTGATGTTATCCATGATGATTTTAATGAGGTATGTGTTTTTCTAAATTATTTTCTGTGCTTTAAAATTTTTTCTACAATAAATATATGTTACTCCATTAATCATAATCAAGTTAAAAACTATCTAAAATTAGTATCTTTTTTTTTTTTTTTGAGACGGAGTTTCGCTCTTGTTGCCCAGGCTGGAGTGCAGTGGCGCGATCTCGGCTCACCGCAACCTCCGCCTCCCGGGTTCAAGCGATTCTCGCTCCTCAGCCTCCCGAGTAGCTGGGATTACAGGCCTGCACCACCACGCCCAGCTAATTTTGTATTTTTAGTAGGGACAGGGTTTCTCCATGTTGGTCAGGCTGGTCTCGAACTCCTGACCTCAGGTGATCTGCCCGCCTCGGCCTCCCAAAGTGCTGGGATTCCAGGCGTGAGCCGCCGAGAAACGGATCGCACATGGTAATTTTTGCAGCACCACGGGTTAAATACTGTGGGCCCTGAACACCATTTTCATGTGGATTCCATGATCCTCAATGACCTCCTGACTCAGAGGCACGGGAGCAGATCTCCCGGCTTTTCCTGCCCTTCGTGGCGGCCGATAGGCTCAGTCGGAGGTGGGTATGGAGGTGGGTACGGAGGTGGCAGGAGGAAGCTATGGACAAGAGAGCAACCGGAGGGACAGAACCGTGCCAAGCGCGTGTGTGACTGCAAAGCCAGCCTCTAGGCCAAGTAAGGCGCTGGAATGTGGGGCTTGCTGCGACGTACGTTTCTCTCCTCCTCAGCGGAGAGATGAGTGCTCCCGGCCGGAGGCCGCTCCGCTCCATGCAGTGACTTAGAGACCCAGGCCCCTCCCTCCGTGGCCGCCCAACCCCTGGGGCCTCATGGCCTCCGCATCCAGCCAGTGGGGTACTGGGAAGGGCGGCGCCTTCCCCCGACTCAGGGCTCCACTCTCCCATTGGCCAGAACAAGCCACGTGGCCACCCAGACCCAAGGGCTGCTGGGAAATGTGCCCCTCCGCTGAGAAGTGGCTTCCCACAGCCGTTCTGTGCAATGGGGAAAAATCCGGGGTGAACGGCTAGCAGACTCTTCCTTGGAGAGACAGCGCGGGCCACATAGGAGACCCCCAAACAATGGATACCCCATGCTAGGAGGACCAACTCACTCACCCTGGTAGGCCTGGATTTTCCCACTTTCAGCCCTGGAGATCCTCTCAGCCCTGAGAAAATCAGAGATGTGGTCTCCCTGCCCCCTGCTCACAGTTTCACCAAGACAGCACCCGAACAGGGAGGGGTGCCCTGCTACCCCAGCCCCCGAAGAGGACGTGCGGGTGCTGGGAGTACTCTACTCAGTGACCCCAGCACTTCACACTCTGCGGGCCCTGGAGAAGCTGCCCCACCTCCCTTCAACCCATAGGCTCAGGAGACTCCAAAGTCAAGCCTTGTCTGCAGGTCGGAGATTCAACAGGAACAAGCGGTACGAGACTCTCAGAGATGAGGGAGGTGCAGAGTATATTGTTGAAGCTGAAAAAAAAAAACCAAACCTGAGGACCTGCTCCTCCAGTGTGGGGTGAACCCTCGGGGAGACGCAGTGGGGACTCGCAGGCAACCAAGGAGGCAGTCTACACAGAAAATTGCGGCTGCTGCCTTGCCCCCAGCACCAAGGGGGCTTGGTGGGCAGCTTGCAAGCTGTCCAAAGGGTACATTTCTGCCCTTCATGTGCAGCGTGGTCCCTGGGTGCTGACTCGTGCCCACCTTCCCCAGCAGCCAGCTGCCGGGTCCATTCTTAAAAACCTCCAGGGGACATCTGGGCACCCTTCCGAAACGTGCTGCCAGCTCCCAGCCTGGGGCTCTAAATAGAACTGCTCTTAACACCGCATGTGTGCTCTTCCTACTCCAGCCAGCCTTCTGCTCGTTGCTACCACTTTGCTAAATGCAAGCTTCTCACAACACTTGTTTTCTTTATCTGTGGATTCAGCAGGGAAGCCCTGCCATAGGGCGTGACCCAGTCACAGGGGCCTGCCCACCTGGGGGCTCCGTGTCCCCTCCAGCAGCACATGTGAGCGGATGGGTCCCCAGAGCATGCTCCTGTCTTGGCATTTGAAATCCGCCGTGGAAGCCTTCTGAAAATTGTGCTTTCAAATACAAATACTGACCTCAGTCCAAGCCCAGATTTACTCTAATTGTCTGAAGACCCCTTTCCACCAACTCAGTAAACAAGGGAGACTCTGAGTTGTTTTCTTAACCGATCATTGTTTTCTGGGGGGCAAAGTGGAGCGTCGGGGGAGAGATTTTTCCCCTCAAAACAAGCAATTGCTTTTATAATTTAAATTAGGCCTATGCCCTAAAAGAAAATCGCTGGTAATAAATGCAAGCCTGCTGACCTTGGAGGAAAATATCAGAGAGATTTCAAGCAGCATTTTCTTGAACAAAAATTTACACAGCCTTGTTTTTTTTAAAAAAAAAAAAAAAAAAGAAAGAAAAGAAAAGAAACTGCTTTGTAAATGTCACAGGAAGGATGCTTGGCGGAGGCTGAGAAAGCTTCCGAGCCACTTATTTCTGTTGAGAATGAAGAACTACAGCCTGGGTCAGGACTGAGGCTCCACTCCTGGCTTCTTAAAGCATCTCTACCTCCAAGCAAAGCTTCTCAGGGATGCTTTCTGCAAAAGACCAACATCTGGGGTCCCACAAAGCTCAGCACTTTTCAATTTTATTCTGCAGGGCACTCAGGCAGGTGTGAGAGAGATCAGCGGGCCCTGCTGGCGGCCTGAGGAGACCTCAGGGGGCTCTGAAAGACAGGTTCCAAAGCATCCATTGTTAGAGGGGAACGTAAGGACTATGATGACATAGATGGCAGGGCGATGGCGTTGAGGAGGCTGTCAACATCTCGGAGTTCTTCCCATGTGCAAGGCAGGGTGCTGAGCCTGTGATGCGTATGTATGAAGCCGTGTCATGCTCACCACTCCCCTATTGAGCAGGTGAGATGGTCATTCCCACTTTATAGAGGAGAAAACCACGGGCAGCCCTGGAGCCTGCCCACGGCACAGCCGTCCTGGCATGGCGGTCCTCAGGCTAATGGAAAACGCAGCGATGAACCCAGAAGAAAGCAAAACTTCACCTGGGTGGGATCTGGAAACACCCTTCGAGCTGAATCTTTTCATGTCTGTGTGTCTTTTCAAAGAACCAGCCCTTTGTGAGAGTCTTAAGTTAAAGATTTCTAGTGATGCACATTCATGAATTTAACACATTTCACATTATGAATTTGTGCTTGGAATTTAATTATCTGCAGGATTATGTACCAGCTCTACTCTTCGTTGAGAGACTGAACAAGTCCTGTGTCTTAGCAGTTATCATATTATAGCTTTTGGAAAGCTTTTTGATGTTAAAAAAAAAATGTTTAGGAATTAAAAGCATTTTATTTCATAGAAGTTTTAAAAAGCACCAGGCTTTGAGGTTGTTTGCTGGTTCTGCTGTTGTCTACTAAATCATTGTGTTCTGCTTTTCTCTTTATTTACTCTTCCCTCCTGCCTCAGCTTTATCTTGTTAGTCTTCTGGTTTCTAGCATTGAATGTTTTGATTAATTTGGGTTTTTTAAATACTCTTCTTCATATAAGAGGATCTGAAGCTATGTATTTTCCTTGGAGTGTAGCTTTGGCATAACCTTATGTATTGGTATATAGCAGGACCCAGGAAACTATGTAGCCTTTAGGCCAAATCTGGCCCACCACCTGTTTTTGTAAATGAAGTTTTGTTGGAACACAGCCACACCACTTGTTTACATAGTATCTATGGCTGCCTTAGTATATGGCAGCAAAGTTTAGTTGTTGCCACAAAGACTTTCTAGCCTGCAAAGCTGAACATGTTTACCATCTGACTTTTTTCCAAAAAAGTTTGCCAACCCTTAGAATGTAAGATCCTTGTCCTTAACTTCTAAATGGCTTGTAGTTTTGTTTCCCTCTTTGGTGCCCTCACTTTTTCATCTGTTACGCTCATTTTTGTTAATATTGTCCAATGGTTAGATTTGCAGAGTGGGGGTTTCTATTATCAATTTCTTAAAGGATTATATTGGGCCGTATCTGCATTCCCTTGAGGATATGGAGCATCTCAGTGGTCTTGCAGGGCTCTTAGGTTTTGCCATATGTATTATATTGTTTTTTCATTGCTATAAAGAAATACCTGAACCTGGGTGATTTATAAAGAAAAGAGTTTTAATTGGCTCATGGTTCTGCAGGGTGTACAGGCAGCATGGTGCCAGCACCTGCTTCTGGTGAGACCTCACAGAACTTACAATTATGGTGGAATACAAAGGGAAGCCAGCACATCACGTGGCAAGAATGGGAGCAAGAGAGCAAGGGGAGAAGTGCCACCCTTTTAAACAATCAGATCTCACGTGAACTAACCAAGTGAGGACTCACAATGGTGCTAAGCCGTTGATGAGGGATCCACCCCCATGATCCAATCACCTCCCACAAGGCCCCTTCCCAACAGTGAGGATCACATTTTGACATGAGATTTGGAGGGGGCCAACATCCCAACCGTATCATTCTGCCCCTGGTCCCCCAAATCTCATGTCCTTCTCATATTGCAAAATACAATCATGCCTTCCCAACAGTCCTCCAAAGTCTTAACTCATTCCAGCATTTACTCAGAAGTCCCACGTCTCAAGTCCCAAGCTCTAAGTCTCATTTGCAGATAAGTTCCTTCTACCTATGAGCCTGTAAAATCACGTCGTTTACTTCCAAGATACAGTGGTGGTCTAGGCGTTGGGTAAAGATTCCCATTCCAAATGTGACAAATTGGCCAAAGAAAGGGGCAACAAGGCCCATACCACTCTGAAACATAGCAGGGCAGTCATTAGATCTTAAATCTCCAAAATAATCCTTGACTCCGTGCCCCACATCCGGGCACACTGGTGCAAGGGGTAGGCTCCTGTGGCTTTGCAGGGTGCAGCTCCCACGGCTGCTCTCACAGGTTAGAGTTAAGTGCCTGTGGCTTTTCCAGGCTCAGAATGCAAGCTGTTGGTGGATCTACCATTCTGGGGCCTGAAGGGTGACCCTCTTCTCACCAACTCCACTGGGCAGTGCCCCAGTGGGGACTCTGTGTGGGAGCTGCAACCCCACAGTTCCCCTCAGCCTGTCCTAGCGGAGCTTTTCTGTGGGGGCTCCACCCCTGTGGCAGGCTTCTAGCTTGGAACCCAGACTTTCCCATAAATCTTCTGAAATCTAGGTGGAAGCCACCAAGCCTCCTTCATGCTTGCATTCTGTGCACCCGCAGGCTTAACAACATGTGGAAGCCCCAAAGGCTAATGGCTTGCACCCTCAGAACTCTGGCCCAAGCTACACCCAGGGTCCTTTGAGCTGAGGCTGGAGTCAGAGTGCCCAGGATGCAGGGAGCAGTGTCCTGAAGCTGTGCAGGGCAGCGGGGCCCTGGACCTGGCCCCTGAAACTATTCTTTCCTCCTAGGCCTCTGGGCTGTGATGGGAGGGGCTGCCTAAAAGATCTCTGAAATGCATTTGAGGCCTGTTTCCTGTTGTCTTGGATATTAGCACTTGGGTCCTTTTTAGTCATGCTAGTTTCTCTAGCAAGTAGTCACTCCACAGCCTGCTTGGATTCCTCTTTTGAAAATGCTTTTTCCTTCTCTGCCACATGGCTAGGTTGTGAATTTCTGAAACTTTTATGCTCTGCTTCCTTTTTAACTATAAGTTCCAACTTTAAGTCATTTCTTTGCTTCTGTATCTGAGCATAGGTTATTAGAAGCAGCCAGGTCCCATCTTGAATGCTTTGCTTCTTAGAAATTTCTTCCACCAGATACCCTAGGTTATCACTCTTTTAAGTTCAAACTTCCATAAAGCCCTAGGACACAGATACAATGCAGCCAGGTTCTTTGCTTAGGCATAATATGGGTGATCTTTACTCCAGTTCCCTTAACTTTCTCATTTCCAGCTGAGACCACATCAGCCTGGACTTCACTGTCCAAATCACTATTGGCATTTTGGTCACAACCATTTAACCACTCTCCAAGGAGTTCCAAACAATTCCTCACCTTCCTGTCTTCTTCTGAGCTCTCCAAACTCTTCCACCCTCTGCCTATTACCCAGTCCCAAAGCTGCTTCCACACTTTCAGGTATCTTTATAGCAATGCCCCACTCCTCTGTACCAATTTTCCATGTTAGGCCATTTTTGTATTGCTATAAAGAAATACTGAGGCTGGGTAATTTATAAGGAAAACAGACTTGATTGGCTCATGGTTCTGCAGGCTGTACAGAAAACAGGGTGCAGGCATCTGCTCAGCTTCTAGTGAGGCCTCAGGAAGCTTCCAATCATGGTGGAAGACAAAGAGGAGCCAGCATGTCACACAGTGACAGCAACAGCAAGAAAGCCAGGGAGGAGGTGCCACACACTTTTCAACAACCAGAATTCACATGAACTAACTGAGCAAGAACTCACTTATCACCCAGGGATAGTGCCCAGCCATTCATGAGGGACCTGCTCCCGTGACCCAAACACCTCCCACCAGGTCCTACCTCCAGCACTGGGATCACATTTCACATGAGATTTGGGGGAGACACACATCCAAACCATATCAACATAACCCAGCAATCTGGATGCAGAAAACACACAAATGACACACTAGAGGTCTCTACAGGGAGAGAATGGGGTGCTGGACAGAGGACAAAGAGGAGTGTGCCCTAGGCGGGGCAGCAAAGGCCTCTCCAGCGTGTAACATCGCCCCACCCTGCCAGCCAGCATTACTTCCCTGTTTTATTTTCTTCATTGCTCTTGCTGCTGTCTGAAATTACCTCGTTATATACCAACTGTCTGCCACTCTGTGAGAATGCAAACTCTGTAAGGACCTTATTTATCTTGCCTGATGCATTGTAACTATTCAAATATCTGTGGGAGAGAGGAAGACAGGACCTGAGGAGGACACATGAGAGGGAGGAAAAGACCAAGGAGGGGTGGGCAGGGCGGAGAGTCAGAGAAACACCAGCAGTGGAGGGAGGCTCTGGGGCCATAGAACAGGCCCCAAACCATTGATTTCCACTTTAGGGAATTTATTGAGATTTTCTTTCTGAACTAAAAATATGATCTATGTTTGTAAATGTTGCATAGACACAGAAAAAAATGTGTGGTTACTACACAGAGCGAACAGAGTTCAATTATTCAAACATTCACACACAGGCACACACATGTATATACAGGCAAACACAGATACATATGTGCACACACACACACCATCAACTTCAGCTCTCCCTCAGCTCCTCGAATTTGCCCTTGTTTGGACACCATCTTGAAGCCAGCCAGAATGAAAAGGGAGGGACGTTGGCTTCAGACAGAGCAGCTCAGGTCAAGGCACAGGCGACGGGAATGTGGGCGGAGGCACCACGCAGCCCATGGCAGAGGAGACAAGAGGGAAGATGCTGGGAGAGCCAGGAGTGAAAGGAGGATGCTGGTGGGAGCGCTGTCCTGGAATCCAGCCCTTCTGGGGAATGGAGGAAGCTCTCTCATGTCCATCTTAGAGCATGGGTTCCAGCAAGGCCGGCCTGCAGGCTTGGGGCTGGGGACACGGTGGAGGGTGGGGAGAAGGGACATGGCCAGCTGCTCTGCCAGCAGAATAAAGAGAGGTTTCTGTGTGGGCCCCGGGAGGGCCAGGAGCGAGAGAGCGAGCCTCGGTTTGTCTAATGTTCTATGGAAGATGGTTCTTAAAGGGGTTGGGGGACCCGGCAAGAATCACAAGGGAGCCATCTGAGAGGCACCTTCCCTCCCACAGGGGAAGGGAGGGAAGAGGAGGACGAAGTAGGATCTCCAGGGACCCCTGGCAGGCAGGGGCTAGAATTCTGCCCGTCCCAGTGGGGCTGGGCCAGCTCCTGACAGCGTCATACAGAGAGAAGCTTTCCCTTTCATGTCCCCTCTCCTGGGACTAAGCCAGTGCATTTGTGTCCTGAGGCAAACAAAATGCCACAAACCAAGTGTCTTAAACAACAGAAATTTCCTCTCTCAGCTCTGGAGGCTGGAAGTCTGAGATCAAGCAGCCCCAGCAGGCCTGTTTCTTTCTGAGGCTGTCAGGAGAATCTGCCCCGGGCTCCCCCTGACTCCTGGCAGCCTCAGGCACTCCTCCGCTTGTGAGCGACCTCCCCGCGTCTTCACACCGTCTTCCCTCCACGTTTGTCTATCTCTGTGCCCAAACTTCCCCTTTCTAAAATTTTTATGTTATTAACTTTCTAAAATTTATGTACTAAAAAAAAAAGCAAGATCTCATTAGCCGGGTGTGGTGGTGCACACCTGTGGTCCCAGCTACTTGGGAGGCTGAGGTGGCAGGATGGTTTGAGCCTGGGGGGAGGAGGTTGCAGTGAGCCAAGATTGCACCACTGCACTCCAGCCTGGGCAACAGAATGATACCCTGTCAAAAAAAAATTAAAACGGTCTCACTCTTTCACCCAGGCAGGAGTGCATTAGTGTAATCATAGCTCACTGCATTGAACTCCCAGGCTCAAGTGATCCTCCTGCCTCAGTCTCCTACAGACCTGGGACTATAGGTGTGTACCACCATGCCTACTATTTTTTTACATTTTTATTTCTAGAGATAGGGTCTTGCTATGTTGTTCAGGTTGATCTCAAACTCCTGGGCTGAAGCAATCCTCCCAGCTTGGCCTTTCAAAGCTGGGATTACAGGTGTGTGTCACCACACGTGGCCAAATTTCCCTCCCTTAAAGAACACTAGTCATATGGGATGAGGGCACATCCTCATGTCCTCATCTTAACTTTGCCCATCTGCAAAGACCCTATTTGCAAATAAGGTCACATTCACAGGTACTGGGAGTTAGGACTTCAACACCTTTGTGGGATGGGAGGGCCACAATTCAGCTCATAACAGCCAGGAAATAAAGCAGAGATCACCCCCTCTACACACACTGCAGGCTCCCAGCCGGAAGCAGGCCCCGGGAGGAGAAAGAAAAAGTTCTAAGTTCAGACGAGGTCAGATGTGGTTTGGATATTCTCATAACTAAACTGATAGAGCTTGGGGGATGGAAGACAGAGAAAGATCCATCGTCGAAGCAATGCAGCGGCATCCACCGGCACCTCCGTCCAGGGCACAGGGGAGAAGTGACCCGCAGAAGGGCTGTGCGGGGGCAGTGAGGGCAGAGGATGGAGCCCCAGCTGCGGGGGGCAGTGAGGGCGGAGGATGGAGCCCCAGCTGCGGGGGGCAGTGAGGGCGGAGGATGGAGCCCCAGCTGCGGGGGGCAGTGAGGGCGGAGGATGGAGCCCCAGCGCACTGGGCCCCAGGTCCCGCCTTCCACTCAAACATTTTATCTCGTTTCAGTGTGCGATCCCCAACCTCTGATGTTACACGGAACCAGCTACCCAACGAGTTGTTTTTTACATTTCCCTTTTGGTGTTCTATTTATCTGGCCTTAAACAGGCCTGGCTGAGAATATTTAAAATCAGAGAACGCACGGCTGGACACAAGGCAAACCGTATTCCACACGCGCATTTGCTTAGGAGCAGAGTTCAGCAACGTGACGCTGCCTCCCAAGGGCTTGGGTTGTTCCCCCATCCTCTCTCCACGACTCCGTCCCACCTTCCCAGTACTTAAAAGACGACGGCAGTAACCAACAATGAATGCCCCAGCTCAGGAGAGCAGCTTTGTGACCGGAAGGCCACGGCTTCCAGGAGCCTGAGGAGGGAAGGTCAGCCCTGAGGAGGGAACAGCACAAGCCAGGCTCGCGTGTTGACATGAAGGGTTCTCTGAGCCCAGCCTGAGCAAATACTAACACACACCGCCTGTGCTGGCTACTGTCTAGCAGCCACTGGTCCCGAAACTCCACACAGTCAGGCCATCTCTGAAGCCGCCAACACGCACCTACCTTCTGGGCAAGAACACGAATCTGTCATTTGCACTCGTGTATTTGCAATCGGTGCGAACACTCACAGTCTCTATGCTGCATGTGGGGAACACGCAGCCATTTCAACTATGAAAAAAAAGAAGACGGCAGACAACAGTTTAAAAAAAGGAGACCAGGAGCATCATATTTCACTGAGTAAATTGACAAAAGGTCAAAAAGCTTGATCTTGGCCACTGATGTGCTTGGTCTGAAAGCTAAACTGCCACTTAAATATTCATAGGCAAGCGCGGTAGCTGCAGCCTCCGGTTGCCCTGAGTCCACAGAGGAGCAAGGCTGGGGCCATTTTATGAGAAAAAACAAGCTCCCTCCCGAGCCGGGTTCTGGGCAGGAGAGGACTCTGCTCCTGCAACCAGCCCGCACCCGCTGAGCCTTCGTTGCTGTGTCCTGTATCCCAGAAGAATGTGAGTGATGGTCTTGCACAGGGAGGCGGGTGGCAATAGACCAGGCGGAGATGCAAGTGCACAACGTGAGAAAAAATGCTGAAACTCTCGGCTCTAAACCATGCTCTTGGCATCCTCACCTCACTCAATCTCCCTTCCTCCACCATGCCAACCTCCCTTCCTCCACCATGCCAACCTCCCTTCCTCCACCATGCCAGCCTCCCTCCCTCCACCATGCCAGCACAGGGACTCCCCGTAAATCATCTTCATCCCCCTTTGTGGAAAGACTGAAGATCTGTATATGACAAGGTCAAGAGTGGGCTCACCCAGTGCTATCCAAGAGAAACACCGTGTCAGCCACCTGCATAACTTTACACTGTCTAGTGGTCACCTTAAAAAAAGTGGAAAGTAACAGATAAAACTAATTTTCATATTTTATTTCACTCAATGTATCCGAAATATTACCATTTCAACATGGAATGAATAATTAAAATTATTAATGTCGGCCGGGTGCGGTGGCTTATGCCTGTAATCCCAGCACTCTGGGAGGCCAAGGCAGGTGGATCACGAGGTCAGGAGATCGAGACCATCCTGGCTAACACGGTGAAACCCCATCTCTACTAAAAATACAAAAAATTAGCCAGGCGTGGTGGTGGCGCCTGTAGTCCCAGCTACTCGGAGGCTGAGGCAGGAGAATGGCGTGAACCCGGGAGGCGTATGTTGCAGTGAGCCCAGATCATGCCACTGCACTCCAGCCTGAGCGACAGAGCGAGACTCTGTCTCAAACAAAAAAAAAAAAGTGGAAGTAACAGATAAAACTAATTTTCATATTTTATTTCACTCAATATATCCAAAATATTACCATTTCAACATGGAATGAATTAATAATTAAAATTATTAATGCCGGCCGGGCACGGTGGCTCATGCCCGTAATCCCAGCATTTTGGGAGGCCAAGGTGGGCAGATCATCTGAGGTCAGGAGTTAGATACCAGCCTGGCCAACATAGTGAAACCTCATCTCTACTAAAAAATACAAAAATTAGCCAGGCATGGTGGCATGCACCTGTAATTCCAGCTACTTGGGAGGCCAAGACAGGAGAATTGCTTGAACCCATGAGGAAGAGGTTGCAGTGAGCTGAGATCTTGTCACTGCACTCCAGCCTGGGTGACAGAGCAAGACTCCATCTCAAAAAAAAAAAAAAAGAGTTATTAATACTATTTTACATTCTCTTTTCTTTTCCCGCACAGGGTCACTCTGTCACCATGGCTGGAGTAGTGGCACAATCTCGGCTCATTGCAACCTCCACCTCTTAGGCTCAAGCAGTCCACCTGCCTCAGCCTTCCAAAGTGCTGTGATTACAGGCGTGAGCCACCACGCCCAGCCCATTCTTTTACTACGTCTTCAAAAATCTTAACATGACACATTTCTGTTCAGTCAAGCCACAGTTCCAGAGCTCGATGGCCACAGGTGGCTCCTGTGTCTACGAGACAGGCAGAGGGCCAGGCTAGTGCTGCACCATGCATTCAGGAAGGGAGCAGGAACCTCCTCTCTTCATTCTCTACCCTTCTCTCTGGAATCTCATGGGAATCTCCTCTCGGTGACTGTTCTTATTGCCACGTGAACAACGGACCAAGGAGGATGGAGGTCTCTGAGGAGGGGCAGGATTCTGGTGGGAACCGTATGAGGGGAAACTGGGAGACAGGCATGGCCTGAAATGGGGTCGTGAATATGGAGAAATCTGGACGAAGCTGGAGCCTCAGGGTTGGAAGAGTTGCGGTCTCTGGGCTGGTGAGCACAGACTCCAGCTGCCTTGAACTCTGGGGCCCATGACAGAAACTACTCTCCTGCCCCATGCTGGAGGCTGCAGGAGTGGGGCCACCCTGCCTGCGCCCCCACCCCAGGTTCGGCTCTTTGGTGGGTGAGGTGGGGGCCTTCCCTGGACCCTGTTTCTCTGATTGAGCATTTGACGTAAAGACGCCAGAGCCCCTTGAACCCATGTGCAATTTCACATGGCGGCACGCACCAGGGCTCTGAAGTATCACAGCTGGCGTGTCACGCAGGCCACCTGCATCATGGCCAGGCAGACTTGTATTCAGACACACCACCCACCTGCCCTCTACAAGCCCCATGATGTTGAAAATGACATAATTGGCCCAGCACGATGGCTCACGCCTGTAATCCCAGCACTTTGGGAGGCCAAGGCAGGAGGATCACTTGAGCCCAGGAGTTCAAGACCAGCCTGGCCAACATGGCAAGACCCTGTCTCAAAAAAAGTACATAATATCTCAGATTCTCAATTTTCTTACCTTAAAACCAGAATAACTGCCGCGGTGGACAGCTGCCATTCGCAGTCTGTATTCCAGCAGCCATGCCTCCTCTTGGTGGCAAGGACACCTAGCTTTCCTTGTGGACTAATCTATTGTTCCTCAACTGAGTCCAGGTGATCTGGGTGCCCCTGCTGCTTAGGGTCAGTCATGTGACCACACCTTAGCCAATCGGAGGGTATCATTCTCCTGGGCACAGTGATTGGCTCAGGGCTAGACAGGTGAGCTGAGCTGGTAATTAACTAGTAATTAACTAGCCTCAGCATTGTTGTGGGAGTTATACAAAAAGGCTCCTTTCCATGGCCCTCTAGCCCAGAAGCATGTGAGCCATTGGCTGAGAAGTGCAGAGAGACCAAGAATCTACACACAGTATTTGAGCTCCTAAACCATTACTGGTCATATGACCCCTTTGCACAAACTAAAAAGAGGTGCTGACCGCTGACAACTGTCTAGTGAGGTGAGCAAATCTGCAGTGCTGTGGTGTGTGTAGCAGGCGTTAGCATCTGATGTGGCATAAAGCTTACGTAACTACACGCAATGACCCTATCAGTGCCCAGCCTCTGACAGGTCAGTCTCACTAATAAATTCCCCTCTCTGCTTAAGCACAGTTTGGGTTAGAGTTTTGGTAACTGATGAATCAGAGCTGATGCAATAACTACGGTCAGTGAAGACAAAATGAAGCCACCTAGATAAAAACCCAAGCCTCGCACCTGCAGAGTAGCCCCTTCATGAGTATGCATCTCTGTTCCCGGTCACGACTGTGGAAATGAAGGTTCCAGAACTCTGAAAGTCTGGACTGTGTTCCCTCTTCTCTGCACTATTTCTGTATGTGTCACATGAGCAAGACCCTTAGGAGCTCTGAGTCTCAGCTGTGCAGGACTGAAATCACCTGGGCTTACCTACTTGGAGGGAATGGGGCTGCACTAGGTGCTTCTGCAGGCTGCAGCTGGCCCCACGCCCCAGCAGGGGTCACACGGACTCCATTGCCCTGA
The DNA here is from genome assembly GCF_000001405.40 of Homo sapiens. NCBI lineage: Eukaryota > Metazoa > Chordata > Mammalia > Primates > Hominidae > Homo > Homo sapiens. The sequence continues at coordinate 130,662,103 of NC_000012.12, forward strand.
GCACTCCCTCCCAGGTGCATTCATTCCCGCTCATCACACAAGACCTGGGGTCTCCAACAAATTCCCTAAATTTCACCCTCAATCCAGCCAGTAGCTGACCCGTCACGCTCTGGGGAGAGGTCAGTCTGGGGCAATTCTCGCCAATGTGAAGGGTGCATGAGGGCTTGCACAGTTCGAGTCTCGCGTCTCCTCCTTGGCCAGGCTTCCTGCTTATGTTTCCTAGGCCAGCCAGTTTCAGCACCAAGCCACCTGGGAAGCTTTTAGGAATCTGGAGGCGGAGCGCGGTGGCTCACGCCTGTAATCCTAGCACTTTTGGAGGTTGAGGCGTGTGGATGACGAGGTCAAGAGATCGAGACCATCCTGGCCAACATGGTGAAACCCCATCTCTACTAAAAATTCAAAAACTAGCTGGGCATGGTGGTGTGTGCCTGTAATCCCAGCTACTTGGGAGGCTGAGACAGGAGAATCACTGGAACCCGGAAGGTGGAGGTTGCAGTGAGCCAAGATCACACCCTTGTACTCCAGCCTGGTGACAGAGCAAGACTCCGTCTCAAAAAAAAAAATCTGGATAGGCTGGGCACAGTAGCTCACACCTGTAATCCCAGCACTTTAAGAGGCCAAGGCAGGAGGATTGCTTGAGCCCAGGAGTTTGAGACCAGCCTGGGCAACATAGCAAGACCCCATCTCTACCCCACAAAGAAAAAATAGCTGGGTGTGGCGGTGCACTCCTATGGTCCCAGCTACCTGGGAAGCTGAGTTGGGAGGACTGCTTGAGCCCAGAAGGTTGGAGCTTCAGTGAGCTATGATCATGCCACTACACTCCAGCCTGGGTGACAGAGTAAGACCCTGTCTAAAAAAAAGAATCTGGATGTCCCAGCTGTTCCATAGGATAATTAACCAGAATCTCTGTGGGTGGGAAAGAAGGCACCTGGATATTTTTAAACCATCCCAGGTGGTTCCCACGTGCGGCCAAGTTTGGCTCTAACACCTTCAACCAGCAGGTTCTGCAGGCAGGAGGGGCCGGCTGGGTTATTTTTGCCAAGTATCAAGAGGATAACAGGGTGGAGGGAGGGCTGGGATGACTGATGGTCAGAGGTCAAGTATCTGCCACCTTCCTCCCCTCCTGCTCCACCCCCTCAGAAGTTGCTGTCAACCATCCTAAAGACAGAGAGGAGACAGCCCTGTCCATGCGCCCTGAGACAGCCTGGGAGGGGGCCAGGCACCTGTTGACAGAATTTCTGGCCTTTCATGGATTCAAATCCACATGTCTGGCCAAAGAATAAAATAGTGATTTCAACTAGGCAAGTTCAGCAGCAGACAGAAAGCTTTTATTTCTTAAAATTGCCTTTTTTTCCACTGAAAACAGGAAGAAACACAACTAAGAGTAAAAATTAGGTTTATAAAAGTACAAAGTGCCAGAAACATAAATAGATGACTCACCAAAAAGACACTAAAATGCCACTCAAAAAATGAAAAGATGTTCAACTTCACCTGTAAGAAGAGAAATGCAAATGAAAACTACACTGAGATACTCTCAAACTGGCAAGTTACCCAGCCTAGCAGCACCGTGACATGGGTGTCCCCAGACGCCTCTGAGTGGGGTAGGAGTCAGAACGGAACTTCCCGCTGGGTACTTTAACGAAGTTTTGGGTTCACTGGCTTCCTGACTGGCAACCCTGCTTCTAGGAATTTACCCTCAAGACAACATAAAAATGGCCTTTAAAGATATGCAAATACATATGCACAGGTTATTCCATACCGGTTTGTTAATAATTGTGAAATACCAGAAACAGCCTAAATGCTCACACATACGAGGCAGGTTGAATAAGCGCTGTCTTCACACAGCGAAGAACTGTGCAGGACCTGAGGAGGGGAGATCTCTGTGAAGCATTGTGGAGCAATTTCCAGGCTATATTGTGGGTTTTTTTTAAAAAATCTATTGTTTTAATTGACAAAAAGAATTGTGTATATATGTATTGTATATCTATAGTAACCCCTAGGCTCAAAAAAATAAAAATAAAAAAGAAGTGTCAACAAATACTGAACCCCACTTGGTAAAGTCTTTTCCCCTAGGATTAAGCAGATAAATATGTATGTTGCCTAAAATAGAATCCAGGTTTCTCAGTCTCAGAGGAGGGAGTTGAAATACAGAAAGAGGAGAGGCTGGAATAAAACATGTGCGGTTAAACTGGATTTGAAGGCATCAAATAGAGATAAGTTGGAAATAGACACAGAAATACACACACACATGCACACACATATGCACGTGCATGCACGCACGCGCATGCACACACACGCACGCACGCACGCACACACACGCACACACATGCATGCACGCACACACGCACACACATGCACGCACACACACGCACGCACACGCATCACACACTCCCCATCCTGGCTCTGTCGACTACAGGACCTGGAGGTCATGACACCTCGGCTGTCATGAGCACTCCTCACACCCAGATCTTGATTTCTAAATATCACTCGCCACCCAGAGAAGCACGGGCTCCTTCAGGAAGGGGCTAACTCTACAGCTATGTCAGAGAAAGTATAGGTTGATCCTACAGCATCTCATTTCATAGAAAGTAAAGAGGGACTCAGAAATGACAGCCACGTGTCCAAAAGACATGGGAACCAGCTTTGAAGGAGCTCCCGCTGACCTTTCAATTTCAGCTTTAAAATAATGGCAATAAATTTAACCTTGGAATAAAATAAGAATCCATCAGTCCATACTGATATAAATGAACATAAATAAAGGGGGGCGGGGCAGGGAAGGCTTTCCTGCCAAGGATGGGCCCATTCACAGAGGCCGGAGGGACAACAGGAAAACTGCCCCTTGTACTAATCAATCAACCGGAACAGCGAGCTGTCTGGACCAGAGCCGCCCTCAGCAGGTGTGAGCAGCATGCTGGAGTCCGACGAGGAACCAGAGTCTCCACTCACTCACCAAACCCTACCACAACTCCTGGCTTCACCAAACCCTACCACAACTCCTGGCTACGTGAAGAGGGGGCCCTGGGAATTTCACAGGAGAGCAATTCAACCATGTGATCAAGTTAACATCCCCAGTAACATGACATCCTGAAATCACGTGTTTCCTGATGCCATGCTCCGAGATGGAGGCAAATTCCTGAAAAAACACAACACCCCAGCTCATGCCTGTAATCCCAGCACTTTGGGAGGCCGAGGTGGGTGGATCACTTGAGCTCAAGAGTTCAAGACCAGCCCGGGCAACATGGTGAAATCCCATCCCTACTAAAAATACAAAATTTAGCCAGGCACAGTGGAGTGCACCTGTAGTCACAGCTACTTGGGAGGCTGAGGCAGGAGAATCACTCGAACCCGGGAGGCAGAGGTTGAATTGAGCTGAGATCGTACCACAGCGAGCCGAGATCACGCCACTGCACTCCAGCCTGGGTGACAGGGCGAGACCCTGCCTCAAAACAAACAAAAACACCCAAATCTAATTGTGAGGAAACATCAGACAAACCCTCCGTGAGGAACCTTCTGTAAAACTACTGTCCTTCACTCTTCAAAAATGGTCCAAGGGAAGAAAGACAAGGAAACATTACAGGTTAAAGGGGATTAACTGGACGCCACCAGTAAAAGTAGTACCTGGTATTGGATTGGATCCTGGACCAGAAACACACACACACACACACAGCTCTAAAGGACCTTATGGGGCAACTGAGACCATCTGACTGCAGACCCATCACGATACTGCAGCCATGTTACACTTCCCCCTCTTGATTATTTCCTGTGGTTTTGTAAGGAATGTTCCTGCTCTTCGGAAATGCATGCTGGGGCACGTATGGGGTGAAGGGAGTATCACATCTGGAACTCACTCTCAAACACCATTTGCCTCATCCTGTCTCCCTCTTTTTCTGAATCATCTGACAGCAACTTGTAGATAAGAGAGAAAGACAAAGCTAACAGGACCCAAGGCTGGCAGTGAGTGGATCCTCAGGGGAGGTGTATGGGTTCTATCTCTGCACATTTTTTTGGTAAGTGTGAAATTATAGCAAAATTAAAAGCTACCAAAAAAGATCCCCCTTCTTTCTAAAATTAATACTAAAGGGCCTAAAACAAATGAACACAGAAGCACACCTGGGAAGTTGTTATTTTATCGGAACTATGCAAGGGATATGGAAGCAGCAAGTGTGCAAGAAGAGAGAGTCTAAAACATGGCACACCCCTCGCTTCTAAGGGGCTTGGCACAGGTCACCAAACCCTGGAGGACTCTCTGTTTACCCACCAATGCCACTGATGAGCCACTCTGCAATACAACGGCACCAAGCAGTATTGTCTTCCTTTATCCTAATGCTCAAAAAACTGCATATATTGCTAAAGGCAGGACTGCCTTTGCAAGACAAAGTTTCAGTCCAAGATACCAAATTGTGAATCACACTCAATGCACCCCAGTTTCACTATCGCCTGCTGTGAGCTCAATCCTGTGTCCTACAAAGGAGAGGTGGTAACTATCCCCCATACCCAACACAGATCCTGGCACATAGAGATCAGTCAATAATGTTTACCAAAGGAAGGGAGGGAGGGGAGGGATGGAGGAAAGAGGGAAGGACAAGGGAATGAGGAGGAAGGGAGAAGGGGAGGAAGGGAGAAGGGAAGAAGAGGGGAAGGAGGGAAGGAGTGAGGGAGGGAAGGAAGGAGAGAGGGAAGAAGGGAGGGATGGAGGGAGGAAGGGAGGGAGGAAGAGATGGAAGAAGGGAGGGAGGGAGAGAATGGAGGGAGGAAAGGAGGGAGGGAGAGAAGGAAGAAGGGAAGGAAGGAGAGAACGAAAGGGAGGGAGAAAGAGAGGGAGGGAAAGAAGGAAAAAAGGGAGGGAGGAAAGGAGGGAGAGAGGGAAGGAAGAAGGGAGGGACAGAGGGAGGAAGGGAAGGAGGGAGGGAGGGAGGGAGAGAAAGAAGAAGAGGGAGGAAGGGAGGGAGGGAGAAAAGGAAGAAGGGAGGGAGGAAAAAATGAGGGAGGGAGGATGGGAGAAAAAAAGGAATGAGGGAGGGAAGGAAGGAGAGAGGGAGGGAAGGGAGGAAGGGAGGGAAGAAGGGAGGGAGGGAGGAAGGGAGGAGGCAAGGAGTGAGGGAGGGAGTGAGGGAGGGAAGGAAGGAGAGAGGAAGAAAGGAAGGCAGGAAGGAGGGAGGGAGAAGAGAGAGACAACATCCCTGTCTTTCAGGGGAGAAAAGAGACTTGACAGTTTCCTGCCCCAGCTGGAAACAGATGGCTCACTTAAACTGGATAATTTGAAGAGCATGAATAGAGGAATTGTTTACAGAGTTGTCACAGGATACAGGAATCAAAAAGACAGTGATGTTTCCACAGGCTGGCAAAATCTGGAAGCCCACCCTTGTGAGAAGAGAGAAGGTATGAAGCGGCATGGGAGGAGAGCAATGTGGGGCAGGCGCTGTGGGTTTGGGGAAAGGGATGAAGCTTCCAGCAGGGAGGAAACAGCCACCACCCTGCTTCCTTCCAGCCAGGACCCCTGGTGAGGGGATCATGCTGAGCCCCTACACAGCTGCAGGCGGAGGACTGGTCGTGAAGGAAAGGTGGACCTTGTGATTAGAGGTTTGGGGCTTGGAGCCAGGTGATATCAGCCTGACCCCCAGGGAGGGCGGGGGCTGGAGCTGGAGTTTGATCACCTGGCAATGACTCCCATCAATCACACCCATGGAATGAAGCCCCAGTAAGAACTCTGGCCACCGAGGCTCAAGGAGCTTCCTTGCCAGTGATAGATGGGGGTGGTGCCGTGTCCTGAGGATATGGAAACTTCACATTTGGGACCCTCCCTCAGACCTGGCCTTGTGTGTCTCTTGACTTGTGTCCTTTATGACAAATCTGTAATAAGTATAGCACTTTGCTGAGTTCCCTGAGCCATTTTAGGGAATTTTCAAACCTGAGGGGGTTGTGGGAATTCCTCAGGTTTGCACCCAGTTGTTCAGAAGCACAAGTGGCCCGAAACCGCTGCAATCCCTGAAACCACCTCCCTGGAGCTTGTAACTGGTGTCTGCAGTGTGGGGGCCTCAGGTGGACCATGCCCTTAACCTGCGAAACCCGACCCAATGCTGAGGAATGAGTGTCACAATTGCATTGAGAGCAAGTTCAAAGCGAAGGTGACGGTAAGAACACTCGATAACATTTTAGTGCTTCCAACATACGGGGTCCTGACCCCAGGAACTACTCAGCCCCACAAACAGCCTGTATGGCAGGGCAGCCTCAATGTCCTAATTTTACAGATACAGGGCCTGTGGCTGAGAGATATGGACCTGGGACGGGAGGCTGCACAGAACGTCTGCAGAGTGCACAGAAGAAACATCGGGCAGCCTGCGCGCCTCCTGCACCTGAGGAGCTGCGAGGGCAATGGAGGCAGCATGTGTGGGATGAGATGGTCAGATGGTCAGATCCTGGGGTCCAGGTCCAGCCCATGCTGAGGTCTGAGGGGAGTGGGTGGATGAGCAGAAAGAACACTCGGGGGCCATAGGCAGGTGAAATGGTTTTATTCAGCAGCAGCTCTCATTAACAGCTTTCTCACACTGGCTCTTTACACCACCTGCCCAGTCTCGGCTGCTTGAGCCGGTGGCTCCCACAAGCAGCTGCATGGCCGGCTCTCCCCTGCCCTCAGGGTTAGCAGCTTAACTCTTTCTCTCTCTGGGCACAGCACAAGCTGTGCCATGCCATGCCGTGCCATGCCAAGCTATGCCCTGGCTCCCCAGATGGACAGCTCTGGTTCTCTCTCTCTTTCTCTGGGTGCCAGTGCACCCTCCATGTTAAGCCAAGTTGAGCCAAGCCAAGCCCCGAGAGCCCCTGTACAGCGTTAGCAGGGCAATTATACCTTTTGCAGACAACAGTGGCTCAGAGCCATGTATGAACTTAAACAAACAGGTTATATAACACGTGGAGGTGTGCGCCTGCGTGCCGAACTCACTGAGTCACTCTGGCCAGACATGTGCCTCGACCTATCCTTAACCAAACACATCCATGTATCTTACAGAGACCAGCGGGAAGAGAATTCTGCACAGGGAACAGCCCAAACCAGGGCACAGGGGTGAGAGGGGACACGGGACTGTGGTGAGACAGACATGGCTGGAGCAGCAGGACTCACGCCTGGGCTGGTGGGGCAGTGTTCACGGCACAGCATGCAAATAGCACGTGCTTGATAACTATGTAATAAATAGGCTAAAAACTGGAATAGTAGCTTGCACTAACAAGATAAGACCCAAGGGAAGACACATCAGATGATATGGCTGGGCTCTGTGTCTCCACCCAAATCTCATCTTGTATTGTAATCCCCATAATCCCCACGTGTCCAGGGAGGGACCAGGTGGGAGGTGATTGCACCACGGGGCGGTTTCCCCGTGCTGTTCTCGCGAGAGTGAGGAAGTTCTCACGAGATCTGGTGGTTTTATAAGGGGCTCTTCCCCTTTCACAGCTCACTCTTCTCTCTCCTGCCACCCTGTGAGAAGGTCAAGCTTGCTTCCCCTTCACCTTCCGCCATGGTTGTAAGTTTCCTGAGGCCTCCCCAGCCATGTGGAACTGTGAGCCAATTCAACCTCTTTCCTTTATAAATTACCTGGTCTTGGGTATGTCTTCATTGCAGTGTGAGAACGGACGAACACACTAGGAATGCAGGAGCTCTTTCCTAGTGCCTGTGGTCAGAATACCCTTTCCGAGTGTGCCAGGATTCTTCTCTCTAAGCAGTGTAGCCACTGACGGTGAAAACCACCCAAGAAGTAACAAGCACCGTCTTCAAGTGTCCGTACTTGGGATCTGTGGTGGGTTGAAGGCCGGGGCTCAGTAACACACATTTAGGCCTTTTTCCACAGAACCTAAGAATGTCGCCTTATTTGGAAAAGAAGCTTTGCAGATATAATTAAATTAGGGATCTTGAGATGAGGAGAGCATCCTGGATTATGCAGGTGGGCCCCGAATCCAATGACTGCTGTTTTTATAAAAGACTCACAGAGGAGCACACAGATACACAGAAGAGGAGAGGGTAATGTGACCCCGGGGGCAGACACTGGAGTGATGCTGCCAGGAGCCCAGGAATGCCTACGGTTGGGAGAGACAAGGAAGAGGCCCTCCCTTGAGCTCTGGGAGGGAGCACAGCCCCGCCGACACCATGATCCCGGCCCCAGGACCTCAGACTTCCGATCTCCAGAACTGAAGTTTTAGGACTCTATATTTATGGTGATTTCTTACTGATGGACGTTCTAGGAAGGCATGGAGAAGCGGATCTTCCCGGCAGCCACCAGCGTGTGAGCATTTTGCCTCGGGAAACTAGAGGGCAGTAGTCATGTGGGTTCTCATGAACACGCCAGCCCTGCTCTCTCTCCTAGCTCTGGGCCCAAGGCCTTGGTATGTGCAGCTCCCTCCAACTGAGGCACCCTTCCCCCAGGGGTTCCATGGTCAGCTCCTTAGCCGACTTTATATATATGGAGGTCTCAACATAAAGTTTACACTTGTTCAGCACCATGAAGCCGCCAGTCCGACACCCATTCCCAGTACCCTTCTCTCACACCCGCCTCCACTAGAGAGGCTGGAAAGGAGAAACGCTCACTGTCCCACCCTCCCTTGCAGCTACAGTTGTCCATGGGGCATAGATCCACCCACCAGCTCATGAGAAGTCTGTTAAAGAAGATTTAGGAAGACTTTTCTTTCCATTTATTTATTTATTTATGAGATACAGTCCCTCTCTGTTGCCCAGGCTGGAGTGCAGTGGCGCAATCTCAGCTCACTGCAACCTCTGCCTCCCAGGTTCAAGCAATTCTCCTACCTCAGCCTCCTGAGTGGCTGGGATTACAGGTGCCCACCAGTACGTCTCTTTTAGTAGACACGGGGTTTCACCATGTTGGCCAGGCTGGTCTCAAACTCCTGACTTCAGGTGATCTGCCTGCCTTGGCCTCCCAAAGTGCTGGGATGACAGACGTGAGCCACCACACAGGCCGGGAAGGCTTCTGCTTTTCTGATAGGACAGAAAAGTAGAAGGGGCTAGATGGGGCTGGTGCCACGTTTCCTACCATGAGCACAGATGTGGTGCCTGGAGCTACAGCAACCATTTTGTGACCTTGAGGGGGCAAAAAAAATAAGAGACCCCGGCCCTGATCCAATGTCACAGCTTCCCACTTTCAGACTTCTGATCAAGTGAGAAATGAAGTCCCCCTTGTTTACGCCACCTCACTGTCAGATGCCGTCATTCCTCACTGCTCTGTTTCCTCACCCAAGAGGATGTCCCTAACATCTCTGACTTGCGTCTTTCCCTCCATCATCTCTACCACGTTTCTCTGATCGATTTCCCTTATTGCACAAACTAAAATTATCTCATTATTGACTGTCTGCCTCCTCTACGCCACCACTGGGATTTAAGCCGCATGAGAACAGGACCTTCTCCTAGTCACCAGCCTATCCCCAGTGCCTAGATGGGTACCTATGAACACGAACCTCCCCACCCCAAAGATTTGTTCAAGCCAGGGTTGCTCAGTCTCAACACTGTCGAAACTGTGGGCTGCCTCATCTGTTGCACAGGGCTTTCCTGGGCATGGAAGGATGTTTTGCAGCACCGCTGGCTTCTACCAACCAGAGGCCAGCAGCACGTCCCCACCCCCACCCCAGCTGTGATAACCAATAACTTCTCCAGACATTACCAATAGTCCCTGGGGGCAAAATCATCCGGTTGAGAACCGCTGGTTTAATGAATGGGTTTAATGATTGCCTGAAATGGCCTCCTCCAAGTGCATGTGGAAATGATACAATATTGAAATATACTGGTAGATGAGAAAGTCAGGCACCAAAAACAAAATTATTTTCATGCCACTTAGAAGAAAATTATTTATTGTCACATGAATCACATGATGCTATGGTCAGTGGGCCAGCATATTTGCGTACGTGTTCCTGGGCATAATTTGAGATGATATGATATGGTTTCAGCATGGAAAAGGGCCACATTCTTACATTTCCCACCTCCAGTGGAAGCTGAAAACTCCACAGACTCGTGTCGGTTGGACGACTCGGAATGTGCCTCCAAGTCTCATCAATGCTCGGAGAATTCTAAGATAATTCCCTTTTAAACCCTCAAATCTCTCACTCAAAATGCTCTGCTCTAATTCTAAGGAAATTTCCACAGATGGAGACAAAGATAAATATGTGCTCTTGGCCAGGTCTGCATCTCACAATACGACTCATTAAATCAATTAAATCACTCGCTTGGCAGCATTATTTATGGAAATAAGAAATCGTTTTCCATCAGCAAGTTTGAGGGTGGCTAAACACCGCTTCACAGCGGTAGGGTGGATTGAGCTCAGGCTCACATAATTATGAACCAAAACTTCCATCTTGTGAGGCCTCTTTTCACTCTCCCAAGTGCTTCCAAATCCACTTAGGACCTTGTGTCTCCCAGAACAGTATCTCCTTTTGCAGAGGGGAACAGCCTCACAGCATCTCTATGTGCAGATGAGAACTGGAAGCAGCACGTGGGCAAGTTGCCAGCTAAGCCAGAACCAGAACTCCAGATTTTAACAGCAAAACCTCCACGGGGGGTTGCAGAGGCCAGTCTGGCAGGCAGGGAGGTAGCAGCTTTGGGGAACTGAAGAACCACTGCTCCCCTCTGCAAGCTGATTGCAGCCGCTCAGAAACAGAATGGGTGTCGCCGGAGCCTCTCATTTCTTTTCTCAAGACAACTGTCAGAAATTCAGCTTATGATAGGAAAGTTTTGCACTTTGGGTTGTTAACATTAGCCACCAATTCAAAATTGAAAACACAGCGTTTACAGGCCTTATCCTAGTATTTAGATCCACACTTCGTCACCTTCACACTTTCCTCTGCCCAAATTCCTTCATTCCTCAGGAAGCCACCTCAAGTCGTTTCCCTCTCAGGGATTCGTGCTGCTCCCAGGAAACAAAGGAAGACCCAGAGAAAGAACAGTCTGTCTCAGAAAAAGGGCAGAGATTTCTCAAAGGAAGAACTCCCACTCGAGGATGGAAGAATCACCAGTGCCTGCTCCCGCCCTTCCTGAAGGACCAGGACTTGGGCTAAGTTGTTAGAACATCCACACATCGCTCCCCGTTTAGGTTCCTGGTAAACAGCAGGAGCTGCTCAGGCAGAGGAGGTGGGTGCCTCGCCGGACAACTCAACTCGCGGGCTGGCTCGTCTGCCAACCTCATCCTGGATCTGGGACTGGCCGTCAGATTTCCCAGGGGCTGCCACCCCATCAACCTGTTGCCGGCACAAAGAGGCTAAAAGCCTATTTGGCAAAACCCTAAACAAATGGTCGGTACCCCCAAAACCAAACCTGGAGCTGTAGCGAAGGAGGCTGAGGCACTGAAGAACCTTGTGATGCCTCAGCTATGCCAGAATCAATCCCCATGGCCCACCAGCTACTGACCTCCAGAGGCTGGGGAAGCGCCACAGCCCAGAGGCCCACGGAGCTTTGGGAAGAAGGCCAGGTGGGCGTGCCACTTGTGGGTCAAGGCCTGCCAGAAATCCTGCTTCGAGCCTGGATGAAAGGCCATTGCAGTAGAACTGGAACTGCATTCATGGAACCTCAGAGGGTTTGGGTCTGTGTTCCTGCCCAAATCTGAGGTCAAATTGTATTCCCCAGTGTTGGAAGTGGGGCCTGGTGGGAGGTGCCTGGATCATGGGGGTGGATTTCCCTTTTGGTGCTCTTCTTATGATAGTGAGTTACTGTGAGAGCTGGTTGTTTAAAAGTGTGTAGCACTGGGCCAGGCACGGTGGCTTACGCCTATAATCCCAGCCCTTTGGAAGGCCGAGGCAGGTGGATCACCTGAGGTCAGGAGTTTGAGACCAGCCTGGCCAACACGGTGAAACCCCATCTCTTTTAAAAATACAAAAAAAAAAAAAATTAGCCAGGTGGCGTAGCACGCACCTGTAATCCCAGCTACTCAGGAGGCTGAGGCAGGAGAATCGCTTGAACCTGGGAGTTGGAGGCTGCAGTGAGCCAAGATCGTGCCACTGCACTCCAGCCTGGGCGACAGAGTGAGACTCTGTCTAAAATTTAAAAAATAAAAAAAATGTGTGTGGCGCCTCCTCCTTTCCTCCTTCACTTTTTCTCTAAGTGTTTGGCGCCTTCTCCTTCGCTTCTCTCTCTCCTGCTCCAGCCATGTAAGACATGCCTGCGTCCCCTTCGCCTTCCGCCACGATAAAAAGTTTCTTAAGGCCTCCCCAGCCATGCGTCCTGTACGGCTGGTGGAACCATGAGCCAATTACGCCTCTTTTCTTTAGGAATTACCCAGTCTCAGGTAGTTCTTTACCGCAGTGTGAGAATGGACTCACACAGAACCAGAGGGGATGAGGACGTAGTTGTGCAGAGCAGGGCTGCTTCCTGGGGGACAGAGCAGGATGGCAGTGTGGTGACACCTGTGTGCACCTGGGCACCTGGGCAGTTCTGCATAGCTGGGCAAGCCAGGGACATAGCGGCATACACCAACACCCCTGTACCATCCCTAACGTGATCCTTTACCCCTCACGTGGGTTATTTTAAAATTAGGGTGAAATGCACACAGCCTGAAATTGACCATTTTTATACAATACAGTGGCATGGAGTGGCTTCACAATGTTATGTGACCATCACCATTGCCTAGTTCCAAAACCTTCTTATCACCCCAAGCCGAAACCCCATATCCATGACCGGCCGCTCCCCATTCCCCACCCCCGCCCCTGCACCCTCCATCAGCATGCTTTCCGTCTGTGTGGGTTCGCCTGCTCGGGACGGGTCGTATACGTGGGATCCTGTAACACGTGGCCTTCCGGGTCCGGCCTCTTCCACACAGCGTGTCCGCAAGGTTCATCCGTGTGGTGGCGTGTGTCAGGCTTCATTCCTTTTCGCGGCTGAATCAGATTCCATCGTGTGGATGGAACACATTCACGTTTCGTTTATCTGCTCATCTGTAGAGGGGCGTGCAGTGAGCTTTTTACAGATGTTCCCACCCATTCGTGTCAAAGAGAGCATCCTTGATCCAAAGACACAAACTACAAAAGGGCACAGCCGGGACTAGGACCCCAGTTGTCCCGAAGGACCTGTTGGCCGCCAGATAGTGGTTGAAGGAAGGGACGCAAGCCCTGGTTGACGGAGCCGCGGCCTCTGCTGAGACAGGCGGGTTTGTCCGCAGGCCTTCGGGAACGATGGGTGTCTCACGCTTCTACCTAAGGCCAACCACCAGTCAGTCCTCCCTCTCTCCTCGTCCTGCTCCACACAGCGCCCCGTGGAGCAGGCCTCCCCACCCAGCACTTGTCCTCATTTGTGTCTGTGCCCACAGGCTCCACCGCCCCAGCTCTGCCTGATCCACCACCCGCCAGCCTGCTCTGCACAGAGGCAAAATCTGTCCCTGCTGGGTTCCTGCCTCCCCTTCTCCAACAGAGCCCCTGCTCCTGCAATGCCCAGGCCTCCTTCCTGTCCCCACTCCCTTCCGTCCACCCCCATGCCTCCAGGCCGTCCACCCCCATGCCTCCAGGCCGTCCACCCTAAGCTCTGGGTGTCTAAAGAGAATCCTAGGTTTCCCCCGAAACTGCTCTCTGAGAGCCACACCAATCAGATCGGTTTCAGCTTTATACAAAGAAAGAATCCACGTGACTTTGACACAATTACAGCACTCCGATATAAAGTCTGGAGGTTCATGGTACAGCCAGTGTATTAAACAGCTGGGTGGTTTCTTATGAAACTGCTGTGCTTATGACCCAGAAATCCCACTCGGGTATTTACCCAAAACACATGGAAACGCACTGCCATGGTCTGAATGTGGGACCCCCGGCTAGACCTCGCATGCTGCAATTCTAAGCCCCTAAGGTGGTGGCATCAGCAGGTGGGGAGCTGTAGGACGCCACGAGAGCTAGAGTGTGGGGCTCTCACGATGGCATTAGCGCGCCATAAGGGGCTGAAGAGACCAGAGCTCCCGACTGCCACCGCGTGAGGACACAGCCTTGAAGACTCCATCTGTGAAGCAGGAGGTGGCCCTCATCAGGCACCGGACCTGCTGATGTCTTGATTCTGGGCTTCCCAGCCACCAGCGCTGTGAGCAACCAATGCCTGCTATTTATCAGCCACCCCGTTGATGGGGTTTTGCCACAGCAGCCTTGATGAACTGGGACACACATGTGTTCACACAAAAACCTGTAGGTGAATTTTTTTAGGGGCTTTATTCTTAACTGCCCAAAATTGGAAAAAAAATCCAAATGTCCCTCAGTGGAGGATGGATTAAAAAAAAAAAAAAAAAAACGGGGGCCAGGCACGGTTGCTCACGCCTGTAACACCAGCACTTTCGGAGGCCAAGGCGGGCAGATCACAAGGTCCAGAGATGGAGACCATCCTGGCCAACATGGTGAAACCCCATCTCTACTAAAAATACAAAAATTAGCTGGGTGTGGTGGTATGTGCCTGTAGTCCCAGCTACTCAGGAGGCTGAGGCAGGAGAATCGCTTGAACCCGGGAGGTGGAGGTTGCAGTGAGCCAAGATCGAGCCACTGAACTCCAGCCTGGGTGACAGAGCGAGAGTCTGTCTCAAAAAAAAAAAGAAAAAAGAAAAGAAAACACACACACAGTGGCACATCCATACAGTGGAATATTACTCAGCCACAAAAAGGAGCAAACCACCACACAGCCCAAATCATGGATGAGTCTCAAATGTACCATGAGAAGAGACGGTTCCAGACCCACAGGCTTCCTGCCGATCCCACGCATGTGGCCTGCAGGGAGAGGCAGAACTCCAGCAGGGACAAGTGAGGGGCTGCTGGGGTCAGGGTGAGGGGAGGGAAAGCCTGCCAGGGGACAGGAGGGAACCCTTAGGGGTGACGGGAAAAAGCCTGTGGCTTAGTCATGTGGGTTACACAGCTGCATGCATTTGTCAGCACTCACAGCAGTGTGCACCTAGAAAGGCACCTGTGTAAACCCTACCTCCACAAATGTGAGTTTCAGAACATAGTCTAGATTAGGGGTTTTCAATCAGGAGGTGATTGTGGTGCCCAGGGGACAGCAGGTGATGCCTGGAGACATTTTTGGTTGTTACGACTAGGGTGGGGGTGCTGTTGGCATCTGGTGGGTAGAGGCCAGGGACACTGCTCAGCCTTCTACGAGGAGCATGGCAGCCCCCTACAAATGGGCCAAGCATATGATGATTATGTCAACCACAAAGGTACACGGAGAGGCACTGGGAGTACACACAAGTGACAAGTCACGTGAGCATGCTGGGATGATGAGTGAGCGTCTTCCATTAAGGTTATCTTTAGGGCCGGGTGCAGTGGCTCACAGCTGTAATCCCAGCACTTTAG
The DNA here is from genome assembly GCF_000001405.40 of Homo sapiens. NCBI lineage: Eukaryota > Metazoa > Chordata > Mammalia > Primates > Hominidae > Homo > Homo sapiens. The sequence goes on from NC_000012.12 coordinate 130,677,388, forward strand.
AAGGCCAAGGCAGGCAGATCACCTGAGGTCAGGAGTTCGAGACCAGCCTGGCCAACATGGCGAAACCCCATCTCTACTAAAAATACAAAAATTAGCTCAGGGTGGTGGCGGGCACTTGTAGTCCCAGCTACTCAGGAGACTGAGGCAGGAGAATCACTTGAACCTGGGAGGCAGAGGCTGCAGTGAGCCAAGATCGCAACACTGAACTCCACCCTGGGAGACAGAGCGGAACACTGTCTCAAAAAAAACAAACAAAAAAAAGATTACCTTTAGCACAGGTGTTAACTACGTGTTAATACAAAACCAGTCTGGGGTGGGGTCAAGCCTTTGTCAACTGTCCATCAGGGCCCCACTAGGCCTGTGTGTTTCCCTGAGCCAAACCGGACCACTGTGGCAATTTCCACCACTGTCCCCCCAAAATCATTCTTTATCCAGCATTCAGAGCAATGTTCATTTTAAAGCATAAACCAGATCACATTACACCTCGTTACCATTTCTCCATCGCACCCAGATGAATCCTTGCCTTGGCCTGAAGGCCCCGCAGAAGGCACCCCTCCTCCACCTGGCTCCCTCTCCCCTCCTCTCTGCACCCACCGTGCTCAGCACCTAAACAGGCACCTTCCTTCTTTCTCTACCCTTCTTCTTGGCAGAACAAAGGACTGTTCTGGATTGCCTGAGGGTGACTGGATGGGGAAGAGCCCAGTTCTTTCCTTATCGAAGTCCCTCCCACAAACAAACCTGGGTGCAGCCTCTATGACCCTAGACGACTCTTCCCTCTGCCTGGATTAGAGCCAGACACAGGCCTCCTGAGAGCAGAGGGCCTGGTGCCACCCACACTCTCTAAGAAGGCTGGGGGAGCAGCGAAAACGCCAACAGGAAACACGACAGGAGAACAAGCCCTGGCACACGTGTTCAGCGGCAACATCGTCCCCAGGAGCCCGAGGCTGACAGAACTGAAGCATCCGTCAGCGGATAGGTGGACGAGCGGATCGTAGTGCTGCTGCGCCACGGAATATTCCGCAGCCACCAAAGGGGCGAAGTGCCCGCTCAGGGTACAGCGTGGGTGCACCTTGGAAACACGACACCCAGTCAAAGGAGCCAGGCACGAAGGCCACATGCTGCAGGATTGCACTTTTTTTTTTCTTTTTGAGACAGAGTCTCACTCTGTTGCCCAGGCTGGAGCGCAGTGGCACGATCTCGGCTCACTGCAGCCTCCACCTCCCAGGTTCAAGCGACTCTCCTGCCTCAGCCTCCAGAATAGTTGGGACTACAGGCACGCGCCACCATGCCCAGCTAATTTTTGTATTTTTAGTAGAGACGGGGTTTCACCATCTTGGCCAGGCTGGTCTCGAACTCCTGACCTCAGGTGATCCAGCCCTCCTCAGCCTCCCAAGGTGCTGGGATTACAGGCGTAAGTCACCATCCCTGGCCTAGGATTGCATTTCTATAAAATGTCCAGAATGTGCAGGAAAATCCACAGAGGCAGAACGTAGACCCATAGTCAGCGGGGGCTTGGAGTGGGGATGAGGCGTGACGGCCAGAGGGGACAGGGTTTGCTTTGGAAGTGATGAAAATATCTTGGAACTAGACGCTGGTGATGTTTGCACAACACTGCGAGTGCACTAAAGGCTACTGAACTGGATACTTTAAAATACTTAATTTTATGTTATATGAATTTTACTTCAATATAAATAAAAAAAGACTAACCTGATCATTTCCCAACAACAACCAAAAAAAAGAAGGGTTATAGAATCTAGAAGAATGATAAATTGTGCGTGCGGACTTTTTTAGGTAATGCAAACGAATGAACACCTGCCTCTCCTATACAATTAGGAAACCCTGCATTTATCATCAGGAAAGCTGGGATTCCAGTTCGCTGGATTTGACTAATTCCCCTTTATCCAGTACAGAGCCTGGCATAACCAAAAGTCACTGGCCCCATGCATTTGTGTCTAGAGAACCATTTGTCCACGGGGCAGGACATAACCCACTACTCATTAATTACTAGGAAACAACCTCTTTTCTCTTGGAGAAACCATTAGTCTCACAATCGCCTTTTTAAACATCCACGTTTGCACAAGAAAGTTAATCCTTGGTGTCAGAGGTCAAGGCGGTGACTTCTCTCACTGGGGAGGTGATGGACGGGGCATGAGAGCTCCCAAGGTCCTGAGGTGTCCTGTCTCTGATGGTGCGGGTGCAGGTGCGGGCGCATTCGCCTGGTGAGAATCTAGCAGCTGAGACGGCTGTGATGTGTACCCTTTTCTCTATGGATACTGGGCTTAAAAAACAAACACTCTGTACAAAAATACTTCACCCTCCCCTCAAATCCATGTTTTCTGAAAAAGTAACATAAGTGGCTTTTAAATATGAGAAAGACAAGCCAAACTTCTCTCAAACAAAGAAATAAAAAATATAAAGATGAATGTCCCTGTGTTCACCCACCGCGGGAAGGACCTGTGACTGTGACCACGCAGAGAGTGTGTTCGCCCGCCACGGGAAGGATCCGTGAGTGTGATCATGCAGGCAGTGTGTTCACCCACCGCGGGAAGGACCCGTGAGTGTGATCACGCAGGGAGTGTGTTCGCCCGCCGTGGGAAGGATCCCTGAGTGTGATCATGCAGGCAGTGTGTTCACCCACCGTGGGAAGGATCCCTGAGTGTGATCACGCAGGCAGTGTGTTCACCCACCGTGGGAAGGACCAGCAAGTGAGACCATGCAGGCAATATGCTTTGTATGGAAACAGGAGCTCTCATGCATTATTGGTGGGAGAGAAAACTAGTCCAACTTCTTTGGAAAGTTCTCAGTAAAAATCTCCCAAAACTAAAAATGCACATACCCTGCGACCCTACAGATTATCTTCCAGGAACTTTTCCTACAGGGATTCTAACATGAGCATGAAATGGCGTTGAGGATGACTTGGCTTGTAAGAGTAAGGTTGAGAAAGCTCCTGTGTGCCAGTCCATAGTACACGGTGCCATGGGTGCCTTTGAATGGAGGGGGCCAGAGCTGTGAGCACACAGATGGTGTCATGTTGTTCAGTGAGAAAAGCAGGGCAGTGGGCACAGTCAAGGAGCACTTGTGGGTTTTGGCCATGTGGGAACACACACTCAGATACACACATACACACGCAAGCTTGGACATGCAAAGGCTCTCGCTCAAATAACACAAGACACCGACATCACTGCCTGCTTCTAGGACCGCGGCTCTCGGGGAGAGGCAATTTTGCCCCCACCCACTCATACACACAGGAAGCATTTGGCAATGTCTGGGGGCATTTCGGTTATTGCAACTGGGGAGTGGCCAGGGCTGTTCCCACCATCTGGTGGGTAGGGGCCAGGGACATTGCTGAACGTCCTACAGTGCATGGAACAGCCCCATGACAAGGGCAGCCCGGCCCCGTGGCAGCGCGACTGAGGCTGAGAGGCCCTGGGCTCAGAGGAGATCGGGGTGGGAGGAGGACAGTTCCCGCCACACTTCATTTCGTGCTGTAGGGATTTTGTTGTGTGATAGATTAACTTTTGAAGTATGTTTTTAAATCTGTCTCCATAGCTGAACCCTGGAGAAATCTCAGCTTATGCAGAGGAATACTCATCTCTGTAGCATCTACAGGGCATTCTCTGTGCAGGCTTTCCTGATAATTAATAATTGGTATCAGGACACCAGAGGTGAGAGAGAAATCTCAAGCCCCAAAGCTGAATATTTCAAAAGAGGAACAATAATTGCAAGTTCTGTAAAAGTAGCTTCCCATACTTATCAACTTTTATTCACAAGGACTATGATTAGCAGTGGCTCAAGCCTGTAACCCTAGTACTTTGGGAGGTCAAGGTGGGAGGATCACTTGAGGTCAGGAGTTCAAGAACAGCCCAGGCAATACAGTGAGACCCTATCTCTAAAAAAAAATAAAAAATAAAAATAAATGCATGTACTTTTTACAAATTTTTTGTAATAAAATATAACATAAGATGTAAACCATTTTAAGTGAACACTTTAGTAACTTTAAGTATACTCACAATCCTTGTATCCATCACCTGTTTTTAGTTCCAGAATTTTTTATCACTCTAAACAGAATCTCTATGCTCATTAAGCAATAACTCCCCCTTCCTCCCTCCCCTATTCCCTAGTAACCTCTATTCTACTTTTTGTTGATTTTTTTTAAAAAAATCAATCTCATATTTCATGTTAATAAGCCAAGTTTAAGCAACACTTTAAGATGAACTAAGGTCGTGTAAATTAATTGCCAGCCTTGGTAATTAAGATGCGATAACTCTTTATCCATCCCTCACATGACAACCTCACGCGAGTATTTCTCTTTCTTTTTCTTTTTTTGAGATGAGTCTCTCTCTGTAGCCCAGGCTGGAATGCAGCGGCATAATCTCAGCTCACTACAACCTCCACCTTCTGGGTTCAAGTGATTCTCCTGCCGCAGCCTCCCAAGCAGCTGGGATTACAGGGGCTCACCACCATGCCCGGCTAATTTTTGTACTAAAAATGTAGGTACAGGGTATCACCATGCTGGCCAGACTAGTCTCGAACTCCTGACCTCAAGTGATCCACCCGCCTCAGCCTCCCAAAATGCTGGGATTACAGGAGTGAGCCACCGTGCCCAGCCATGCAAGTATTTCTTATGCATACATGTGGCAAAGACAGATCTCACTATCCCTCGTAAATGTGGGGCCCAACTTCCATAGTGTGGCATTGCTGCTGGGTGGTGGCTCACCCAGGGACACCCTCCCAGCCCTTGTCCCGTATCCCGGTGAGGGGATGTGACCCAAGCCAAGGGATGCATCTCCTTTCCTAGACAGACAGCCTCGTCCGCCCTCCCTTCCCCCACTGCCAAGGGATGCATCTCCTTTCCCAGCCAGAGAGCCTCGTCTGCTCTCCCTTCCCCTACTGCCGGCTGGATGCTGGGGCCTCTGGGGCCCTGGAGCACCGCCAGCCCCAAGATGGAAGAAACCTGGGTTCCTGAGTGACCACGTGGAGGAAGCCACTCACTGACCATTGCACCTCCCTGCAAGGGGGAAATGAACGGGCTGTGCTGAGCCCCCAGAGTTCCTGGATTTTTGCTGCAGCTGACATTAACCTGACTAACACCAGCGCCGCTTATGGATGTGAGCAACTGAAATTCAAATCATGCACGGCGCACCAGGGGTGTTTAATAAAAGTTGTCACTGCTGAATGCTAAAAAGCTAAATTTTAAAAAATAGCTGTATGCTGTAAAACTTGATCTTCCAAAAAATTCAAAACATATCAGACACGGAGTGCGTGCAGTGGTGGGCAGACGATCGATTTCCTTGTGTCACTTTGTGACACTGAGCTGTGAGGGACGGGTCCAGTCACTCAGGCATTAGGAGGCAGCGCCCAATCTCTGCTTCCCAGACTTCTGCTCCTGGTGATAATTGATGAAGACGAGACTCATTGGCCAAAGCCGTGCTCACAAGGGAAGGAGCCTTCCACAGGAGTCTGAAATTTCTAATAAGATTGTTCACATCCAAGTATTTCTTTCAGATACGAGTACCCCGAGCTATGAGCAAAACATTTGTCCCAAAAAGATTTTTATAAGTAAGTCATGTTTCTAGAAGCTGATGGGCTTATTTTGTTGTCTAATTATGTCGGAGGCGCACTATGTCTCATTCTTTTATCTTTAAGGTGAGGTCGTAGTAGTTGAATAGTGCCTTCCCCAAAAAACCCACATGACCCCATTTGGAAACAGGGTCTGTGCAGGTATAATTAAGGTAAGGGTAGAGATGAGATCCAGGGGGGTTGGGGTGGACCCTCCATCTGATGAGAGTGTCCACATAAGAGGTAGAAAAGGACACACACAGACACGGGAAAGCTCACACGGATGGCAGTGGAACCAGAGGTCGGAGTGATGTGGCCACAAGCCCAAGGATGCCAAGGACAGCCGGGGAACGCAGGGAGCCAGGCTCCCCACAGAGCCTCCAGGGGGAAGGCAGCTCTGCGGACACCCTGACCTCAGGCTTCCAGCCTCCAGAGCTGCGAGAGGATGCATTCAGGTTGTAAAGGCCCCCAGCTCTGATCACTGGCAATGAATGAACTAGGAAATAAATTCTCTGGTGGTATTGTCAGAGGCATGTGAACCAGAGCAACTCCATCTTGAATAGGGGCTGGGTAAGATGAGGCTGAGACCTACTGGGCTGCATTCCCAGATGGTGAAGGCATTCTAAGTCACTGGATGAGATAGGAGGTCGACAAAAGACACAGGTCATAAAGACCTTGCGGATAAAACAGTTGCAGTAAACAAGCCGGCCAAATCCCACCAAAACCAAGATGACCACAAGAGTGATCTCTGGTCATCCTCATTGCTACACTCCCACCAGCACTACGACAATTTACAAACGCCATGGCAATGTCAGGAAGTTACCCTATATGGTCTAGAAAGGGGAGGTAAGAATAATCCACCCCTTGTTTAGCATATAATTAAGAAATAACCATAAAAATAGGCAACCAGCAGCCCTCGGGGTTGTCCTGCCTATGGAATAGCCATTCTTTATTCCTTTACTTTCCTAATAAATTTGCTTTCACCTTACAGACTCACGCTGAATTCTTTCTGTAGAGAATCCCCTTTCCCTCTCCAGGACTTTTTCCAGATCCAGGAGAGAATCAACTAAGAGTCTGGCACCTTTATAAGTCTGATAAGAAACATTTACATCTGTTCTCTCTGAAGCCTGCTGTCTGGAGGCTGCATCTGCATCATAAGAACCTCGGCCTCCACAACCCCTTATCTGAACCCAGACACCCCTTTCTATTGATTCCAGGTCTTCAGATGAACTCATTCAACCAACTGCCAATCAGAAAATTTTTAAATCTACCTATCACCTGGAAGTCCCCATCCCTACCCCCACCCACACTTTGAGTTGCACCAAATCAACGTACATCTTAAATGCATTGGACTGATGTTCCATGTCTCCCAAAAATGTATAAAACCAAGCTGCGCCCCAACCACCTTGGGCACATGTTCTCAGGACCTCCTGAGGGCCGTGTCACAGGCCAGGGTCACTCATATTTGGCTCAGAATAAATCTCTTCAAATATTTTAGAGTTTCACTCTTTTTGTCAAAGGCGTTCAAACCATAGCGACTCCATCTTGAGTGAGAGCTAGGAAAAATGAGGCTGGGGCTTGCTGAGCTGCATTTTTAGGAGGTGAGGTGTTTCCAGGCTGTAGATGTTTACGGTTAAGATAACAGTTTGATAACATTTACTAAAAAGACCCAGACTTAGGAGTGTCCTGATATCCCGATATCTTGAGAACAGAAACATTCCTAATTTTGCTTTAAAGATAATAATATCGATTCTTGCAAAATGTAGTAATTAAGAAAATTAATCCTTTATCACAAACCCTTACAGCAGAGCACATCTCCCCATGATCTTTTTTTATCCCATATATATACGAGTATTACCCTTAGGGTGGACACCTTCCTTCTCTTACTTTCGGGACTGCCCTGCTCCGTCTATGGAGTAGCTCTTCTTTCACCCCTTCACTTCTTCATAAACTTGCTTTCACTCTGCACTGCAGACTCACCCTGAATTCTTTCTTGCAGGAGATCCAAGAACCCTCTCTGGGGGTCTGGATTAGGACCACTTTCTAGTAACATTTTTGTCAACATGAGTTCATCACCCACATTTAAAACTTACAAGATAAATCCAGAAACCAAACTTTTTGGATTCTCTTGAAAAATAAGGAGCTCCTGCAACCTTCCTAAATGGCAGCCACCCTCTCTTATCTCCCCCACACCGGGGACAATGTCTGCTGCCTTCTCTCTCTAGCCCCACTCTGCTTCATTAATAATAATATGGAATTACAGTAATGATAGGATTAAGAAGAAAGAGCATTTTTACCTCTCCGTCTCCAGATGGTGGAGATGTTCCTTTGTTTTACTACAGTAACCCCTTTATATACGGATCTCATAACATCATGTTGTATATCTTAAATATACACAATAAAAGCTATTAAATAAATAATAAAATTGAAAAACAGATGTTAAAAATGGAACCAGGAAGGCTGCATGATTCCAGAACAATCGGAGACAGTATGTCCCTTTGGAGAAGTGAAGAAGACGACTGGGCAGGCGCCGTTGCCCTATGATGTCATCCGCCTGACCCTGTGAGCATTTGGTTCAAAATCTCTGCCCCTGGAAGACTGAGTGGCCCGGCAGCCACTGAAAAGCCTCATTTCCAAAAAGCCCAGGCAGGAAGGGAGCCGTGTGGCCGCCGTGGCTCATGGCAATGCTGGAGTCACTGGGCCTCGTGCTTCTGAGCCCTTGAACGGCTCAGGTTAAAGAGATCCCGCGACTCTTTATGTTCTAAAAGCAGATCACTCCAAACAGCCCCCTTCCCCTCAGGCCTGGGATGAGATTCACAGATGCCCTGCTCTGTTTACCTATGACAAGGCCAGACACAGCCCCTCCAAAATCTCAGCCTTTGCCTTCTCAGAGATGAGCTGAACTGCGTGTCCGCTGGTGGACCAGAACAAAATGCGCATCAGCCAATCTTTCTTTAAGCTCCTCTCCTTCCCCTAGGTCCGCCCAGGCCCGCCCCCAAAGCATGAGCCCCAGAAGGCCCCCAGCATCCCCCCGGGGAGCAGATGCACCCCAAGGCAGGACTTTCTCCCATCTGCTGTCCGGTCCTTGCCACCGTGGCCCCAGCGCCTCACACCGCACACCGCCCGGCACCTGCTCTTCCTAGCTGGTTTTCTCCTCCCTTTAAAGGGAAAACCCAGGCTGCCTGGCCCTGGAGACTGGCAGTCACGGCCAGAGCCCTCCCCACATTCCCGTTGCCCCTTCCTGCCGCCATAGGGATCAGTTACAATAAAACCCCTCCTTCTGGAGTCCAGGATTTCTTCTGTGGCCTCATCATGGAGCTATGGTCACTCAGGAGGACAATGGGTTAAGAAACGCCTCTACCACGCTTCACTCCCCTCTGCAAGGTGCGGCAGCACAGACCCCGCGCCCCCAGGCTGTCAGATTGCTCAAACCCTCCCCAGGAAAGCGCAGCAGCACTGAGAAGCGCGGCCCAGACAGAAACCCGGGCACCTCGTCCCCTTTGTCCCACACGAGGCATTCTTACACGGGCCAGGCACACCGGAGTCACGTTGTGCTGCTGGCCCCAGTGGCTGAAAGTAGAGGCTGATAAATTTAAATCACTGCTGAGATGACAGCCCATCGCTGTGCCAGGAGAGGAGCCAAGTCTGCCAAGATCAGGACTTGATGGTGAAGCAAACGCTGGCACAGCCGTGCTGGCCCCGGGCCACGCGCACATGGCCAGGGCGTTTAGCACTCGGGCCTCCGCACCAGCAGGAGCGAGGCCGTGTCTTCCAACTCCCTCGACAGGCGTGAGGGGCACCTGCCAGCGCCGTCGGGGGCCTGGGGCACCAGATGGCTGCAGGGCCGGAGGAGGAAGGGGTGTGGACTGGAAAAGGTGTCGAGGCGGGAAGGGGACGCTCTGCTGGGAGGAAGAGGCCGCTACGAGCCCAGAAGGCAGCGGGGAGAGAACAGCGCAAGGCACAGGCGGCTGTTTGCACCAACTCATTTGCCGGCGTATACCTCGCGCTCGCTGGGAAGCATTTGCACAGGCTGCAAAGCGCAGCGATTAGAGACCCGCTTCCAAATAAAATCACCGTGGAGAGACTACATTTTCTTTTCAGCTAATCCTTTCATTATCTCACCTTGTTAAAGTGAAAATGTCATTATAGCTTTTTTCAGGTCAGCGCCCAGATCCTGCTGCTAAAACCTCGTCTAGTTCCTGATACTTTATGAATCAGAGACCCATCCGCCAAAGCCATGTTCAAAGGGCAGGATCGAGAGTGGCAAGTATCACTGGTCACATCCAAGCGCCTCTTTCAGATGTGAGTATCGCTGTCTATAAGCAGAATATTTGTCCCCGAAAGATGTATAAGTAAATCATGTTTAAGAGATCAGTGGCCCTATTGTATTGCATAACTATTTCAGAGATGCCTCGCGTTTTAATCCACCTGTAAGATGTGGTATAGGAGGTTAACCAGTCGCCCACGCCCCCCAGCACATCTGGGTGGTGGTTTCTGCACGTTTCACTGTATAATTATTTTTATAAACTAAAGGAAAACTAAACAAAGAAGATGTGTGAAAGGTGGTCTTTGTGCCTTTGTTCTGCGTGGTTCTGTGATGTGTATTTTCCTAGATGTTTGTTTCTTTGGGTAAAGCTTCTAGGTGACTGGGCATTGAACAAAGTAGATGAATAAATACAAGTTGTACTTTCAGAATGGAAAATCATTTAGGCAATACAGAAAGGTAAGGAAGAAAATGCTTAAAAATTAAGAAACTCCCATCATCTGAAGCATATAGACTTTCAGACATCTTTCTACCCATATTCACATATGGAAGAATATATGGGCTTTTACTAAGAAAGTATAATAATGGCTTATTTTTAATTCATTGATTTGCAAATGTTCATTGAACATAGAGTGTGCTTTGGGCACGTGCCTCAGGAAATGAGCTTGCAGCAGCATGATAAATGCTGGCAATTACTTCCCAACATGTATCCACAGATGAATTAAAATAGTGCTCAAAGCAATCTGCGATTTTAGAAATTATTACCACGAGAGACAGTGAAATGAGCCCAAAGACCTGACAATCTCGGCCAACAGCTCAGATCAACTATTGTTAAAATTCGTACTGTGGGAAAGAGGGGCACATCACAGAAGTCACCAGAGAGCTTACAAAATGACACACTCGGTGACCAGGCTCTGATGCCATTCCAAGCATGGCCCCACAGCTCCCGGCCCAGCCTGCACTGTTCATGCTGCTTGGCTTTGTGAACAGTTGCGTGGTGGCTTCTCAGCGGCCTTGGTGGCATGGGCAACACGTGCCCAGCTCTGCACCATGGGCACCCGGCAGACCCTCCTGCTGTTTCTGAACTCCTCACCTCCAGCCTTTCTAGCCTCACTAGCCTCCCAAGCTTGCTCCCGGTCTCAGGGAGCCACAGGAACACTCTAGAACACTCTGGAACACTCTGGGGCCATTGGATAACACATACGTTTGCTTAGGTATCAGATCTAATGAAAGAGAAAGAGAAGTAATTGACATTGAGTGAACATACACACCACTGTCCCTCCGTGGGGGCGGCCATGTGACCAAGAGCTCCCCCAAGCATGAGTCGTCTTCACCCCTCCATCCGTTACCCCCTGTCAGTTACCCCGGGTGACCCTTAGGACTCTGAGCACAGCCGGCGGGCATTCTCCCAGCCCTGCAGCAGGAGGGTGTGCTGGCCTTTCTTGGTGCCCAAGGGCAGGTGACAGGTACAGGCAGGGGGACACTAAAACCCCACATTCTAAAGACCCCAAAACAGAGGCCACATGGCCCCCTTGGGGCTCATACAGAGACACAGAACCACCTCCACCACCACTGTCTCCTCCGGCCCCCAATTCCAACTGCTCAGCTGAAACGTTTCGAACCAAGTCTAAACTCTGCAAAACGCTGGCTGAAACGTGGGCCTCACGTTGCCTGAGGCAGCCCACCCCACTCTTGCCCAGCAGAACTGGAGCGAAGGTCGGTCGCAGGCAGCAGAGAACTGCCCAGTGTGCGCCGATATCCTCTGTCCCTTTTCATTTCTGAAAAGCGCCGGTTACAGCCCACAAAATTGATTTCATGGCTCCCTAATGGGCTATGACCTGCGCTTACAGAAACACTGATTGATACACCAGATAAATCCTCGAGACCAATTTTCTCCCACCCACACCCCTCCATGCCAACACAGCTGCACCAAACATGAGGGGCTCCCGTGTCCTGGGCCGGGCACAGTGGCTCACGCCTGTAATCCTGAGGCGGGTGGATCATCTGAGGTCAGGAGTTCGAGCCCAGCCTGGCCGATGTGGCGAAAACCCGTCTCTACCAAAAATACAAAAATTAGCTGAGTGTGGTGGTGCGTGCCTGTAATTCCAGCTACTGGGGAGGCTGAGGCAGGAGAATCGCTTGAACCCGGGAGGCGGAGGTTACAGTGAGCCAAGATCGCTCCATGGCACTCCAGCTTGGGCAACAAGAGTGAAATTCCATCTCAAAAATTAATTAATTAATTAAATAAGTAACGACATCCCCTTCTCTTTCATTAGACCTGACACATAAGCAAACTGCAGGCCCGAGAAAAAGGATGATCCAGGATCAGTAGCAGCTCAGCTGGGCCCCAGGCTGTCTCCCGTGCAGTACGATTCTCCCCTGGACGTTAGAATAGGTGGAGGAGCTGCCTCTGATCCCAAGGCTTAGCTGGGGAGGGGGACGGGCCCATCAACACTTCGAGACTGCACCCCAAGTGCTGATGGACACAGAGATACACAGAACCAGTGGAGCCAATCACTGTAAACCCTGCCCGCGAGTGGAGGACCCAGTAGAGAGGCTGTGTTCATTTTCTATGCATCGTACCAAATGATCACAGATGGCGGCTTAAACAGCCCCATGTGTTAGCTCATAGCTCTGTGGGTCAGGCGTCTGGGCAGGCTCAGCCAGGCGCTCTGCTCACAGTCTTGTGAGGCCAAATTCAAGATGCTGGCCAGGCAGGCTCTTGTCTGCAGGCTCAGGAGTAAGGGGAGAACCTACTCTCAGTGCACTCAGGCTGTGGGAGTTAAGCGCCTCGCAATTGCAGAGCTGAGGCCCCGTGTCCCGCTGGTGCTGCCAGGGCCTCTCAGCAACTGGCAGTGCCTTCGGGTCCTCACTTCTGTCTTCAAAGTCAGCAAGGGCGGGTCAAGTCCTCCTCCTGCCTCTGCTCCCTCTACCTCTCCCTTCTGCCACCTGACAGAGAAAGCTCTCGGCTTGTGCAGGCTCCAGGGATTAGGCTGGGTTCTCCCAGGCGGCCTCCCTTTCTCAGGGCCCACCATGCCCTGGGGGTGGGGATCATGGACACAGAGAGAGACATCGTCCCATCCACAGGCTCCAGAGATTGGGGCAGGGAATCTTGCTGGGCACTGCTAGGGGTCTGCCCGCCACAGAAACTGGTGCTCTTTCCTGCTGCCCGAGAACCTGAGAGAATGAGGCTCTAACAGCTTGAACAGCGGTTTTGCCACCATGAGGCAAGGACCCATTTCAGAATGCAGAAAGAAGAAGAAACACAGACTCTTTGGCAACATGATTTGAGCCCTGAATTGAGCCACACCTGATGTCTGCGGTATCCTAGATTTTTCACTTACTCTGGCCCATGCATCCCCTTTTGGCTAATTCCAGTGGGAGAGGGATTTTCTGTTGCTTGCAACCAATGGTCCTGATTGCAATAACTGTACTATTTTAGCATAATCTTTAGGGCTAGCAGTGAGTCCACCAACTGTAGCAGGCCACGCACTTCCACTGGAAGCTCCAAACACCGAGGAAAATGACAAAAGGTCTGAGATTTTTCTCGGGGTGGAATATGATTTCACACATCAGGAGCTTGAAGCCTGGGACTCAAATATCACTTCTGAGGTGCAGAGAGAACCCAATAGCCCTCAGGAAAGCCTGGTGAGGGACATCTTCCTCTCGCTCCCCAGTGAGATGCCCTGTAATTCACACCAGCCCACAGGGAAGCCTGGTGAGGGACGTCTTCCTCTCCCTCCCCAGTGAGATGCCCTGTAATTCACAAGGGCCCACAGAAAAGAATGTTAAACAGCGTGTTTCTTGTTGGGGGAGGAGGGAGAGGAGCAAATGGGTTTCTCTTTCCTCAGAGGTCAGTTCCTCAAAGGAGCTGCCAGCCCCGACTCAACAGGGCGGGATGAGATGTAAAGGGAGAAATCTCAAACGCCTCCAGGACCAGGGGCTCAAGCCTCTCCAGTGCCCTTGTTTTCCTACAGTAACTCCACACCAGACCTAAAGGAAGCCTGTGACTCCTAACACCTGCAACGCTGACCACAGCAACGGCTTCCTGGGAGTCAGTGAAGGCCCAGCGGAACCAACCCGAGGAATGTGTGCTCACAAAGAGGCCAGGAACAGGCAGGTGGCTGTAGCCCCTTCTACCCAGGAATGCCCCTTTCACTTAAGAAGTAGGTACACAGGCTGCGTGTGGTGGCTCACACCTGTCCTCACAGCACTTTGGGAGGCTGAGGTAGGCAGATCACTTGAGCCCAAAAGTTTGAGACCAGCCTGGGCAACACAGTGAGGCCCCATCTCTCCAAAAAAAATACAAAAATTAGCCGGATGTGATGGCCCACACTGGAATCCCAGCTACTTGGGAGGCTCAGATGGGAAGATCACCTGATCCCAGGAGGTGAAGGCTGCAGTGAGCACAGATGGCCCCACTGCACTCCAGCCTGGACAAAAGAGCAAGATCCTGTCTCAAAACAAAGAAGAAGCGGGTACCACAGGGAGCCCCACCCAGCTCTTGGGGGAGAAAAACAGCCCAGAAGGGAAGGAGCTCATGCAGACGGTGCAGCACATGGTAGGGGTGCCAGCACCCCCAGTTCAGATGATGTGCAAAATTATAATCTTCAAGTAGAAATTAGCAGGAGAATAGAGGCTTCCTGAGGGTGTGGACTGTGCTTTCCTTGTGGAGGCCCTGGGTGGTTAGAGCGGGTCTGGAACATGGCAGGGGGACGGGTTTCTAGAACGAGGAGAAGCGGATACAGTCTAAGATGTGGTCTGCGGGTGCTGCGAGGGGTCTAAGGAAAACTGCCCTGGATGCTGCCACGATGAAAAAGGAGATCTTATTTGTTGTAATCACAGGACTAGAAAGGGAATTGGAGAGGGCGTCTGCAGAGCTGGTGTGCAGCTGAACTTGCTGGGAAGGGATGAACTCACTACACTGGGAGATGAGAGGCCTGGGTTTGACTCCTGCCTCTGGAATGATACCTCAGCATTCTCGGGACAGAAGTGGGACAGAAGGAGAGTCCCCCTGAGATGGCACCTTCACCTGCACGTGGGGGGCCCCCCAGGGCCTTGTGGTCAGGGCGGGTCTGCTGCAGAAGCCTCTTCATGCCTCATTGATTCCATCCTCTCCCCTACCCCTTCCCTCTCCTCCCACTGCTTGTTTATAACAAAGCATCTTAATTGCCTGGTTTGAGCAACCAAGAATGAAGAATGATTTGACGAGTCTTTTGTTCTCCTTTTTAGTTATTAAATTTTAATTAAAAACCATTAAAGGCACCCTTCCCCAATTCACAATAATAAATCTCACCGAGACCCTCACGGTCTCCCTCCAGCCAAGACTGAGGCAGCCTCCTCCCCTCTTTCCTGACTCCTAGACCACCCCAAACCCTCTTTCCCCAGGAATGCCAAAGGTGCATTCTTAAAAAGAGTTATCCAAGCTGCAGGTCCTGCTGCATTGGATTGTGGAATCAATTTAGCAAGGCATAGCATGATCTTTAAAAACTAAACATGGAATGGGATGGGGTGCAGTGGAATAGGTGGAATGGGGTAGAATAGAATAGAATAGAGACATGGAATGGGTGGAATGGAATCAAATAGAATGGAAAAGTGGGATGGGATGGGTGGAATGGGATGGGATGGGATGGGATGGGATAGGGTAGGGTAGGGTAGGGTAGGGTAGGGTAGGGTAGGGTAGGATAGGATAGGGTAGGGTAGGATAGGGTAGAGAGATGGGATTGAACGGCTGGAATGGGATGGAAACAAACAGGTGAGAGTTAGGGAATAGAATGGCAAACACATTTATAAGTGAGGAACTTGCATCAGCTCCATTTTACAGACAAGAAAACTGAGAGTGAAGATTGCTCCATGACCAAGTACCTAAGACACGATTTGAACACAGAAGTTTCTCCCATGGCCCTCCAGCTGCCCCCATACTCCTATGGGAGCATTTCTTAGGAAACACTCGTCTGTCTCCCCACCGTGTCCATGAGGTCCCTGTGATATGACTCCGTGCTCCATGCCATGGTCATGTAATGATTCAATTGATTGAAAGAAAGAATGAATGAATGAATGAAATGTGAAGAAAAGGCACAGGGCCATCTCTCACTCCATTCTTAGAGATAATTTAGGCAATTGGGGAAAGTCTGGGTATACACACACTTGCAGACAATCCCATGCTATCCTAACGATGCCTGTGATGGGGGGTCGCCTTGAGGATTGTTAGGGCAAGCACAAAAGGGATGGCTACTTCTCAGACTGCTTCCATTAAGAACTGGTGACCCCCAAAGCCAGTGATGCCCAGCAATTGTGTGCAGAATCCACTTCTATGCCCACCGTGAGAAAGGCTCTCAGGCCAGAAAGTAAATGTCCACTGGGAGAGGAGAGCAGGTGCTTTGAAGATCACCAGGGCCTACCCCATATGCATTTTGGCCTTCTCCTTTCTAACAGAACCCAAGTCTCTGGAGGTGGTCATGGAAATAGCTAAATAGCTACATTTCCCAGATTCTGGTGCAGACTAGGGTGGCACATGACAGCTCCAACCAGTGAGTGTAAGCAGAAGTCACTGAAAGGCGTCGTTCCCAAGAAGGCCCTTTAATTGCGGATGATTCAGCTGTCACTTACTTTCTCTTGCCCCTCGTCCATTACCGCTCCCTTGCTTCCTGCCTGGAATGCAGGTGTGCTGGCTGGAGCTCCACCAGCTGTCTTGAGAGTATTAAGACAGGATTGTTGTCATCAAGATGGCAGAGCAGCAAGCCAGAGGGAGCCCAGGTCCCTAAGGATGCAGTGGAGCCTGCACACCAGGAAGCTCTGGGATTCCTGCATCCGAACTTCCATGCCATAAGAATATAAACCCTTCTCTTGTTTGAGGCACTGCGTAACTGAGCATAATTCTGAATGAGATGTCCAGGACATTTATCCCAAGCATGTGGACCAGAAGGGGGTGGTGAATGCCAGCTGTGTGCAGGCCCCACCCCTGCCAAGAGGCTGCACAAACCAGAACTCTCAAGCAAAACCCTCCTTGGAGGAGGAGTCACTGCAAGGCCACTGCCCTCAACCAGGGGAACGAGCCATAAACCTTGACTTGAACATCAACTCAGCACTTTGCCCTTCATTCAGTCAGTCACCAGTAGTCATGGCCTCTAGTTCTCTCCCTACCTAGGAGGCAGAAAAATCATCTGAAAGTGGATATTCAACCATGTCATTCTACATAAAGGACCTTAGAGGCTACCCATGACCTTCAGGACAAAGTCCAGAGTCCTCACTGCTGCTCGTGATCTCACCCTGTCTCATCGCCAACCTCACTGTGTGCTTCTCTCCTTCCCACCACGCTCCAGCATGCTGGCCTCTCTACGCTCCTGCCCAAGGCCTTCTCGGGACTGCTCCCCTTCCTGGAAAGCTCCTTTCCACGGCCCTCCCGTAGAGAATTCCGCTCATCCTTCTTCTCTGCATGGATGGTGCTTCCCTGGACTGGCTTAGTCCCCACTGCGGCAACTTTCCTTGCAGTTGTCATTGCTTGCCACACAGGAGGTAGCAGACACTGACAAAAGTGATTACAAAGATGATAGGGTGGGCTGGCTGCTCAGGACAGCCCTGGAGAGGGCACACAAAGAAAGGGAAGAAGCCACATTGGACACGCGGACAGCCATGTTCTTAGCCCTTGTTCTTAACACAGGGCCTAGCACGTAGTACGTGATCAGCAAACACTAACCAAATGGGTACACAAACAGAACCCAGTGCCTGAGCTGTAAAGTTTATTCCAGGCCAGACTGAGGATAAGCGAGATCCCACAACAGATCAGTTTCCCGTCAGTGTCGCTCCCATTATGAACGCAAATGTCCAGTCGTGAACACAATATCTGCCCTTCCACTAGGCTCTGGAGCACCTGTTCACTACAGAAATAGGGAGCATTTCATCTCCACTTAGTTGTCTGAGGTTTTCTTTTTTATAATCCAAGTGCCACCAGGTCAGGCCCACATGCTACATCCTGCCTGGAGCCTTCCCTGGTCATGACAAGACCGCAGGGCCCCTCTTCTTCTGAGCCTGAGTTCCTGTTCACTCTGTTAGCTTCCAGCTGCATCAGCTCCCACGCGAGCCAGGAGGACCACGTGGCCTCAGTCTCCCATCTCACCAAACCCACACTCAGACTTCAACTTGATCTCCAAATAAGTGACACACTGTCTCAGAGCTACGTTGACAGGATGGAAAGGTGCTGCTCTCCACACAACCTTGTTAAACACTCGACATTTAAATAAACTATTGAAGGCCAGGCATGCCGGCTCCCACCTGCAATCCCACCACTCTTGGAGGCCAAAGTGGGAGGTTCGCTCGAGTCCAGGAGTTGAAGACCAACCTGGGAGGGAGGGTGGTACATGGTGAGAGTGGGGAGTCCAGGCAGGAACCTCATTCCAAGCGGGCAGGAAAACCACTGGAAGGTTTTAAGCAACAGAGTGAGGTGACCTAGTTTGTTTCAAAAAGATCAACCCCTGTTTCTGAGTGGCAACCGACCATTGATCAATAAGACTAGAGGCCAGGGGACGAGGCAGAGGCTAGGATGGCTGTCTAGGTGAAGGGCAGGCTGGTCTGGACTAAGGAGCTAGCAGGGGAGGTGGGAAGAAGAGGTTAGGTATGTTGAAAGTTTAGAGACGTCCAGATGTGCTATGGTTTGGATATGGGCTTGAAGAGGAGTCATGGTTGATCCCAAGGCTTTATACTGCAGCAACTAGATGAAATACGTTGCCATTTACAAAAATGAAGACCCCTGGAGGAGGAGTACATTTATGGGAGTAAGAAATTGCAAGTATATGATTTTGGACAGATGCATTTCAGATGTGCATTGGGTCACCAAGGGGAGATGCTACATGGGCAACTGATCACCTACTAAATTCCAGGAGCTGCAGAAGGTACCAACGATGCATGGACACAACCCTGCCCTCCATGCTCACGTCCCAGCCAGCAGGCTGACGTGTCCACAAGGACAGGCACATGATAAGGGCTTTAACATGGGTACACGCAAAACCTTACTGGGAGTGCAGAAGACGCCTGCACAATGCAGCTGCCTGGGGAGGGCAGAGACAGACCCAGCTCCTGAAAGGAAGAGGCCGCTGATGGGAGTCTGGGGGATGTGTGTGGTGATCTGGTTTTTCTATACATCAGTCATTCAGAGGCTACCTTCAAATGTGTCATCTGCATCCCTCAAGTTTGATCTAATAATTTTCTTTAAATTACTGACATTAAACCTGAGTAAGGTTTAAATTTATAGATCACCACCACAAAATGAAAGCCAACATCATCAGCCTTAAATGTAAAGTAACAATTAATATAGGTTGTTTTAAAAAGCAGAAGGATATGAATTTCTAGCTAGATAGCTGAGCTGACTCAGCATTTTGAGCCAGAGGTTCACAAAGCGATCACTGTGAACATTGATCATTTAACAAATGAGGTTTAACAAAGGTGATTAGCAAGAATTAGAAATATCAAGTCCAACTAACACCAAACTGAGACTTTCTCCTTGATTTAATCAGAAGGAGTAAGGGGAATTAAAAGGAAATAAGTGTGCTATTCTGTAATGCCATGTTGTTCAGCAATGTTTGAGAAGCCGCTTAAACCTCTCTTTGGAGTCTCAGTTTGGGAAGCACTGTATCTGGTCAGAGAAAAGGCAGCATTCAGGGCAGTGGCAACAGCTTCTGCAAAAGCACAGAGGCAGGAAGCAGCCGAGCATGTTTTGAAAGCTACAAATCATCTCACGTGGCTAAAGGGAGAGGTGAACGGGGGCTGTAAGGTGGGCAGGAGTCAGATTGGGAAGTGCCTCGCCTGCCAGGCTGAAAACAGGGGATTTTATTTTGCAGACAATGAATAAGTGCCTCCGAAGGGTGTCAAACAAGATGATGGGATCAGGTTCATATTTATAATGAACACACAGGATGGAATGAATGAAGACTGCCAGACTGGAGGTACCTCAGGAGACACAATACCGGACGAAAGCCATCCTGAACTAAGACCACAGAAATAATAGAGAATTCCAGACCCAAGAAGTATTAATGTGGCCAGGTGCAGAGGCTCATGCCTGTAATCCCAGTGCTCTGGGAGGTGAAGGCGGGAGAACTGGTTGAGGCCAGGAGCTCAGGACCAGCCTGAGTAACATAGCAAGACCCCTCTCTACAAAATATCTCTACAAAATAGCCGGGTATGGTGGTGGACGCCTGTGGTCCCAGCTACTCGGGAGGCTGAGGCGAGAGGATTGCTTGAGCCCAGGAGTTCAAGGCTGCAGTGGGCTATGATTGCACCACTGTTCTCCAGCCTGGGTGCAGAGGGAGACCTGGCCTCTTTAAAAAAATCATAATAATTGTGGTAGAATTGGCAGGCCTTGGCAACTGATTGGAGATAGAAGTTCAGGGAGGAATATTCTGCAATTGTCCTTGTCCTTCCTAAATTGGATGTGGTGCCATCAACCTTCATCAAGAACACAGAAGGGAAATTAGCCAGGCACAGTGGTGCCCACCTGTGGTCCCAGCTACTCCAGAGGCTGAGGCTGGAGGATCGCCTGAGTCCAGGAAGTCAAGGCAGCAATGAGCTATGATTGCACTGCTGCACTCCAGCCTGGGCCACAAAGCAAGACCCCATCTCTTTAAAAAAACAAAAATAAAAGTGGAAAGAAGGGCGAGTGTTGGTGAAGAGACAGTGAGCTCCATTTGGGATGCACTGAACTTGCAGGAAATGCAAGAATCAAGAAAAGTTGTCTAGGAAGCAGCTGGAACCATGTTTAATATTTAGGGGGACATTTGGGGCAGGGATTTGAGCCGTCTTCAACAGCTAACTTGCGGTCACGGGCGTGGAGAGGGACAGCCTGGAGAAGAGGAGAAAGTTGAGAGCTGTGCTGTGAGGCCCTTCTTCATAGGAGGGGCCATGAAGGAGACAGAGAAGGACAGGGAAGGTGGGAGGGGAACCAGGAGGCAGCAGAGTAACAGACCCCAGAGATAAAGACTTTCAAGGGAGAAGGCGTGGGCCACAGAGCCAGAGGGGGTGCAACCGTGACTTAGTGAAGCCCCTTCCTTTGGGTCTCGTTACAGCCACAGAACCCGCCTCCATCTGACTCAAACACTGTCCTTAACTTGCTCACTTCAGAAGGCCGTCCGTCCCTGCTACCGCTCCTAATGTCCTGGTCTCTGCCTCTCCTCCTGCTCCTTCACATGACCTGTCAGGAAGGGACAAGCATGACTCAGCCCCACAAAATTCCAGTGTGTGCAGTTTACAAAAGATGCTAGAAATACAAGTTTTAGACTGGACGCAGTGGCTCACACCTGTAATCCCAGCACTTTGGGAGGCTGAGGTGGGTGGATCTCTTGAGGTCAGCAGTTCAAGACCAGCCTGGCCAATATGGTGAAACACCATCTCTACTAAAAATACAAAAATTCCTAAAACCATAAAAATCCTAGAAGAAAACCTAGGCAATACCATTCAGGACATAGGCATGGGCAAGGACTTCATGTCTAAAACACCAAAAGCAATGGCAACAAAAGCCAAAATTGACAAATGGGATCTAATTAAACTAAAGAGCTTCTGCACAGCAAAAGAAACTACCATCAGAGTGAACAGGCAACCTATAGAATGGGAGAAAATTTTTGCAACCTACTCATCTGACAAAGGGCTAATATCCAGAATCTACAAAGAACTCAAACAAATTTACAAGAAAAAAACAAACAACCCCATCAAAAAGTGGGTGAAGGACATGAACAGACACTTCTCAAAAGAAGACATTTATGCAGCCAAAAAACACATGAAAAAATGCTCATCATCACTGGCCATCAGAGAAATGCAAATCAAAACCACAATGAGATACCATCTCACACCAGTTAGAATGGTGATCATTAAAAAGTCAGGAAATAGGTGCTGGAGAGGATGTGGAGAAATAGGAACACTTTTACACTGTTGGTGGGATTGTAAACTAGTTCAACCATTGTGGAAGTCAGTGTGGCAATTCCTCAGGGATCTAGAACTAGAAATACCATTTGACCCATCCATCCCATTACTGGTTATATACCCAAAGGATTATAAATCATGCTGCTATAAAGACACATGCACACGTATGTCTATTGCGGCACTATTCACAATAGCAAAGACTTGGAACCAACCCAAATGTCCAACAACAATAGACTGGATTAAGAAAATGTGGCACGTATATACCATGGAATACTATGCAGCCATAAAAAATGATGAGTTCATGTCCTTTGTAGGGACATGGATGAAACTGGAAACCATCATTCTCAGCAAACTATTGCAAGGACAAAAAACCAAACGCCGCATGTTCTCACTCATAGGTGGGAACTGAACAATGAGAACACATGGACACAGGAAGGGGAACATCACACACCGGGGACTGTTGTGGGGTGGGGGGAGGGGGGAGGGATAGCGTTAGGAGATATACCTAATGCTAAATGACGAGTTAATGGGTGCAGCACACCAACACGACACATGTATACATATGTAACAAACCTGCACATTGTGCACATGTACCCTAAAACTTAAAGTATAATAATAATAAAATTTTAAAAAATACAAAAATTAGTCAGCCATGGTGGCAGGTGCCTGTAATCCCAGCTACTCGGGAGGCTGAGGCAGGAGAATCACTTGAACTGGGAGGCAGAAGTTGCAGTGAGCCGAGATCATGCCTCTGCACTCCAGCCTGGGTGATGGTGTGAGACTCTGTCTTAAAAAAAAAAAAAAAAAAAAAAAAAGAAATACAGGTTTTATATTAAAATATCCCAATTTTTAAAATGCTAGCAACCAATTTTAACCATTTTTTCCCTAATTCTACGTAGGCCAAATAGAAAGCGTGTGTGGGTGGCTCTCAGCCCACAGATGCCCATCTGCTACCCCTAAGGGGCAGCCATGTTCCCTCCCCAGCCACCCAACTGAGGAAAATGCTTCCTGAACTCTTACTAGCCAGAAAACATTTGATGGTCTTCCAGTTGGTGTGGTTTTTAGTTTATTTTCTCTCAATCTCTAATTGGCAGGCCATTTCTACAAAGACCCACACAGCCCCAGGCCCGCAACAGCCAAGGTCCTTTTCTCCCTTCACCCATTCCCCGGAAAGATGCCTGGAGTTGAGGAATCTCTAAGACACCAGCCACACCCCGCAAGGGTCTGCAAGACGGTCAACCACGGCAGTGGACTGAGGAATGTCCCCCGAGAATCACGTTCACTCGAGACCTCAGAATGGGACCTCACTTGGAAGTAGGGTTTTTGAAGATGCAATTCTTAAGGTAGGAATTCAGATGGGATCATGCTGGGTCAGGGGCCCTCAATCCAACGAGAATGTCCTTCTGGAGATGGAGAAGGCCACATAGAGCCGCAGGAGAAGGCCATGTGGAGACAGAGGCAGAGGTGGGGGCAGGGGGCTGGCCACAGCCAAGGAACACCTGGAGCCACTGGAAACTGGAAGAGGCAGGAAAGATCCCACCCTGGAGCACAGCCCTGCCAGCGCCTGGATCTCAGACTTTCGCGTTCAGAACTGGGAGGGAAGAGATTTCTGTTGTTTTAAGCCCCCTAGTTCATTCTAAGTTATTATGACAGCTGCAGGAAACTGATCCAACCACCCAACAAATTCCAAACGTTCCATCACACAACAAGCACCTTGTGAGCACCTCCTGTGCACACCTTGTGAGCGCCCACTGCATACACTTTGTGAATGCCCACAGTGCACACTTTGTGAGCACCCACTGTGTACTCTTTGTAAGCACCACTGTGTACAAGCACTTCCTGTACTGAGCATGGTGTGTGTGCCACATGTAACATGGCCCTGCCTTTTAGCAAGTAGTTTTCTAGGACAGACAAGAAGAGTGCACAGGTCTCTAGAACACAGGTAAACACTGAGAAGGGCTAAAACACAAATACAAGGTTTCCGTGTGATTTCGAAGGATGGGCAGGATGTCATTGCAGTTGGAGGCCACTGGGTTCAGCTGTAGACAGGGAGCCACTCTGAGCCATGCCCACGGGGTAAGAAGGGAAGCAGCAGAGCCCCCCAGCAGGTGGGAGCTGAGCCGGGGCCCTCACGCTGTAAGCCCCCCTAACACAGCGGGGTGGACAGCTTTGCCAAGCTGCCTGGGAAGGCCTTGGAGTGTTCTATAAATACAGAACCAGCAGGTGTTGTGGTTGGAAGACATAAAAGCTACGTGGCACTTTCTGCCTTACACTCAGCTTACATCACACGTGGAACTGCTTGTATTGGAGTTTACAACCCCTGAAGACACAAGGGTTCCAAAGAATGCCGACAGCCAGTAGGTCCCATATCACACTCAGGGGCGGAGAGCAGCCCAGGGGAGCCGGGCACAGGAAACCTTCACAGTCAGGCCCGCGTCTGAACATGGGGTGAAAAGTACCTTGCTGGGCACGTTGTAGGGGAAGGTGTCTGAGCAAGGAAGGCGTGAGACTGTGAGACCGACTGTAGCACCTGATGCTGACTTGAGCCCCCTCAAAGCCATGGGACACAAATCGCTCCTGCTTGACAGTGTGGGAAGCTGCAAAATTCATTGTTTTTCTTCAAGATCTTTGGGCCAAATAATAGCACGTCTTTAAATAACGCATCCTTCAACTCAGTGGGCAAAACAAGTTATACCTGACAACCTGCCTTAAAACCAAGGAGCCGGGATCAGGGTTGCCATGGCCCACCCCTTCCCATAATGCTTCCTTCACCCCGCTGGAGGTACATGCAGCCCACACACGTATGTTCTAGAAGGAACAGATGCTCTAGGGAAGGGACTGCAGGCACAAGGCCCACCAAAACATAATGCGGCACGAAAGAGGCCCCCATGTGGATGTTGCTCCCTGTGGCCAGCCAATTTCAGTCAATAATCCAGTACGAGGATGAGCCCAGCCCACAAGACACATACTCTTCCTAACTAAACAACAAGGGTCCCAGCTGTTTGCATTACAGTGGGGGAGGAAAATCTAAGCTTCTCTCTAGCTGAACCCTTAGCAATGATTTTGGGTAAATTTCCAAATTGCCTCCACCACCAAGAGCAATGAAATAACCACATGTGGGACCGGGCACAGTGGCTCATGCCTGTAATCCCAGCACTTTGGGAGGCCCAGGTGGGTGGATCACCTGAGGTCGGGAGTTCGAGACCAGCCCGATCAATATGGAGAAACCCCATCTTTACTAAAAATACAAAATTAACTGAGTGTGTTGGCACATGCCCGTAATCCCAGCTACTTGGGAGGCTGAAGCAGAAGAATCACTTGAACCCTGGAGGCAGAGGTTGCAGTGAGCTGAGATCATGCCACTGCACTCCAGCCTGGGCAACAGAGCAAGACTCTGTCTCAAAAAAAAAATAAAAAAATAAAAAACAAGAAAGAAGGAAGGAAGGAAGGAAGGAAGGAAGGAAGGAAGGAAGAAGGGAGGGAGGAAGGAAGGAAGGAACCACATGTAAGATGAAGGAGAAGAAAATAGGAATGGTGTGTGTGAGAGCAAGACAGGCTGTGTGCAAGCCCTTCCTGTTTTGTTAGTATTAATTTCTTTTAGTAAGAACCATGGCCGGGCGGTGAGGACAGAGGCCCTGGAATCAGATGATCCTGATCGGAATCTTGGGCCCCTTCCCCAAACCCAGTTACAAATTGTGCACCTTTGGACAAGTTGCTTAATTTCTTGGGGCCGCTCTTTTCTCATCCATAAAACTGGAATTAATCATAGGGCTGTATGGAAATTCCATGAAATCAACCATCCCGGGTGCTCAGCCGGGACCTGCCTCAACAGGGGTTGAGAGCATCTACTTCTTTCCTCCTGGGCTGAGACAATGAGACTGTGATTTCCAGCAATTTATTCATTTCAGAAAAATGCTGCTGCTACTCAGATGCCCGGAGAAGTTCATTAGAACAGGATTTTCCTGTAATGCCTCCAGGTCACCAGGTCACTGCAGCAGGCCAGGGGTGGGATTCTTTGCCTGGCAGTTGGAGATAATTGCAGTTGCCAAAGTGGTCCGGCCTCCTAGCATGGGGGCAGCCAATTAACCAGGAGAGTCACCCTCCTGGTTGACAGATGACGCCTGGTGTTGGCCTTGTGCACCCCGATTAACCTCCAGGCGGGCTCCCCCTCCGCCCTGGACATTTTCAGTTTCCTGCACTTATTATGAAGCCTGCCCAAGAATCCCTAATTCACTAATAAGAAAATCACCATCTAACATCAGTGTTTGAAAATGACCTTGTGTTAGAACTGTGGTGGGAAGAGTGCTGTATTCTCAAACGATCACTGTTTTTTAAAAGCGTGGCACGGGCACTCCCTCGGCCACCCGCCTGCCCTCCCCAATCCCTCACCCACTGCTGCGACCACCCGGTGCTCAGCTCAGGGCTGAGCCGCAGTCTGAGGGCCGGGCCCTGGCATGGGCTCCATCAGATCCCGTAATCGGATCCGGGCGCTTTAGCCCTCACGTGACTAGGGGCCACCGCCTAACCCTGATTAGCGCTCTACATCACCCACCGCTCAGCCTCCCCTGGGGTCGGGTGGCTTCTCCACGTCTTAAATAAGATTCAGTTGTCATGTGTAGTATATTGGGAGTGCGTTTGAAACGGTGTTTCCTAGGGGAGAAGAAAGGAAAACAGCACCCACAATTGAACAGCTTAGGAAATACAGAGAGAGAGAGAGAGATCGATCTAGAAGCACGGAGGGAACCCTGAGCCTGAGCCTGAACGCAGCGCAGAGGTCTGGGGCCCGACCACCCTGGGAGGCAGTGCCCCAGCTGTGCTCACCGGTGAGGGGAACACACCACCTTCCTGCTACTTTAGGGACATCAGCAAAGTCTCCCTTAAATATCTCCCTTTCTGTACCAAGAAAGCTATAAATCGGAGCCCCATCCTTCCAGATGAAGCAGCATTTTAAAACCTCAGTTTCATCTGGAAAGCAGCTGGGGAAGCACCCCATGGCCAGGTCGACTTCCCTCCAGGCACCAGAACACAGGCAGGGAGGACAGAGGAAGTGCAGGAGGAGGGACGAGGACCGAGGAGGCAGAGGGAGGGTGCTCTGTGGGCCCTGGCAACTCAACCCGCGTCCCAAAGCAGCTCTCATTAGGGCTGGGCTCCTGACGTCTTGTTTAAAAAATAAACAAAAAGCCAGGGGTGGTGGTTCATGCCTGTAATCCCAGCACTTTGGGAGGCCAAAGCAGGTGGATCACCTGAGGTCAGGAGTTTGAGACCAACTGGCCAAATTGGCGAAACCCTGTCTCCACTAAAAATACAAAAATTAGCCAGGCATGGTGGCGGGCACCTGTAATCCCAGCTACTTTGGAGGCTGAGGCAGGAGAATCACTTGAACCCGGGAGGCAGAGGTTGCAGTGAGCCAAGATCATGCCACTGCACTCCAGCCTGGGCAACAGAGCCAGACTCCATCTCAATAATAATAATAATAATAAACAAAAGTAAATGGCTTCTAAAGGGAAGTTTTTAAATCTCAAATTAATTAGATGGCACTCCGCATTTTCTAACCCACTTTCCAAAGGTGTTCCCTCCGTGGACTCATAACCCCTCGCCCTGCCACCACCGCCTCCACAGGTCTGTTTCCCAAAGCGTAGACTGCCAGCCAGAGAGCACCTGCAAGACGGGCCGAGGCTCCGGGGCTCCACCACCAGGGTCACCGGTTCAGGTCCTGGCATCGCTGCTCTCTAGCTATGTGATCTTGGGCTAGCTGCTTCACCTGTCTGTGCGTCCAAGTCCCTGTCTCCACGATGGTGGGGACAGTGATACCCTCCTGTGCTCGTTTCCTGGGCTGCCATGACAAATGACAAAAAACTGGGAGGCTCAAAACAACACACATCTCTTCTCTCATAGATCTAGAGGCCAGAAGCCCAGAAGCCGGGGTGGCAAGACCAGCTCCCTCCAAAGCTGCGTGAGGATCCCTGCCTCTGCCAGCACCGGCTGCCTCTGGGGGCTCCTCTCCGTGGCCACATTGCTCTGGTTCCGCCTTCAGAGTCACACGGATGTGCCTGAAACTGAGTTTTTCACAAATCAATGACACTGGAGGATGCATGAGTTAGGAAGAAGATGCCTGCACACCCGAAGCCCAGGAGAACCAATGAGATGTTAATATTCCCACTGGTGAAAAGCAGAGACCAAGACTAGACAGGCTCATGAAGCCGCCCGGAGCCTCCCGGCCAGTCACCACGCAACAAAGACCGGGGCCCTGGCTGCCGCACCACCGCCCTGTGCTTCCTAACGCATCTTTCACCTCTGGGGAAAAGGAGGTTCAGTTTCCCCATTTGTCATGTCCGTGACTGTGGGCCACAGAAGCCTCCTGGGGGAGAGGCTGGCAGGGAAGGGACGCAGCTGTCCCAGGCCCACACAGGAGCCCACGTGGTTCCCTGTAAAACGCTCTTCCTGACCAGCTCCTCACTAACGAACAACTCAGCACAGGCGTTTGCTGTGTTTCTCTGCGGTTCTCACGCCTCTCCTGCTGCACACCGCTTTCCTGCTCTTTCTCTCCTTCTGTGACGCTGGAGCACACTGGGTATGGCAGGAGTGAACTGCTGCAGGGCCACAGGCGCCCAGCCTGCAAAAACGTCCCAACACAGACAGGGCAGGCCCAGTGCCCCAAGGCAAACGCCCACCAATGGGGTGGCCAGGTGTGGCTGGGACCAACGGAGGCAGAAGCCGTTCTCTTCCCAGCCTACCCATCCCTGCAAGGTCACAAAAATGCTGATGGTTACTTCGTGCAAAAGTGTCTCCCTCCTACCGTGACCGGCTCACTTCGCACACACTTTAGACAGCTCTGCTCATGAGAAAGGAAAAATAAATACACTGCGGAAGCATCTACAAGAAATCTGGGCTGCACAAGCTTCAGAGGACCCGTTTCTGGGACTATCTGTATTATTCTACTAATTCCATTCACATGCTAATGATTGGTCTGTTTGGAGTTTAATAATAATAGCAGGAATCGTAATAGCTAATGTTTGTTGAACCCTCACACTATTCCAGGCCCTGTTCTAAATGCTCTGTGCCATTGAAGTCATTTAATCATCAAAGCACCCCTTCTGCCGTCCCCATCTGAATGGAAATAAAGGCAATTGCTAATCTTTATTGAGTGTTGCAAGATACTAAGCACTTTTCCCCAGTGAATGCCTTCAATAACAATCCGTCGAGGAGAAGACGGATGCTATTGTTACCTGCATTTTATGGATAAGACAACGAAAGCGCAGAGAGGTTCAGAAGAGAGCCTGTGGTCACACAGCCGGAAGTAGCAGAGCAGAGATCGGGGCCTGCCAGCCTGGCTCCAGACTCTGCCCTGTGACTGTGGCTAATTCCACCAGTGAAGGCTGCTTCCGAGGGACACGTTCACGGAGCAGCTCCCCGCACAGATGCTGTGGGGCACAGGCAGGTCCGCGCTCCCCATGGCAGCATGGCGTAGTGGCCAGGGGCAGGCGCTCTGGCGAAAGTGCCCAGTGAATCTTGGCTGCTCCACTCAGGAGCCATAAGGATTTGGGCAAGTGACTTAACCTTTCTGGGTGTTGGTGCCTTTTGACAGTTAAATGAGCTAGCTGGTGGGAAGAGTGCAGAACAGGCCTGGGGTACGGTGAGGATTCAATGAGGCCGGCTCTTGTTTTCATGGCTCATGCTATTGCTCTCCAAACAGACTTATCACCAAAATTATCATGCAGTGATTCGGCAGCCGCCAGTGGTCCCAAATGCCGCAGGCTCATTCTGCAGATTGATGGAGAATGGGCATTTCCCACAAGCTCCGCCAGGTCTAGCTTGTGCCTCTGCTGAGAGACCCACCTTCCCAGCCCTACCCCATGGAAGAGAGAAAAATCCTAAATTAACAATGTGAAATCCTGAAATGACCAAGAAAACATCAAGTAACTGAACGTGTCCTCAAGCGACAAGATTCTCTTTCCTGTTCTTGAGCAGGGCCCGGGCGTGAGAGCTGAAGCAGGCCGGGGTATACACAGGACAGTGGCCCAGGGGACACCCAGGCCTGAGAGCAGGAAGAGCGGTGGGGTCACAGAACAACCCGGAAAGACGCAGACACACTCAGAACTTCCAACTGCCAGTCGTATCCAGCTGCAGATGCTGGCATAGGTACGCAGAGGATTCGTGCCCTCACAGAATGGAACGGTGCCCACCTGAAGGGAGGCAACTGGGAGGAGCAGGGAACAAGGTCCCCCCCACGCCCAGGAGTCCTCCCATGGGGAGGGAGGGAGGCACATCAAGAAACAGAACAGGTGATAGGACAGGAGGTCCAGATGGCTGCTGTCATGGCAGGCAGTCAGGGAAGGCTTCTCAGAGGCGGTGACCTTTGAGCAGAGCCCTGAACAACATGATGAGTGAG
Organism: Homo sapiens; assembly: GCF_000001405.40. Classification (NCBI taxonomy): domain Eukaryota; kingdom Metazoa; phylum Chordata; class Mammalia; order Primates; family Hominidae; genus Homo; species Homo sapiens. The sequence goes on from NC_000012.12 coordinate 130,707,504, forward strand.
TAGCTGGGAGAAGAGCCTTCCAGACAAAGACATGAAGGAGGAAGAGCTGGCAGGCCTGTGGCCATCAGGAGGCCCTTGCGCTTGCTCTAAGTGAGAATAAATGCAATCAGAAGCTTCCAAGAGTGGGCGTGGACTGAGCCGTTTCCAACAGGAGCCCTCTGGCTGCTGTGTGAGAGTGACTTGCAGGCAGAGGTGGACACAGGAGGCCTGGGGGCGCTGAGGCAGTGTGGCCCAGGGACAAGACCAGGGGTCTCTGGCCAAGGGGACCGAGGCGGCCCGAGCAAGAAGAGCTCAGAATCAGGATGTGAAGGGAAAGTGGCGGATATTAGTGGATCACATGTAGGCAACAGCTAGATAGAGGCTGGGAAGAGGACATGTTTGGCAAAGCAAATGCTTAGCCAAGAAATGGGGGGATTGAGAGAGAGGGAGAGAGAGAGAGACTATACGCATTACACATGACTATATTTGCAATAATCTCAGGCCTTTTAGAAAGTACTGATGCCTGTGGGTAAACATGTGGTCCAGCCACACAGTGGAATATTATTCAGCCATAAAAAGAGATGACGCTCTGACACACACCACAACACGGGTGAACCTTGAGGATGCTGTGCTGAGGGAAAGAAGCCGGCCACAGAGGACCATGTGTAGTATGATTCTGTTCACGTAAGATGTCCACGGCGGGACATCTATAGAGACAGCAGATTCGCAGTTGCCAGGGCTGGGAGGAGAGGAGAGAGGAGACTGGTTGCTTAATGGCAATTTCTTTTTGAGGTGATGAAAATGTTCTAACATTGATGACAGTGATGGTTGCACAACTCTGAATATACTGACAACCCCTGACTTGTACTTTAGATGGATGAATTGGATGGTAGGTAAGTTATATCTCAGTAAAGCAGTCTTAAAGCTGGGCATGGTGGCTCGTGCCTATAATCTCAGCACTTCAGGAGGCTGAGGCAGGAGGATCGCTTGAGTCCAGGAGTTTGAGACCAGCCTGGGCAACATAGCAAGACCCTGTCTCTACAAAATATAAAAAATTAGCCAGGCATGGTGACACGCGCCTGCAGTCCCAGATACAAAGGATGCTGAGGTGGGAGGATCACCTCAGCCTGTAGGTCGAGGCTGCAGTGAACCGGGATTATGCCACTGCACTCCAGCCTGGGCGACACAGTGAGACCCTGTCTCAAAAAAACAAATTAGTGAAATAAAGCTGCTTTGAAAATACTGTTATACCTGCGCCCCAGCTCACTGCACCTTCTCTAAGAGGCTCGCGTGGGCCCTGGACACAGGCGTGTTTCAGAGCTCCCTGGGACTGCATCTGACCCAGAACCGGCTCCGCCCCAGCTTCTCTGGGATCTCACAGGTCCTGCAGCGCTGTAGTCCCAACCCAGCTTCGCGGTCAGGCAGCCCGGGTTTGAAACTGGGCCCATCTCTCCCCAGCTGTGTGATCTTCAGAGAGCCCCTCCATCTCTCAAAGACTATTGTCTCATCTGTAAAATGGGTCTACATGAGCAACAGGGCCTGCCGCAGAAGGGCTGTGTCATGCATGTAACCGAGGAAGGCACCCAGCAACGTGCCGGCAACAGCAGTCCGATGCATTGCTGCATTTGAGCTGGAAAAGCTGTTTACACAACTTCCCATCTTTAATTCTCACGATCCAGAAGCCACGATGCAGGAGGCAGTCACCAGGGCTGGTGGGCTTGGGGACAAGCAGGAAGGAAGCTGGGGAACTGTCTGGACAGAGGCATGGCCCTCCCGGGGCCCCAACTGCCATTCGCTGCATCCACCCTTCCCACAGAGACAATTATTGAGCCCCAGCCAGGTCTCAGCCACTCGCTGGGCACTGGGGACTCAGCCACAGGCTGAAGACGCAGAACCCACACCACAGCTGGGGCTGGGGCAGGTCTCTGGGCGTGACGCCCGACAGCAGAGCTCTGGCACCCGCAGCCTGCGGGGCAGCTCCAGGCTAAGGAGTCAACACGCAGCTCGAGCCCTTGGCCCTTGAACATGGAGCGCTTTACAGACCTGGAGCTGAGTCAAGGCACGTTTCCCAAGATTTTGGGGCTCCCCTCTCAGGGAGAGGGAAGGAAGAGTCGGAAACAAAGCTGCCTGTTGCCCCCGTCCCAATATCTCCGTCCAAGGAGGTACAGGGGCAGCGTGATGGGGTGTGTTCCTGCTCTTGGAAACCACGTCGGTAATAAGCATGAAGAATGCCTTGAGGAAACCCCCCCCCTTCCCACCCAACCCAGCGGCCCGTTCCTGACATTCCCATCGCGGACACACACTGGGTGTGGCACCAGGAGCGTTTAATCAGAGGAACCTGTACCAACGCACCCCCAGGCCCCCTCAGGAGGCCCCTGCTGCCAAAATGGCCAAATGGGCTTTCTTTTTGGTAGCACTGGGCAGGAGGGAGGCAGGGGAAGGAGCGCGGTAAGAGGCATAGGAGGGGCAAGGAGGACCTTCCACCCAAAGGGACACCATGACCAACTCCCCATGGATGGAAATGACAAAAAGTACACCACTGGCCCCCTGGTTTCCGGGTATCCCTGGGAGCTCACGGGTGGACACCGAGGGTCTCCAGGAGAGGGGTTGGCTCTGCAGCCCCTGTGGTCCCAGCTGCTCCAAAAACACCCAAGGAGCAATTTCTGCACATACCTATGAGAATCAAAGCCACCGAGCAGCTCGCAGATCCATTCCTCCCTCTGCCCTCGGGGCCTGAACCTCTCTCCCAGGTGTCTGCACCTCTGGCTCCTTCTCAGGGTCCTGTCTCAGCTTCAACGCCACCTCCTCCCTGAGACCCTCCCAGATCATCCAGGTGCGGCCCCTGACATCAGCCATTGGAACCCTCTGCTGGGCACTCCATCAGGGCAGCTGTCTCTGGTGTAGTGATTATTCATTCACTTGCCCGTTGTCTTACACATGCACACACACACATACACGCAGGCGCACACACACACATACACACACACACGTACACACACACATGTGTGCTCCCCATGAGGGCAGCACCCTCCTCTAGCTTGTTCACTGCTCACCTAAAATGTGAGTCAGTATTTAGCAGGTGCTTAAAGGTTTGCTGAATGAATAGGTCATGCCCTGCCTTCCTGGGTCCCACACAGATAGAGAAGTGGCAGGTGCTGCACCTCCCCCGCCCCAGGCTCAGCACCAACAGGAAGGACCTGTCCACACAGCTAGGCCAAGGAGAGAGCCCCCCTCATCTCCCACACTGGGTCTCTCCAGCAAGTGCTTATCCAGCACCTACTAATGACAGACCACAAAACACCAACAAATGAGAATATCCCAAATGGACGTCTTCAGGCCTCTCCCTGCTCTACCTGCTCCTCCACAAGCCCCACTGCTCCCAATCCTCACAGGCCCCGCACGTCACACGTGGGGTCCCATGGAGCCCTGACAGCCACCTCCCTTTCTCGTGTAGGTGAGCATTAAGAAGAGGCTATCTGACCAGGCACAGTGGCTCATGCCTGTAATCCTAGCATTTTGGGAGGCCAAGGTGGGCAAATCGCCTGAGGTCAGGAGTTCAAGACCAGCCTGGTCAACATGGCGTAATCCCATCTCTATTAAAAATACAAAACTTAGCCGGGCGTGGTAGCCCACGCCTGTAATCCTAGCTACTCAGGAGGCTGAGGCAGGAGAATCGCTTGAGCCCAGGAGGCGGAGGCTGCAGTGAGCTGAGATCATGACACTGCATTCCAGCCTGGGTGACAGAGCAAGACTCTGTCTCAAAAGAAAAAAAAAGAAGCTATCCAGCCTCTCACAAATCCAGAGAAGCCCCAATTTCCTCCATTTTCTGAGGTTCCTTGTCCAGGGAAAAATTAAGAAATGTCTATTACCCTTTTCACGTTTTGCTGGATTCCATTTTCTAATTTACTAATACTTGACTTAGAATGTGGTGTCTGTGACCATGAGAGTTTGGCCAGCACATGTTCTTCCTTCTGATGGCCTCACTGGGGTTTTGTATCAAGATTATTCTGGGCTTTTAAAATGAGTGTGCTTTGTCTTTTTTCTCCATTTTTTGAAGATGCTATTTGGAGTGATTTACTTAGGACGTCATTTGGACTTAAAGTTTATATTGTGTGAAGGTTTCTCATTACAGATGCATTTGCTTCTCACACATATGAAAATAACCACAAAAAAGTTAAAATAGATTTAGATTAAATGTTACTTTTCAGGGACCCACCTCATAAATGAATACTTCTAACCCCACAAACCCTAGTACAGTGTGACTGGCTTGTTCAAAGATAAATGCAGTCACGCCTTGCTTAACAAGGATGCGTTCGGAGAAATGCCTCATTAGGTGATTTCGTCACTGAGCGCACCTCACACACAGGTACACTGCACACACGCCCGGGCCGCACAGCCTCCTCCACGCCCTGGCTCGATGGGCAAGCCCATTGCTTCCGGTTTCACAGCTGTGCAGCCCGTGACTGTACTGAGTACTGTAGGCCACTGCCACACAATGGTGAGTACTTCTGCATCTAATCATAGAAGAGAGGCAGCGGAAGTAAGATCTAAAAGATAAAGCATGGTGCACCTGTATAGGGCGCTTAGCATGAATGGAGCTTGCGGGACTGGAAGTGACTCTGGGTGGGTGAGTGAGTGAGTGAGGAGTGGACGTGAGGGCCCAGGCATTCCTGTACGTGTCTGTAGACCCTACAGAGGCTGCACGTTTAGACTACGCTAAATTTATACAAAAATATTCTTCTTTCTTCCATAACTGCCCTCAGCTTACTTCGTTGCCTTATACATTTCTTAATTTTTTACCTTTTGGACTCTTTTGTAATAATACTTAGCTTAAAACACACATTGTACAGCTGTACAAAAATAATTTCTTTCTTTATATCCTCATCTATTTGCTTTTCCCTATTTGATTTTTTTGTTTGTTTGCTTTTTAAACTTTGCTGTTAAAAGCTAAGACATAAACACACACGTTCACCTAGGCCTCCCCGGGGCCAGCATCATCACATCACCGCCTTCCACCTGCACGTCCTGTCCCGCTGGGAGGTCTCCAGGGGAATAACACAAGGTGTGCCGTCGCCTCCCACGATGGCCATGCCTGCTGTCGGATCCCTCCTGAAGGACCTGCCGGAGGCTGTTCCACAGCTCACTTTTGTTTAATAAGTAGAAACAATACACTCTAAAATCATGATAAAAGTTACAGTAAATCCATAAGCCAGTAACATAGTCATTTATTATCATCGAGCATCATGTCCATGCATGACTGTATGTGCTGGACGTTCACACTCCAGGCAGCACAGTGGGTTCACCCACACCATCGTCACTAAACACGTGAGACTAAAGCTTCAAGCTGAGCAGCTACGACAGCCACACTGGGATGGGGATCTTTCAGGTCTGTTCTAATCGCACAGCCACCGCAGTACGCATGGTCTTCACTGATGGAAATGTCCTTCTTATGCAGGGCGTCATCTGGGAGATTTTCTTCAAGGAAAGATGGATCCACACAGGAGCGTGGCCCAGTGGTGGACACAAGCAGGGGTGAGTCAGAGAGAGAGACTGAGAGAGGGAGAGGAGGAATGAGGGAGGGAGGGAGACTGAGAGAAAAGGAAAGAAAAAACAAAGAGGGAGAGAAAAGGAGAGAAAGAGAGGGAAGAAGGGGACAGAGACTGAAAGAAACGGAATAAAAGAGTGAGAGAAGAAGGAAGGAAGGAAAGAAGGAAGGAAGGAAGGAAGATAGGAAGGAAGGAAGGAAGGAAGGAAGGAAGGAAGGAAGGAAGGAAGGAAGGAAGGAAGGAAGGACTGAGGAGTATGGTTCAGTGAAACCTTTGCACACAAGGGTGGTGGCACCAGCATCACCAACAAGAGATGCAGGTGTCCTCAGCTGGTTGCCCTTTGCACACAAGGGTGGTGGCACCAGCATCACCAACAAGAGATGCAGGTGTCCTCAGCTGGTTGCAAGCCTCCTCCCACACCATAGGGGATCAGACAGCTTTTCAAATGGGTGAAAGTCAAAAGAGAAACTGAGGACATAAGCCATGCACTACCACTATCTACACGGGATGAGGTAAGTGGAGAACAGAGTTTTCTGGAATCAGCAGCTCTGCTTGATCAACAAGAGACCAGCACAGCCGATCCGGTTCTCCCCCGGGTTCCCAGCACCACGCGGATTCCAAACCTTGGGGCAGAAGTGGGAAACACTGAGACGTTCAGCCGGCAAGTCTCCGCCCACCTGGAACAGATGCTCATTGCCGTGCCCTAGGGAGACTCCCGGACACAAAGGAAGCTCCCGGGTCAGGCCCTCTGGTCCCTGAGGTTTGGCACTTGCGGGTCTAGACCAACCTATGAGGCGTGCACTCAGCTTCATGTATGACCTCAGCCAAAGGCCAACAGAGAGCTGGCAACATGCCCCAGAGATGCGTAAAGCGCCTCCTGGTCACGCTGTATTCAAGGATCCTCAAAGTGGGGTCCCTGGATGCCTCCACCTCCCCTGGGACTGCGTGGGAATGCGGATTCCCGGCTCCTCCCCAGACCTGCTGGATCAGAGGTTCTGAGATTTGTAGCCCCTTAACCCACCCGCCAGGATGCCAGCGCTCACCAACGTGTGAGAATCGCTGCTCCAATTAAAACTTCAACCAGACTCCAAAAATACAAACGTGGCAGGGGGTGGATTTGAAATGGAAAGCGAAGCAAGCTCAGGAAAGAGCCAGCTCCTGCCTCTCCTCCCGCCCCCTGAGCACATGCTGGTCTCTTCCAGGCGCCAACAGTGCATGGGGCCAAAGAGATGAAACTGAAAGCTACAGTGTAGGGCCCACCGCTTGTCTTTTCATCTTCATGGCCAGGAGCTCTCAGCCCGGCTGCACGCTGGCCTCACCTGGGAGGCTTCTCCACCACCCACGCCCACCCCCGGACTCTGCAGGCTTGGGGTTCTCTGCCGGGCTTGCAGCATGGGGGAGGCCGGCTGCTATGCCCCGGGGAGGGCTGCGTGGCGCCTGCCTCCTGCGTGGGGGGCGGCCCCCATAGCGCCAGCATCTTCCTGTCTCCCGGGCACGTGGGCAGTGCCACCCTCTCCCTGACCCAGTTTGCCATCCTCTAGGAAGGGGCACGGGGGAATAGCCGCTGCCAGCGCCTTCCCTGAAATAACCTGGAAGGGCTCCACTCTGGGCCCCAGGCGGCTGCCATATGGCCACGGCACAGCCCTCGACCCCAGGCACGCCCCACCACCCCCCACTGCAGAAGGGGTGCCCGCCGGCCTTCCCCTCACACCGTGCCCCCAGGGAACCTCCGGAGCCGGTCAGACCCTGCCCATCCCACTGGGAGCTTGGGATCATGTCTCACAGGACAAGCCAAGACCCCACAGCCCAGCGGGGGATGAGTCTGAAGCTGATTCCCGGACAGCCCAGCAAGGCTGGGAGGGAGCCAGGGAGGGGCCATGTGCGTGGGGGAGGTGGTGATTTTTTAGAGCCTTCCCCCACTGTTCCCCTTAGAAACCGGGTGAGTGAGCCTGCACGCCAGCTCCCCTCCCCTGCCCACTCCTGCTCAGAGCCCAGCAGCCTGGCCTGCCGCAGGGCCCAGAGCCCGGACACCTCCTCTTCCCACCGATCTTCCATTTTCAGAGGGAGCCGCTCTCCCTCCTCTCAGGCCTGCTCCATCTGTGACATTTCCCTTCCCTGGACGAAGTGGGGTTTTCACCCTTGTGAGCAGAGTCTCCTTCAGGGCTCCTCCGTGAGAGAAATATGGGGCTGGACAGGGTCCCCTTCCCTCCCTCCT